>NC_000023.11:61212416-61812416 GCF_000001405.40 Homo sapiens | reverse complement strand
AGCTTTTAGGTGAAGATTATCCCGTTTCCAACGAAACCTTCAAAGAGGTCCAAATATCCCCTTGCGGATCCCACAGAAAGAGTGTTTCGAAACTGCTGTTTCAAAAGGAATCTTCAACTCTGTGAGTTGAATGCAATCATCACAAAGAAGTTTCTGACAATGCTTCTCTCTCGTCTTTCTGTGAAGATAAAGGAAAAGGCTTTCAGGCCTTTTCCACCACAGGCCTGAAAGCGCTCCAAATGTCCACTTGCAGATTCTGCCAAAAGAATATTTCAAAACTGCTCTATGAAAAGCAATGTTAAACTCTGTGGCTCGAACACAAACATCACAAAGCAGTTTCTGAGAATGCTTCAGTTTAGTTTTTCTGTGGAAATATTCCCGTTTCCAAAGAAATCTTCAAAGAGGTCCACGTATCCACTTACAGATTCTACAAAAAGACAGTTTCAAAACTGCTCCATCAAAAGGAGGGTTCAACTGTGTGACTTGAATGCAATCATCACTCAGAAGTTTCTGAGAATGCTTCTCTTTAGTTTTTACGTGAACATATACCCGTTTCGAAAGAAGGCCACCCAGTGGTCCAAATATCCACTTGCAGATTCTACAGAAAGTGTGTTTCGAACCTGAACTCTCAAAGGCAGGTTCATCTCTGCGAGTTAAATGCATTCATCATGAAGAACTTTCTCAGAGTGTTTGTGTTTAGTTATGGGAAATTATTCCCGTTTCCAACGAAATCCTCAGAGAGCTCCAAATATCCACCTGCAGATTCTACCAAAAGTGTATTTGGAAACTGCTCCATCAAAAGGCATGTTCAGCTCTGTGAGTGAAACTCCATCATCACAAAGAATATTCTGAGAATGCTTCCGTTTGCCTTTTATATGAAGTTCCTTCCTATACTACCATAGGCCTCAAAGCAGTCCAAATCTCCATTTGCAGATTCTACAAAAAGAGTGATTCCAATCTGCTCTATCAATAGGATTGTTCAACTCCATGAGTTGAATGCCATCCTCACAAAGTAGTTTCTGAGAATGCTTCTATCTAGTTTTTATGTGAAGATATTTCCTTTTCCACCACAGGCCTCAAAGCCCTCCAAACGTCCACTTGCAGATTCTCGAAAAAGAGTGTTTCATAGCTGCTCTTTCAAAAGGAAAGTTCAACTCTGGGAGTTGAATACAAACATCCCAAAGTAGTTTCCGAGAATGCTTCTGTTTAGTTTTTATGTGAAGATGATCCCGTTTCCAGTGAAATCTTCAAAGAGGTCCACATATCCCCTTGCAGATTCCAAAGAAAGAGGGTTTCAAAACTGCTCCATCAGAAGGATTGTTCAACTCTGTGAGTTGAATGCAGTCATCGCAGAAAACTTTCTGAGAATGCTTCTGTCTAGGTTTGATGTGAAGATATAGACGTTTCAAACGAAGGCTACAAAGTGGTCAAAATATACACTTGCAGATTCTACTACAAGGGTGTTACAAACCTGAACTATCAAAGGATGGTTCAACTCTGTGAGTTGAATACAAACATCACAAAGAATGTTCTGAGTTTGCTTCCGTTCAGTTATGGGAAGTTGATCCCGTTTCCAACGAAATCCTCAGAGAGGTCCAAATATCCCCTCGCAGATTCTACAAAACGTGTGTTTGGAAACTGCTCCATCATAACGAATGTTCAGCTCCCTGAGTTAAACTCCATCGTCACAAAGAATTTTCTGAGAGTGCTACCGTCTGGTTTTTATATGAAGTTCTTTCCTTCACTACCACAGGCCTGAAAGCGGTCCAAATCTCCACTTGCAGATTCTACAAAAAGAGTGTTTGCAAACTGCTCTATCAAAAGGAATGTTCAACTCTGGGAGTTGAATGCAATCATCACAGAGCAGTTTCTGAGAATGCTTCTATGTCGTTTTTAGGAGAAGATATTTCCTTTTCCAACACAGTCCTCCAAGCCCGCTAAATAGCCACTTGCACATTGTAGAAAAAGTGTGTCAAAGCTGCGCTATCAAAGGGAAAGTTCAACTCTGTGAGGTGAATGCAAACATCCCAAAGAAGTTTCTGAGAATGCTTCCGTTTAGCTTTTAGGTGAAGATTATCCCGTTTCCAACGAAAGCTTCAAAGAGGTCCAAATATCCCCTTGCGGATCCCACAGAAAGAGTGTTTCGAAACTGCTGTTTCAAAAGGAATCTTCAACTCTGTGAGTTGAATGCAATCATCACAAAGAAGTTTCTGACAATGCTTCTCTCTCGTCTTTCTGTGAACATAAAGGAAAAGGCGTTCAGGCCTTTGCCACCACAGGCCTGAAAGCGCTCCAAATGTCCACTTGCAGATTCTGCCAAAAGAATATTTCAAAACTGCTCTATGAAAAGCAATGTTAAACTCTGTGGCTGGAACACAAACATCACAAAGCGGTCTCTGAGAATGCTTCAGTTTAGTTTTTCTGTGGAAATATTCCCGTTTCCAAAGAAATCTTCAAAGAGGTCCACGTATCCACTTACAGATTCTACAAAAAGACAGTTTCAAAACTGCTCAATCAAAAGGAGGGTTCAACTGTGTGACTTGAATGCAATCATCACTCAGAAGTTTCTGAGAATGCTTCTCTTTAGTTTTTACGTGAACATATACCCGTTTCGAACGAAGGCCACCCAGTGGTCCAAATACCCACTTGCAGATTCTACAGAAAGAGTGTTTCGAACCTGAACTCTCAAAGGCAGGTTCATCTCTGCGAGTTAAATGCATTCATCATGAAGAACTTTCTCAGCGTGTTTGTGTTTAGTTATGGGAAATTATTCCCGTTCCCAACGAAATCCTCAGAGAGGTCCAAATGTCCACCTGCAGATTCTACCAAAAGTGTATTTGGAAACTGCTCCATCAACAGGCATGTTCAGCTCTGTGAGTGAAACTCCATCATCACAAAGAATATTCTGAGAATGCTTCCGTTTGCCTTTTATATGAAGTTCCTTCCTATACGACCGTAGGCCTCAAAGCAGTGCAAATCTCCATTTGCAGATTCTACAAAAAGAGTGATTCCAATCTGCTCTATCAATAGGATTGTTCAACTCCATGAGTTGAATGCCATCCTCACAAAGTCGTTTCTGAGAATGCTTCTATCTAGTTTTTATGTGAAGATATTTCCTTTTCCACCACAGGCCTCAAAGCCCTCCAAACGTCCACTTGCAGATTCTCGAAAAAGAGTGTTTCATAGCTGCTCTTTCAAAAGGAAAGTTCAACTCTGGGAGTTGAATACAAACATCACAAAGTAGTTTCCGAGAATGCTTCTGTTTAGTTTTTATGTGAAGATGATCCCGTTTCCAGTGAAATCTTCAAAGAGGTCCACATATCCCCTTGCAGATTCCAAAGAAAGAGGGTTTCAAAACTGCTCCATCAATAGGATTGTTCAACTCTGTGAGTTGAATGCAGTCATCGCAGAAAACTTTCTGAGAATGCTTCTGTCTAGGTTTGATGTGAAGATATAGACTTTTCAAACGAAGGCTACAAAGTGGTCAAAATATACACTTGCAGATACTACTACAAGGGTGTTGCAAACCTGAACTATCAAAGGAAGGTTCAACTCTGTGAGTTGAATACAAACATCACAAAGAATGTTCTGAGTTTGCTTCCGTTCAGTTATGGGAAGTTGATCCCGTTTCCAACGAAATCCTCAGACAGGTCCAAATATCCCCTTGCAGATTCTACAAAACGTGTTTTTGGAAACTGCTCCATCATAACGAATGTTCAGCTCCCTGAGTTAAACTCCATCGTCACAAAGAATTTTCTGAGAGTGCTACCGTCTGGTTTTTATATGAAGCTCTTTCCTTTACTACCCCAGGCCTCAAAGCGGTCAAAATCTCCACTTGCAGATTCTACAAAAAGAGTGTTTGCAAACTGCTCTATCAAAAGGAATGTTCAACTCTGGGAGTTGAATGCAATCATCACAGAGCAGTTTCTGAGAATGCTTCTATGTCGTTTTTAGGAGAAGATATTTCCTTTTCCAACACAGTCCTCCAAGTCCGCTAAATAGCCACTTGCACATTGTAGAAAAAGTGTGTCAAAGCTGCGCTATCAAAGGGAAAGTTCAACTCTGAGAGGTGAATGCAAACATCCCAAAGAAGTTTCTGAGAGTGCTTCCGTTTAGCTTTTAGGTGAAGATTATCCCGTTTCCAACGAAATCTTCAAAGAGTTCCAAATATCCCCTTGCGGATCCCACAGAAAGAGTGTTTCGAAACTGCTGTTTCAAAAGGAATCTTCAACTCTGTGAGTTGAATGCAATCATCACAAAGAAGTTTCTGACAATGCTTCTCTCTCGTCTTTCTGTGAAGATAAAGGAAAAGGCTTTCAGGCCTTTTCCACCACAGGCCTGAAAGCGCTCCAAATGTCCACTTGCAGATTCTGCCAAAAGAATATTTCAAAACTGCTCTATGAAAAGCAATGTTAAACTCTGCGGCTCGAACACAAACATCACAAAGCAGTTTCTGAGAATGCTTCAGTTTAGTTTTTCTGTGGAAATATTCCCGTTTCCAAAGAAATCTTCAAAGAGGTCCACGCATCCACTTACAGATTCTACAAAAAGACAGTTTCAAAACTGCTCAATCAAAAGGAGGGTTCAACTGTGTGACTTGAATGCAATCATCACTCAGAAGTTTATGAGAACGCTTCTCTTTAGTTTTTACGTGAACATATACCCGTTTCGAACGAAGGCCAGCCAGTGGTCCAAATATCCACTTGCAGATTCTACAGAAAGAGTGTTTCGAACCTGAACTCTCAAAGGCAGGTTCATCTCTGCGAGTTAAATGCATTCATCATGAAGAACTTTCTCAGCGTGTTTGTGTTTAGTTATGGGAAATTATTCCCGTTTCCAACGAAATCCTCAGAGAGCTCCAAATATCCACCTGCAGATTCTACCAAAAGTGTATTTGGAAACTGCTCCATCAAAAGGCATGTTCAGCTCTGTGAGTGAAACTCCATCATCACAAAGAATATTCTGAGAATGCTTCCATTTGCCTTTTATATGAAGTTCCTTCCTATACTACCGTAGGCCTCAAAGCAGTCCAAATCTCCATTTGCAGATTCTACAAAAAGAGTGATTCCAATCTGCTCTATCAATAGGACTGTTCAACTCCATGAGTTGAATGCCATCCTCACAAAGTAGTTTCTGAGAATGCTTCTATCTAGTTTTTATGTGAAGATATTTCCTTTTCCACCACAGGCCTCAAAGCCCTCCAAACGTCCACTTGCAGATTCTCGAAAAAGAGTGTTTCATAGCTGCTCTTTCAAAAGGAAAGTTCAACTCTGGGAGCTGAATACAAACATCACAAAGTAGTTTCCGAGAATGCTTCTGTTTAGTTCTTATGTGAAGATGATCCCATTTCCAGTGAAATCTTCAAAGAGGTCCACATATCCCCTTGCAGATTCCAAAGAAAGAGGGTTTCAAAACTGCTCCATCAAAAGGATTGTTCAACTCTGTGAGTTGAATGCAGTCATCGCAGAAAACTTTCTGAGAATGCTTCTGTCTCGGTTTGATGTGAAGATATAGACGTTTCAAACGAAGGCTACAAAGTGGTCAAAATATACACTTGCAGATTCTACTACAAGGGTGATGCAAACCTGAACTATCAAAGGAAGGTTCAACTCTGTGAGTTGAATACAAACATCACAAAGAATGTTCTGAGTTTGCTTCCGTTCAGTTATGGGAAGTTGATCCCGTTTCCAACGAAATCCTCAGAGAGGTCCAAATATCCCCTTGCAGATTCTACAAAACGTGTGTTTGGAAACTGCTCCATCATAACGAATGTTCAGCTCTCTGAGTTAAACTCCATCGTCACAAAAAATTTTCTGAGAGTGCTACCGTCTGGTTTTTATATGAAGCTCTTTCCTTCACTATCACAGGCCTCAAAGCGGTCCAAATCTCCACTTCCAGATTCTACAAAAAGAGTGTTTGCAAACTGCTCTATCAAAAGGAATGTTCAACTCTGGGAGTTGAATGCAATCATCACAGAGCAGTTTCTGAGAATGCTTCTATGTCGTTTTTAGGAGAAGATATTTCCTTTTCCAACACAGTCCTCCAAGCCCGCTAAATAGCCACTTGCACATTGTAGAAAAAGTGTGTCAAAGCTGCGCTATCAAAGGGAAAGTTCAACTCTGTGAGGTGAATGCAAACATCCCAAAGAAGTTTCTGAGAATGCTTCCGTTTAGCTTTTAGGTGAAGATTATCCCGTTTCCAACGAAACCTTCAAAGAGGTCCAAATATCCCCTTGCGGATCCCACAGAAAGAGTGTTTCGAAACTGCTGTTTCAAAAGAAATCTTCAACTCTGTGAGTTGAATGCAATCATCACAAAGAAGTTTCTGACAATGCTTCTCTCTCGTCTTTCTGTGAAGATAAAGGAAAAGGCTTTCAGGCCTTTGCCACCACAGGCCTGAAAGCGCTCCAAATGTCCACTTGCAGATTCTGCGAAAAGAATATTTCAAAACTGCTCTATGAAAAGCAATGTTAAACTCTGTGGCTCGAACACAAACATCACAAAGCAGTTTCTGAGAATGCTTCTCTTTAGTTTTTACGTGAACATATACCCGTTTCGAACGAAGGCCACCCAGTGGTCCAAATATCCACTTGCAGATTATACAGAAAGAGTGTTTCGAACCTGAACTCTCAAAGGCAGGTTCATCTCTGCGAGTTAAATGCATTCATCATGAAGAACTTTCTCAGAGTGTTTGTGTTTAGTTATGGGAAATTATTCCCGTTTCCAACGAAGTCCTCAGAGAGCTCCAAATATCCACCTGCAGATTCTACCAAAAGTGTATTTGGAAACTGCTCCATCAAAAGGCATGTTCAGCTCTGTGAGTGAAACTCCATCATCACAAAGAATATTCTGAGAATGCTTCCGTTCGCCTTTTATATGAAGTTCCTTCCTATACTACCGTAGGCCTCAAAGCAGTCCAAATCTCCATTTGCAGATTCTACAAAAAGAGTGATTCCAATCTGCTCTATCAATAGGACTGTTCAACTCCATGAGTTGAATGCCATCCTCACAAAGTAGTTTCTGAGAATGCTTCTATCTAGTTTTTATGTGAAGATATTTCCTTTTCCACCACAGGCCTCAAAGCCCTCCAAACGTCCACTTGCAGATTCTCGAAAAAGAGTGTTTCATAGCTGCTCTTTCAAAAGGAAAGTTCAACTCTGGGAGTTGAATACAAACATCACAAAGTAGTTTCCGAGAATGCTTCTGTTTAGTTTTTATGTGAAGATGATCCGGTTTCCAGTGAAATCTTCAAAGAGGTCCACATATCCCCTTGCAGATTCCAAAGAAAGAGGGTTTCAAAACTGCTCCATCAGAAGGATTGTTCAACTCTGTGAGTTGAATGCAGTCATCGCAGAAAACTTTCTGAGAATGCTTCTGTCTAGGTTTGATGTGAAGATATAGACGTTTCAAACGAAGGCTACAAAGTGGTCAAAATATACACTTGCAGATTCTACTACAAGGGTGTTGCAAACCTGAACTATCAAAGGAAGGTTCAACTCTGTGAGTTGAATACAAACATCACAAAGAATGTTCTGAGTTTGCTTCCGTTCAGTTATGGGAAGTTGATCCCGTTTCCAACGAAATCCTCAGAGAGGTCCAAATATCCCCTCGCAGATTCTACAAAACGTGTGTTTGGAAACTGCTCCATCATAACGAATGTTCAGCTCCCTGAGTTAAACTCCATCGTCACAAAGAATTTTCTGAGAGTGCTACCGTCTGGTTTTTATATGAAGTTCTTTCCTTCACTACCACAGGCCTCAAAGCGGTCCAAATCTCCACTTGCAGATTCTACAAAAAGAGTGTTTGCAAACTGCTGTATCAAAAGGAATGTTCAACTCTGGGAGTTGAATGCAATCATCACAGAGCAGTTTCTGAGAATGCTTCTATGTCGTTTTTAGGAGAAGATATTTCCTTTTCCAACACAGTCCTCCAAGCCCGCTAAATAGCCACTTGCACATTGTAGAAAAAGTGTGTCAAAGCTGCGCTATCAAAGGGAAAGTTCAACTCTGTGAGGTGAATGCAAACATCCCAAAGAAGTTTCTGAGAATGCTTCCGTTTAGCTTTTAGGTGAAGATTATCCCGTTTCCAACGAAACCTTCAAAGAGGTCCAAATATCCCCTTGCGGATCCCACAGAAAGAGTGTTTCGAAACTGCTGTTTCAAAAGGAATCTTCAACTCTGTGAGTTGAATGCAATCATCACAAAGAAGTTTCTGACAATGCTTCTCTCTCGTCTTTCTGTGAAAATAAAGGAAAAGGCTTTCAGGCCTTTTCCACCACAGGCCTGAAAGCGCTCCAAATGTCCACTTGCAGATTCTGCCAAAAGAATATTTCAAAACTGCTCTATGAAAAGCAATGTTAAACTCTGTGGCTCGAACACAAACATCACAAAGCAGTTTCTGAGAATGCTTCAGTTTAGTTTTTCTGTGGAAATATTCCCGTTTCCAAAGAAATCTTCAAAGAGGTCCACGTATCCACTTACAGATTCTACAAAAAGACAGTTTCAAAACTGCTCCATCAAAAGGAGGGTTCAACTGTGTGACTTGAATGCAATCATCACTCAGAAGTTTCTGAGAATGCTTCTCTTTAGTTTTTACGTGAACATATACCCGTTTCGAACGAAGGCCAGCCAGTGGTCCAAATATCCACTTGCAGATTCTCCAGAAAGAGTGTTTCGAACATGAACTCTCAAAGGCAGGTTCATCTCTGCGAGTTAAATGCATTCATCATGAAGAACTTTCTCAGAGTGTTTGTGTTTAGTTATGGGAAATTATTCCCGTTTCCAACGAAATCCTCAGAGAGGTCCAAATATCCACCTGCAGATTCTACCAAAAGTGTATTTGGAAACTGCTCCATCAAAAGGCATGTTCAGCTCTGTGAGTGAAACTCCATCATCACAAAGAATATTCTGAGAATGCTTCCGTTTGCCTTTTATATGAAGTTCCTTCCTATACTACCGTAGGCCTCAAAGCAGTCCAAATCTCCATTTGCAGATTCTACAAAAATAGTGATTCCAATCTCCTCTATCAATAGGACTGTTCAACTCCATGAGTTGAATGCCATCCTCACAAAGTCGTTTCTGAGAATGCTTCTATGTAGTTTTTAAGTGAAGATATTTCCTTTTCCACCACAGGCCTCAAAGCCCTCCAAACGTCCACTTGCAGATTCTCGAAAAAGAGTGTTTCATAGCTGCTCTTTCAAAAGGAAAGTTCAACTCTGGGAGTTGAATACAAACATCACAAAGTAGTTTCCGAGAATGCTTCTGGTTAGTTCTTATGTGAAGATGATCCCGTTTCCAGTGAAATCTTCAAAGAGGTCCACATGTCCCCTTGCAGATTCCAAAGAAAGAGGGTTTCAAAACTGCTCCATCAAAAGGATTGTTCAACTCTGTGAGTTGAATGCAGTCATCGCAGAAAACTTTCTGAGAATGCTTCTGTCTAGGTTTGATGTGAAGATATAGACGTTTCAAACGAAGGCTACAAAGTGGTCAAAATATACACTTGCAGATTCTACTACAAGGGTGTTGCAAACCTCAACTATCAAAGGAAGGTTCAACTCTGTGAGATGAATGCAAACATCACAAAGAATGTTCTGAGTTTGCTTCCGTTCAGTTATGGGAAGTTGATCCCGTTTCCAACGAAATCCTCAGAGAGGTCCAAATATCCCCTTGCAGATTCTACAAAACGTGTGTTTGGAAACTGCTCCATCATAACGAATGTTCAGCTCTCTGAGTTAAACTCCATCGTCACAAACAATTTTCTGAGACTGCTACCGTCTACTTTTTATATGAAGTTCTTTCCTTTACTACCACAGGCCTCAAAGCGTTCCAAATCTCCACTTGCAGATTCTACAAAAAGAGTGTTTGCAAATTGCTCTATCAAAAGGAATGTTCAACTCTGGGAGTTGAATGCAATCATCACAGAGCAGTTTCTGAGAATGCTTCTATGTCGTTTTTAGGAGAAGATATTTCCTTTTCCAACACAGTCCTCCAAGCCCGCTAAATATCCACTTGCACATTGTAGAAAAAGTGTGTCGAAGCTGCGCTATCAAAGGGAAAGTTCAACTCTGTGAGGTGAATGCAAACATCCCAAAGAAGTTTCTGAGAATGCTTCCGTTTAGCTTTTAGGTGAAGATTATCCCGTTTCCAACGAAACCTTCAAAGAGGTCCAAATATCCCCTTGCGGATCCCACAGAAAGAGTGTTTCGAAACTGCTGTTTCAAAAGGAATCTTCAACTACTGTGAGTTGAATGCAATCATCACAAAGAAGTTTCTGACAATGCTTTCTCTCTCGTCTTTCTGTGAAGATAAAGGAAAAGGCTTTCAGGCCTTTTCCACCACAGGCCTGAAAGCGCTCCAAATGTCCACTTGCAGATTCTGCCAAAAGAATATTTCAAAACTGCTCTATGAAAAGCAATGTTAAACTCTGTGGCTCGAACACAAACATCACAAAGCAGTTTCTGAGAATGCTTCAGTTTAGTTTTTCTGTGGAAATATTCCCGTTTCCAAAGAAATCTTCAAAGAGGTCCACGTATCCACTTACAGATTCTGCAAAAAGACAGTTTCAAAACTGCTCCATCAAAAGGAGGGTTCAACTGTGTGACTTGAATGCAATCATCACTCAGAAGTTTCTGAGAATGCTTCTCTTTAGTTTTTACGTGAACATATACCCGTTTCGAACGAAGGCCAGCCAGTGGTCCAAATATCCACTTGCAGATTCTACAGAAAGAGTGTTTCGAACCTGAACTCTCAAAGACAGGTTCATCTCTGCGAGTTAAATGCATTCATCATGAAGAACTTTCTCAGAGTGTTTGTGTTTAGTTATGGGAAATTATTCCCGTTTCCAACGAAATCCTCAGAGAGCTCCAAATATCCACCTGCAGATTCTACCAAAAGTGTATTTGGAAACTGCTCCATCAAGAGGCATGTTCAGCTCTGTGAGTGAAACTCCATCATCACAAAGAATATTCTGAGAATGCTTCCGTTTGCCTTTTATCTGAAGTTCCTTCCTATACGACCGTAGGCCTCAAAGCAGTCCAAATCTCCATTTGCAGATTCTACAAAAAGAGTGATTCCAATCTGCTCTATCAATAGGATTGTTCAACTCCATGAGTTGAATGCCATCCTCACAAAGTCGTTTCTGAGAATGCTTCTATCTAGTTTTTATGTGAAGATATTTCCTTTTCCACCACAGGCCTCAAAGCCCTCCAAACGTCCACTTGCAGATTCTCGAAAAGGAGTGTTTCATAGCTGCTCTTTCAAAAGGAAAGTTCAACTCTGGGAGTTGAATACAAACATCACAAAGTAGTTTCCGAGAATGCTTCTGTTTAGTTTTTATGTGAAGATGATCCCGTTTCCAGTGAAATCTTCAAAGAGGTCCACATATCCCCTTGCAGATTCCAAAGAAAGAGGGTTTCAAAACTGCTCCATCAGAAGGATTGTTCAACTCTGTGAGTTGAATGCAGTCATCGCAGAAAACTTTCTGAGAATGCTTCTGTCTAGGTTTGATGTGAAGATATAGACGTTTCAAATGAAGGCTACAAAGTGGTCAAAATATACACTTGCAGATTCTACTACAAGGGTGTTGCAAACCTGAACTATCAAAGGAAGGTTCAACTCTGTGAGTTGAATACAAACATCACAAAGAATGTTCTGAGTTTGCTTCCGTTCAGTTATGGGAAGTTGATCCCGTTTCCAACGAAATCCTCAGAGAGGTCCAAATATCCCCTTGCAGATTCTACAAAACGTGTGTTTGGAAACTGCTCCATCATAACGAATGTCCAGCTCCCTGAGTTAAACTCCATCGTCACAAAGAATTTTCTGAGAGTGCTACCGTCTGGTTTTTATATGAAGTTCTTTCCTTCACTACCACAGGCCTCAATGCGGTCCAAATCTCCACTTGCAGATTCTACAAAAAGAGTGTTTGCAAACTGCTCTATCAAAAGGAATGTTCAACTCTGGGAGTTGAATGCAATCATCACAGAGCAGTTTCTGAGAATGCTTCTATGTCGTTTTTAGGAGAAGATATTTCCTTTTCCAACACAGTCCTCCAAGCCCGCTAAATAGCCACTTGCACATTGTAGAAAAAGTGTGTCAAAGCTGCGCTATCAAAGGGAAAGTTCAACTCTGTGAGGTGAATGCAAACATCCCAAAGAAGTTTCTGAGAATGCTTCCGTTTAGCTTTTAGGTGAAGATTATCCCGTTTCCAACGAAACCTTCAAAGAGGTCCAAATATCCCCTTGCGGATCCCACAGAAAGAGTGTTTCGAAACTGCTGTTTCAAAAGGAATGTTCAACTCTGTGAGTTGAATGCAATCATCACAAAGAAGTTTCTGACAATGCTTCTCTCTCGTCTTTCTGTGAAGATAAAGGAAAAGGCTTTCAGGCCTTTTCCACCACAGGCCTGAAAGCGCTCCAAATGTCCACTTGCAGATTCTGCGAAAAGAATATTTCAAAACTGCTCTATGAAAAGCAATGTTAAACTACTGTGGCTCGAACACAAACATCACAAAGCAGTTTCTGAGAATGCTTCAGTTTAGTTTTTCTGTGGAAATATTCCCGTTTCCAAAGAAATCTTCAAAGAGGTCCACGTATTCCACTTACAGATTCTACAAAAAGACAGTTTCAAAACTGCTCCATCAAAAGGAGGGTTCAACTGTGTGACTTCAATGCAATCATCACTCAGAAGTTTCTGAGAATGCTTCTCTTTAGTTTTTACGTGAACATATACCCGTTTCGAACGAAGGCCACCCAGTGGTCCAAATATCCACTTGCAGATTATACAGAAAGAGTGTTTCGAACCTGAACTCTCAAAGGCAGGTTCATCTCTGCGAGTTAAATGCATTCATCATGAAGAACTTTCTCAGAGTGTTTGTGTTTAGTTATGGGAAATTATTCCCGTTTCCAACGAAATCCTCAGAGTGGTCCAAATATCCACCTGCAGATTCTACCAAAAGTGTATTTGGAAACTGCTCCATCAAAAGGCATGTTCAGCTCTGTGAGTGAAACTCCATCATCACAAAGAATATTCTGAGAATGCTTCCGTTTGCCTTTTATCTGAAGTTCCTTCCTATACGACCGTAGGCCTCAAAGCAGTCCAAATCTCCATTTGCAGATTCTACAAAAAGAGTGATTCCAATCTGCTCTATCAATAGGATTGCTCAACTCCATGAGTTGAATGCCATCCTCACAAAGTAGTTTCTGAGAATGCTTCTATCTAGTTTTTATGTGAAGGTATTTCCTTTTCCACCACAGGCCTCCAAGCCCTCCAAACGTCCACTTGCAGATTCTCGAAAAAGAGTGTTTCATAGCTGCTCTTTCAAAAGGAAAGTTCAACTCTGGGAGTTGAATACAAACATCACAAAGTAGTTTCCGAGAATGCTTCTGTTTAGTTTTTATGTGAAGATGATCCCGTTTCCAGTTAAATCTTCAAAGAGGTCCACATATCCCCTTGCAGATTCCAAAGAAAGAGGGTTTCAAAACTGCTCCATCAGAAGGATTGTTCAACTCTGTGAGTTGAATGCAGTCATCGCAGAAAACTTTCTGAGAATGCTTCTGTCTAGGTTTGATGTGAAGATATAGACGTTTCAAACGAAGGCTACAAAGTGGTCAAAATATACACTTGCAGATTCTACTACAAGGGTGTTGCAAACCTGAACTATCAAAGGAAGGTTCAACTCTGTGAATTGAATACAAACATCACAAAGAATGTTCTGAGTTTGCTTCCGTTCAGTTATGGGAAGTTGATCCCGTTTCCAACGAAATCCTCAGAGAGGTCCAAATATCCCCTCGCAGATTCTACAAAACGTGTGTTTGGAAACTGCTCCATCATAACGAATGTTCAGCTCCCTGAGTTAAACTCCATCGTCACAAAGAATTTTCTGAGAGTGCTACCGTCTGGTTTTTATATGAAGTTCTTTCCTTCACTACCACAGGCCTCAAAGCGGTCCAAATCTCCACTTGCAGATTCTACAAAAAGAGTGTTTGCAAACTGCTCTATCAAAAGGAATGTTCAACTCTGGGAGTTGAATGCAATCATCACAGAGCAGTTTCTGAGAATGCTTCTATGTCGTTTTTAGGAGAAGATACTTCCTTTTCCAACACAGTCCTCCAAGCCCGCTAAATAGCCACTTGCACATTGTAGAAAAAGTGTGTCAAAGCTGCGCTATCAAAGGGAAAGTTCAACTCTGTGAGGTGAATGCAAACATCCCAAAGAAGTTTCTGAGAATGCTTCCGTTTAGCTTTTAGGTGAAGATTATCCCGTTTCCAACGAAACCTTCAAAGAGGTCCAAATATCCCCTTGCGGATCCCACAGAAAGAGTGTTTCGAAACTGCTGTTTCAAAAGGAATCTTCAACTCTGTGAGTTGAATGCAATCATCACAAAGAAGTTTCTGACAATGCTTCTCTCTCGTCTTTCTGTGAAGATAAAGGAAAAGGCTTTCAGGCCTTTTCCACCACAGGCCTGAAAGCGCTCCAAATGTCCACTTGCAGATTCTGCGAAAAGAATATTTCAAAACTGCTCTATGAAAAGCAATGTTAAACTCTGTGGCTGGAACACAAACATCACAAAGCGGTTTCTGAGAATGTTTCAGTTTAGTTTTTCTGTGGAAATATTCCCGTTTCCAAAGAAATCTTCAAAGAGGTCCACGTATCCACTTACAGATTCTACAAAAAGACAGTTTCAAAACTGCTCCATCAAAAGGAGGGTTCAACTGTGTGACTTGAATGCAATCATCACTCAGAAGTTTCTGAGAATGCTTCTCTTTAGTTTTTACGTGAACATATACCCGTTTCGAACGAAGGCCACCCAGTGGTCCAAATATCCACTTGCAGATTCTACAGAAAGGGTGTTTCGAACCTGAACTCTCAAAGGCAGGTTCATCTCTGCGAGTTAAATGCATTCATCATGAAGAACTTTCTCAGAGTGTTTGTGTTTAGTTATGGGAAATTATTCCCGTTTCCAACGAAATCCTCAGAGAGGTCCAAATATCCACCTGCAGATTCTACCAAAAGTGTATTTGGAAACTGCTCCATCAAAAGGCATGTTCAGCTCTGTGAGTGAAACTGCATCATCACAAAGAATATTCAGAGAATGCTTCCGTTTGCCTTTTATATGAAGTTCCTTCCTGTACTACTGTAGGCCTCAAAGCAGTCCAAATCTCCATTTGCAGATTCTACAAAAAGAGTGATTCCAATCTGCTCTATCAATAGGATTGTTCAACTCCATGAGTTGAATGCCATCCTCACAAAGTAGTTTCTGAGAATGCTTCTATCTAGTTTTTATGTGAAGATATTTCCTTTTCCACCACAGGCCTCAAAGCCCTCCAAACGTCCACTTGCAGATTCTCGAAAAAGAGTGTTTTATAGCTGCTCTTTCAAAAGGAAAGTTCAACTCTGGGAGTTGAATACAAACATCACAAAGTAGTTTCCGAGAATGCTTCCTGTTTAGTTTTTATGTGAAGATGATCCCGTTTCCAGTGAAATCTTCAAAGAGGTCCACATATCCCCTTGCAGATTCCAAAGAAAGAGGGTTTCAAAACTGCTCCATCAGAAGGATTGTTCAACTCTGTGAGTTGAATGCAGTCATCGCAGAAAACTTTCTGAGAATGCTTCTGTCTAGGTTTGATGTGAAGATATAGACGTTTCAAATGAAGGCTACAAAGTGGTCAAAATATACACTTGCAGATACTACTACAAGGGTGTTGCAAACCTGAACTATCAAAGGAAGGTTCAACTCTGTGAGTTGAATACAAACATCACAAAGAATGTTCTGAGTTTGCTTCCGTTCAGTTATGGGAAGTTGATCCCGTTTCCAACGAAATCCTCAGAGAGGTCCAAATATCCCCTTGCAGATTCTACAAAACGTGTGTTTGGAAACTGCTCCATCATAACGAATGTTCAGCTCCCTGAGTTAAACTCCATCGTCACAAAGAATTTTCTGAGAGTGCTACCGTCTGGTTTTTATATGAAGTTCTTTCCTTCACTACCACAGGCGTCAAAGCGGTCCAAATCTCCACTTGCAGATTCTACAAAAAGAGTGTTTGCAAACTGCTCTATCAAAAGGAATGTTCAACTCTGGGAGTTGAATGCAATCATCACAGAGCAGTTTCTGAGAATGCTTCTATGTCGTTTTTAGGAGAAGATATTTCCTTTTCCAACACAGTCCTCCAAGCCCGCTAAATAGCCACTTGCACATTGTAGAAAAAGTGTGTCAAAGCTGCGCTATCAAAGGGAAAGTTCAACTCTGTGAGGTGAATGCAAACATCCCAAAGAAGTTTCTGAGAATGCTTCCGTTTAGCTTTTAGGTGAAGATTATCCCGTTTCCAACGAAATCTTCAAAGAGGTCCAAATATCCCCTTGCGGATCCCACAGAAAGAGTGTTTCGAAACTGCTGTTTCAAAAGGAATCTTCAACTCTGTGAGTTGAATGCAATCATCACAAAGAAGTTTCTGACAATGCTTCTCTCTCGTCTTTCTGTGAAGATAAAGGAAAAGGCTTTCAGGCCTTTTCCACCACAGGCCTGAAAGCGCTCCAAATGTCCACTTGCAGATTCTGCCAAAAGAATATTTCAAAACTGCTCTATGAAAAGCAATGTTAAACTCTGTGGCTCGAACACAAACATCACAAAGCAGTTTCTGAGAATGCTTCAGTTTAGTTTTTCTGTGGAAATATTCCCGTTTCCAAAGAAATCTTCAAAGAGGTCCACGCATCCACTTACAGATTCTACAAAAAGACAGTTTCAAAACTGCTCAATCAAAAGGAGGGTTCAACTGTGTGACTTGAATGCAATCATCACTCAGAAGTTTCTGAGAACGCTTCTCTTTAGTTTTTACGTGAACATATACCCGTTTCGAATGAAGGCCAGCCAGTGGTCCAAATATCCACTTGCAGATTCTACAGAAAGAGTGTTTTGAACCTGAACTCTCAAAGGCAGGTTCATCTCTGCGAGTTAAATGCATTCATCATGAAGAACTTTCTCAGCGTGTTTGTGTTTAGTTATGGGAAATTATTCCCGTTTCCAACGAAATCCTCAGAGAGCTCCAAATATCCACCTGCAGATTGTACCAAAAGTGTATTTGGAAACTGCTCCATGAAAAGGCATGTTCAGCTCTGTGAGTGAAACTCCGTCATCACAAAGAATATTCTGAGAATGCTTCCATTTGCCTTTTATATGAAGTTCCTTCCTATACTACCGTAGGCCTCAAAGCAGTCCAAATCTCCATTTGCAGATTCTACAAAAAGAGTGATTCCAATCTGCTCTATCAATAGGATTGTTCAAGTCCATGAGTTGAATGCCATCCTCACAAAGTCGTTTCTGAGAATGCTTCTATGTAGTTTTTATGTGAAGATATTTCCTTTTCCACCACAGGCCTCAAAGCCCTCCAAACGTCCACTTGCATATTCTCGAAAAAGAGTGTTTCATAGCTGCTCTTTCAAAAGGAAAGTTCAACTCTGGGAGTTGAATACAAACATCACAAAGTAGTTTCCGAGAATGCTTCTGTTTAGTTCTTATGTGAAGATGATCCCGTTTCCAGTGAAATCTTCAAAGAGGTCCACATATCCCCTTGCAGATTCCAAAAAAAGAGGGTTTCAAAACTGCTCCATCAAAAGGATTGTTCAACTCTGTGAGTTGAATGCAGTCATCGCAGAAAACTTTCTGAGAATGCTTCTGTCTAGGTTTGATGTGAAGATATAGACGTTTCAAACGAAGGCTACAAAGTGGTCAAAATATACACTTGCAGATTCTACTACAAGGGTGATGCAAACCTCAACTATCAAAGGAAGGTTCAACTCTGTGAGATGAATGCAAACATCACAAAGAATGTTCTGAGTTTGCTTCCGTTCAGTTATGGGAAGTTGATCCCGTTTCCAACGAAATCCTCAGAGAGGTCCAAATATCCCCTTGCAGATTCTGCAAAACGTGTGTTTGGAAACTGCTCCATCATAACGAATGTTCAGCTCTCTGAGTTAAACTCCATCGTCACAAAGAATTTTCTGAGAGTGCTACCGTCTAGTTTTTATATGAAGTTCTTTCCTTTACTACCACAGGCCTCAAAGCGGTCCAAATCTCCACTTGCAGATTCTACAAAAAGAGTGTTTGCAAACTGCTCTATCAAAAGGAATGTTCAACTCTGGGAGTTGAATGCAATCATCACAGAGCAGTTTCTGAGAATGCTTCTATGTCGTTTTTAGGAGAAGATATTTCCTTTTCCAACACAGTCCTCCAAGCCCGCTAAATAGTCACTTGCACATTGTAGAAAAAGTGTGTCAAAGCTGCGCTATCAAAGGGAAAGTTCAACTCTGTGAGGTGAATGCAAACATCCCAAAGAAGTTTCTGAGAATGCTTCCGTTTAGCTTTTAGGTGAAGATTATCCCGTTTCCAACGAAACCTTCAAAGAGGTCCAAATATCCCCTTGCGGATCCCACAGAAAGAGTGTTTCGAAACTGCTGTTTCAAAAGGAATCTTCAACTCTGTGAGTTGAATGCAATCATCACAAAGAAGTTTCTGACAATGCTTCTCTCTCGTCTTTCTGTGAAGATAAAGGAAAAGGCTTTCAGGCCTTTTCCACCACAAGCCTGAAAGCGCTCCAAATGTCCACTTGCAGATTCTGCCAAAAGAATATTTCAAAACTGCTCTATGAAAAGCAATGTTAAACTCTGCGGCTCGAACACAAACATCACAAAGCGGTTTCTGAGAATGCTTCAGTTTAGTTTTTCTGTGGAAATATTCCCGTTTCCAAAGAAATCTTCAAAGAGGTCCACGTATCCACTTACAGATTCTACAAAAAGACAGTTTCAAAACTGCTCCATCAAAAGGAGGGTTCAACTGTGTGACTTGAATGCAATCATCACTCAGAAGTTTCTGAGAATGCTTCTCTTTAGTTTTTACGTGAACATATACCCGTTTCGAACGAAGGCCACCCAGTGGTCCAAATATCCACTTGCAGATTATACAGAAAGAGTGTTTCGAACCTGAACTCTCAAAGGCAGGTTCATCTCTGCGAGTTAAATGCATTCATCATGAAGAACTTTCTCAGAGTGTTTGTGTTTAGTTATGGGAAATTATTCCCTTTTCCAACGAAATCCTCAGAGAGCTCCAAATATCCACCTGCAGATTCTACCAAAAGTGTATTTGGAAACTGCTCCATCAAAAGGCATGTTCAGCTCTGTGAGTGAAACTCCATCATCACAAAGAATATTCTGAGAATGCTTCCGTTTGCCTTTTATATGAAGTTCCTTCCTGTACTACCGTAGGCCTCAAAGCAGTCCAAATCTCCATTTGCAGATTCTACAAAAAGAGTGATTCCAATCTGCTCTATCAATAGGATTGTTCAACTCCATGAGTTGAATGCCATCCTCACAAAGTCGTTTCTGAGAATGCTTCTATCTAGTTTTTATGTGAAGATATTTCCTTTTCCACCACAGGCCTCAAAGCCTTCCAAACGTCCACTTGCAGATTCTCGAAAAAGAGTGTTTCATAGCTGCTCTTTCAAAAGGAAAGTTCAACTCTGGGAGTTGAATACAAACATCACAAAGTAGTTTCCGAGAATGCTTCAGTTTAGTTTTTATGTGAAGATGATCCCGTTTCCAGTGAAATCTTCAAAGAGGTCCACATATCCCCTTGCAGATTCCAAAGAAAGAGGGTTTCAAAACTGCTCCATCAGAAGGATTGTTCAACTCTGTGAGTTGAATGCAGTCATCGCAGAAAACTTTCTGAGAATGCTTCTGTCTAGGTTTGATGTGAAGATATAGATGTTTCAAACGAAGGCTACAAAGTGGTCAAAATATACACTTTCAGATTCTACTACAAGGGTGTTGCAAACCTGAACTATCAAAGGAAGGTTCAACTCTGTGAGTTGAATACAAACATCACAAAGAATGTTCTGAGTTTGCTTCCGTTCAGTTATGGGAAGTTGATCCCGTTTCCAACGAAATCCTCAGAGAGGTCCAAATATCCCCTTGCAGATTCTACAAAACGTGTGTTTGGAAACTGCTCCATCATAACGAATGTTCAGCTCCCTGAGTTAAACTCCATCGTCACAAAGAATTTTCTGAGAGTGCTACCGTCTGGTTTTTATATGAAGTTCTTTCCTTCACTACCACAGGCCTCAAAGCGGTCCAAATCTCCACTTGCAGATTCTACAAAAAGAGTGTTTGCAAACTGCTCTATCAAAAGGAATGTTCAACTCTGGGAGTTGAATGCAATCATCACAGAGCAGTTTCTGAGAATGCTTCTATGTCGTTTTTAGGAGAAGATATTTCCTTTTCCAACACAGTCCTCCAAGCCCGCTAAATAGCCACTTGCACATTGTAGAAAAAGTGTGTCAAAGCTGCGCTATCAAAGGGAAAGTTCAACTCTGTGAGGTGAATGCAAACATCCCAAAGAAGTTTCTGAGAATGCTTCCGTTTAGCTTTTAGGTGAAGATTATCCCGTTTCCAACGAAAGCTTCAAAGAGGTCCAAATATCCCCTTGCGGATCCCACAGAAAGAGTGTTTCGAAACTGCTGTTTCAAAAGGAATCTTCAACTCTGTGAGTTGAATGCAATCATCACAAAGAAGTTTCTGACAATGCTTCTCTCTCGTCTTTCTGTGAAGATAAAGGAAAAGGCTTTCAGGCCTTTTCCACCACAGGCCTGAAAGCGCTCCAAATGTCCACTTGCAGATTCTGCGAAAAGAATATTTCAAAACTGCTTTGTGAAAAGCAATGTTAAACTCAGTGGCTCGAACACAAACATCACAACGCGGTTTCTGAGAATGCTTCAGTTTAGTTTTTCTGTGGAAATATTCCCGTTTCCAAAGAAATCTTCAAAGAGGTCCACGCATCCACTTACAGATTCTACAAAAAGACAGTTTCAAAACTGCTCAATCAAAAGGAGGGTTCAACTGTGTGACTTGAATGCATTCATCACTCAGAAGTTTCTGAGAATGCTTCTCTTTAGTTTTTACGTGAACATATACCCGTTTCGAACGAAGGCCAGCCAGTGGTCCAAATATCCACTTGCAGATTCTACAGAAAGAGTGTTTCGAACCTGAACTCTCAAAGGCAGGTTCATCTCTGCGAGTTAAATGCATTCATCATGAAGAACTTTCTCAGAGTGTTTGTGTTTAGTTATGGGAAATTATTCCCGTTTCCAACGAAATCCTCAGAGAGCTCCAAATATCCACCTGCAGATTCTACCAAAAGTGTATTTGGAAACTGCTCCAACAAAAGGCATGTTAAGCTCTGTGAGTGAAACTCCATCATCACAAAGAATATTCTGAGAATGCTTCCGTTTGCCTTTTATATGAAGTTCCTTCCTATACTACCGTAGGCCTCAAAGCAGTCCAAATCTCCATTTGCAGATTCTACAAAAAGAGTGATTCCAATCTGCTCTATCAATAGGATTGTTCAACTCCATGAGTTGAATGCCATCCTCACAAAGTAGTTTCTGAGAATGCTTCTATCTAGTTTTTATGTGAAGATATTTCCTTTTCCACCACAGGCCTCAAAGCCCTCCAAACGTCCACTTGCAGATTTTCGAAAAAGAGTGTTTCATAGCTGCTCTTTCAAAAGGAAAGTTCAACTCTGGGAGTTGAATACAAACATCACAAAGTAGTTTCCGAGAATGCTTCTGTTTAGTTTTTATGTGAAGATGATCCCGTTTCCAGTGAAATCTTCAAAGAGGTCCACATATCCCCTTGCAGATTCCAAAGAAAGAGGGTTTCAAAACTGCTCCATCAGAAGGATTGTTCAACTCTGTGAGTTGAATGCAGTCATCGCAGAAAACTTTCTGAGAATGCTTCTGTCTAGGTTTGATGTGAAGATATAGACGTTTCAAACGAAGGCTACAAAGTGGTCAAAATATACACTTGCAGATTCTACTACAAGGGTGTTGCAAACCTGAACTATCAAAGGAAGGTTCAACTCTGTGAGTTGAATACAAACGTCACAAAGAATGTTCTGAGTTTGCTTCCGTTCAGTTATGGGAAGTTGATCCCGTTTCCAACGAAATCCTCAGAGAGGTCCAAATATCCCCTCGCAGATTCTACAAAACGTGTGTTTGGAAACTGCTCCGTCATAACGAATGTTCAGCTCCCTGAGTTAAACTCCATCGTCACAAAGAATTTTCTGAGAGTGCTACCGTCTGGTTTTTATATGAAGTTCTTTCCTTCACTACCACAGGCCTCAAAGCGGTCCAAATCTCCACTTGCAGATTCTACAAAAAGAGTGTTTGCAAACTGCTCTATCAAAAGGAATGTTCAACTCTGGGAGTTGAATGCAATCATCACAGAGCAGTTTCTGAGAATGCTTCTATGTCGTTTTTAGGAGAAGATAATTCCTTTTCCAACACAGTCCTCCAAGCCCGCTAAATAGCTACTTGCACATTGTAGAAAAAGTGTGTCAAAGCTGCGCTATCAAAGGGAAAGTTCAACTCTGTGAGGTGAATGCAAACATCCCAAAGAAGTTTCTGAGAATGCTTCCGTTTAGCTTTTAGGTGAAGATTATCCCGTTTCCAACGAAACCTTCAAAGAGGTCCAAATATCCCCTTGCGGATCCCACAGAAAGAGTGTTTCAAAACTGCTGTTTCAAAAGGAATCTTCAACTCTGTGAGTTGAATGCAATCATCACAAAGAAGTTTCTGACAATGCTTCTCTCTCGTCTTTCTGTGAAGATAAAGGAAAAGGCTTTCAGGCCTTTTCCACCACAGGCCTGAAAGCGCTCCAAATGTCCACTTGCAGATTCTGCGAAAAGAATATTTCAAAACTGCTCTATGAAAAGCAATGTTAAACTCTGCGGCTCGAACACAAACATCACAAAGCGGTTTCTGAGAATGCTTCAGTTTAGTTTTTCTGTGGAAATATTCCCGTTTCCAAAGAAATCTTCAAAGAGGTCCACGTATCCACTTACAGATTCTACAAAAAGACAGTTTCAAAACTGCTCCATCAAAAGGAGGGTTCAACTGTGTGACTTGAATGCAATCATCACTCAGAAGTTTCTGAGAATGCTTCTCTTTAGTTTTTACGTGTACATATACCCGTTTCGAACGAAGGCCAGCCAGTGGTCCAAATATCCACTTGCAGATTCTACAGAAAGAGTGTTTCGAACCTGAACTCTCAAAGGCAGGTTCATCTCTGCGAGTTAAATGCATTCATCATGAAGAACTTTCTCAGAGTGTTTGTGTTTAGTTATGGGAAATTATTCCCGTTTCCAACGAAATCCTCAGAGAGCTCCAAATATCCACCTGCAGATTCTACCAAAAGTGTATTTGGAAACTGCTCCATCAAAAGGCATGTTCAGCTCTGTGAGTGAAACTCCATCATCACAAAGAATATTCTGAGAATGCTTCCGTTTGCCTTTTATATGAAGTTCCTTCCTGTACTACTGTAGGCCTCAAAGCAGTCCAAATCTCCATTTGCAGATTCTACAAAAAGAGTGATTCCAATCTGCTCTATCAATAGGATTGTTCAACTCCATGAGTTGAATGCCATCCTCACAAAGTAGTTTCTGAGAATGCTTCTATCTGGTTTTTGTGTGAAGATATTTCCTTTTCCACCACAGGCCTCAAAGCCCTCCAAACGTCCACTTGCAGATTCTCGAAAAAGAGTGTTTCATAGCTGCTCTTTCCAAAGGAAAGTTCAACTCTGGGAGTTGAATACAAACATCACAAAGTAGTTTCCGAGAATGCTTCTGTTTAGTTTTTATGTGAAGATGATCCCGTTTCCAGTGAAATCTTCAAAGAGGTCCACATATCCCCTTGCAGATTCCAAAGAAAGAGGGTTTCAAAACTGCTCCATCAGAAGGATTGTTCAACTCTGTGAGTTGAATGCAGTCATCGCAGAAAACTTTCTGAGAATGCTTCTGTCTAGGTTTGATGTGAAGATATAGACGTTTCAAACGAAGGCTACAATGTGGTCAAAATATACACTTGCAGATTCTACTACAAGGGTGTTACAAACCTGAACTATCAAAGGATGGTTCAACTCTGTGAGTTGAATACAAACATCACAAAGAATGTTCTGAGTTTGCTTCCGTTCAGTTATGGGAAGTTGATCCCGTTTCCAACGAAATCCTCAGAGAGGTCCAAATATCCCCTCGCAGATTCTACAAAACGTGTGTTTGGAAACTGCTCCATCATAACGAATGTTCAGCTCCCTGAGTTAAACTCCATCGTCACAAAGAATTTTCTGAGAGTGCTACCGTCTGGTTTTTATATGAAGTTCTTTCCTTCACTACCACAGGCCTCAAAGCGGTCCAAATCTCCACTTGCAGATTCTACAAAAAGAGTGTTTGCAAACTGCTCTATCAAAAGGAATGTTCAACTCTGGGAGTTGAATGCAATCATCACAGAGCAGTTTCTGAGAATGCTTCTATGTCGTTTTTAGGAGAAGATATTTCCTTTTCCAACACAGTCCTCCAAGCCCGCTAAATAGCCACTTGCACATTGTAGAAAAAGTGTGTCAAAGCTGCGCTATCAAAGGGAAAGTTCAACTCTGTGAGGTGAATGCAAACATCCCAAAGAAGTTTCTGAGAATGCTTCCGTTTAGCTTTTAGGTGAAGATTATCCCGTTTCCAACGAAACCTTCAAAGAGGTCCAAATATCCCCTTGCGGATCCCACAGAAAGAGTGTTTCGAAACTGCTGTTTCAAAAGGAATCTTCAACTCTGTGAGTTGAATGCAATCATCACAAAGAAGTTTCTGACAATGCTTCTCTCTCGTCTTCCTGTGAAGATAAAGGAAAAGGCTTTCAGGCCTTTTCCACCACAGGCCTGAAAGCGCTCCAAATGTCCACTTGCAGATTCTGCCAAAAGAATATTTCAAAACTGCTCTATGAAAAGCAATGTTAAACTCTGTGGCTCGAACACAAACATCACAAAGCAGTTTCTGAGAATGCTTCAGTTTAGTTTTTCTGTGGAAATATTCCCGTTTCCAAAGAAATCTTCAAAGAGGTCCACGTATCCACTTACAGATTCTACAAAAAGACAGTTTCAAAACTGCTCAATCAAAAGGAGGGTTCAACTGTGTGACTTGAATGCAATCATCACTCAGAAGTTTCTGAGAACGCTTCTCTTTAGTTTTTACGTGAACATATACCCGTTTCGAACGAAGGCCAGCCAGTGGTCCAAATATCCACTTGCAGATTCTACAGAAAGAGTGTTTCGAACCTGAACACTCAAAGGCAGGTTCATCTCTGCGAGTTAAATGCATTCATCATGAAGAACTTTCTCAGCGTGTTTGTGTTTAGTTATGGGAAATTATTCCCTTTTCCAACGAAATCCTCAGAGAGCTCCAAATATCCACCTGCAGATTCTACCAAAAGTGTATTTGGAAACTGCTCCATCAAAAGGCATGTTCAGCTCTGTGAGTGAAACTCCATCATCACAAAGAATATTCTGAGAATGCTTCCGTTTGCCTTTTATCTGAAGTTCCTTCCTATACGACCGTAGGCCTCAAAGCAGTCCAAATCTCCATTTGCAGATTCCACAAAAAGAGTGATTCCAATCTGCTCTATCAATAGGATTGTTCAACTCCATGAGTTGAATGCCATCCTCACAAAGTCGTTTCTGAGAATGCTTCTATCTAGTTTTTATGTGAAGATATTTCCTTTTCCACCACAGGCCTCAAAGCCCTCCAAACGTCCACTTGCAGATTCTCGAAAAAGAGTGTTTCATAGCTGCTCTTTCAAAAGGAAAGTTCAACTCTGGGAGTTGAATACAAACATCACAAAGTAGTTTCCGAGAATGCTTCTGTTTAGTTTTTATGTGAAGATGATCCCGTTTCCAGTGAAATCTTCAAAGAGGTCCACATATCCCCTTGCAGATTCCAAAGAAAGAGGGTTTCAAAACTGCTCCATCAGAAGGATTGTTCAACTCTGTGAGTTGAATGCAGTCATCGCAGAAAACTTTCTGAGAATGCTTCTGTCTAGGTTTGATGTGAAGGTATAGACGTTTCAAACGAAGGCTACAAAGTGGTCAAAATATACACTTGCAGATTCTACTACAAGGGTGTTGCAAACCTGAACTATCAAAGGAAGGTTCAACTCTGTGAGTTGAATACAAACATCACAAAGAATGTTCTGAGTTTGCTTCCGTTCAGTTATGGGAAGTTGATCCCGTTTCCAACGAAATCCTCAGAGAGGTCCAAATATCCCCTTGCAGATTCTACAAAACGTGTGTTTGGAAACTGCTCCATCATAACGAATGTTCAGCTCCCTGAGTTAAACTCCATCGTCACAAAGAATTTTCTGAGAGTGCTACCGTCTGGTTTTTATATGAAGTTCTTTCCTTCACTACCACAGGCCTCAAAGCGGTCCAAATCTCCACTTGCAGATTCTACAAAAAGAGTGTTTGCAAACTGCTCTATCAAAAGGAATGTTCAACTCTGGGAGTTGAATGCAATCATCACAGAGCCAGTTTCTGAGAATGCTTCTATGTCGTTTTTAGGAGAAGATATTTCCTTTTCCAACACAGTCCTCCAAGCCCGCTAAATAGCCACTTGCACATTGTAGAAAAAGTGTGTCAAAGCTGCGCTATCAAAGGGAAAGTTCAACTCTGTGAGGTGAATGCAAACATCCCAAAGAAGTTTCTGAGAATGCTTCCGTTTAGCTTTTAGGTGAAGATTATCCCGTTTCCAACGAAACCTTCAAAGAGGTCCAAATATCCCCTTGCGGATCCCACAGAAAGAGTGTTTCGAAACTGCTGTTTCAAAAGGAATCTTCAACTCTGTGAGTTGAATGCAATCATCACAAAGAAGTTTCTGACAATGCTTCTCTCTCGTCTTTCTGTGAAGGTAAAGGAAAAGGCTTTCAGGACTTTTCCACCACAGGCCTGAAAGCGCTCCAAATGTCCACTTGCAGATTCTGCCAAAAGAATATTTCAAAACTGCTCTATGAAACGCAATGTTAAACTCTGTGGCTCGAACACAAACATCACAAGGCGGTTTCTGAGAATGATTCAGTTTAGTTTTTCTGTGGAAATATTCCCGTTTCCAAAGAAATCTTCAAAGAGGTCCACGTATCCACTTACAGATTCTACAAAAAGACAGTTTCAAAACTGCTCCATCAAAAGGAGGGTTCAACTGTGTGACTTGAATGCAATCATCACTCAGAAGTTTCTGAGAATGCTTCTCTTTAGTTTTTACGTGAACATATACCCGTTTCGAACGAAGGCCACCCAGTGGTCCAAATATCCACTTGCAGATTCTACAGAAAGAGTGTTTCGAACATGAACTCTCAAAGGCAGGTTCATCTCTGCGAGTTAAATGCATTCATCATGAAGAACTTTCTCAGAGTGTTTGTGTTTAGTTATGGGAAATTATTCCCGTTTCCAACGAAATCCTCAGAGAGCTCCAAATATCCACCTGCAGATTCTACCAAAAGTGGATTTGGAAACTGCTCCATCAAAAGGCATGTTCCGCTCTGTGAGTGAAACTCCATCATAACAAAGAATATTCTGAGAATGCTTCCGTTTGCCTTTTATATGAAGTTCCTTCCTGTACTACTGTAGGCCTCAAAGCAGTCCAAATCTCCATTTGCAGATTCTACAAAAAGAGTGATTCCAATCTGCTCTATCAATAGGATTGTTCAACTCCATGAGTTGAATGCCATCCTCACAAAGTAGTTTCTGAGAATGCTTCTATCTAGTTTTTATGTGAAGATATTTCCTTTTCCACCACAGGCCTCAAAGCCCTCCAAACGTCCACTTGCAGATTCTCGAAAAAGAGTGTTTCATAGCTGCTCTTTCAAAAGGAAATTTCAACTCTGGGAGTTGAATACAAACATCACAAAGAATGTTCTGAGTTTGCTTCCGTTCAGTTATGGGAAGTTGATCCCGTTTCCAACGAAATCCTCAGAGAGGTCCAAATATCCCCTTGCAGATTCTACAAAACGTGTGTTTGGAAACTGCTCCATCATAACGAATGTTCAGCTCCCTGAGTTAAACTCCATCGTCACAAAGAATTTTCTGAGAGTGCTACCGTCTGGTTTTTATATGAAGCTCTTTCCTTCACTACCCCAGGCCTCAAAGCGGTCCAAATCTCCACTTGCAGATTCTACAAAAAGAGTGTTTGCAAACTGCTCTATCAAAAGGAATGTTCAACTCTGGGAGTTGAATGCAATCATCACAGAGCAGTTTCTGAGAATGCTTCTATGTCGTTTTTAGGAGAAGATATTTCCTTTTCCAACACAGTCCTCCAAGCCCGCTAAATATCCACTTGCACATTGTAGAAAAAGTGTGTCAAAGCTGCGCTATCAAAGGGAAAGTTCAACTCTGTGAGGTGAATGCAAACATCCCAAAGAAGTTTCTGAGAATGCTTCCGTTTAGCTTTTAGGTGAAGATTATCCTGTTTCCAACGAAATCTTCAAAGAGGTCCAAATATCCCCTTGCAGATCCCACAGAAAGAGTGTTTCGAAACTGCTGTTTCAAAAGGAATCTTCAACTCTGTGAGTTGAATGCAATCTTCACAAAGAAGTTTCTGACAATGCTTCTCTCTCGTCTTTCTGTGAAGATAAAGGAAAAGGCTTTCAGGCCTTTTCCACCACAGGCCTGAAAGCGCTCCAAATCTCCACTTGCAGATTCTGCCAAAAGAATATTTCAAAACTGCTCTATGAAAAGCAATGTTAAACTCTGTGGCTCGAACACAAACATCACAAAGCAGTTTCTGAGAATGCTTCAGTTTAGTTTTTCTGTGGAAATATTCCCGTTTCCAAAGAAATCTTCAAAGAGGTCCACGCATCCACTTACAGATTCTACAAAAAGACAGTTTCAAAACTGCTCAATCAAAAGGAGGGTTCAACTGTGTGACTTGAATGCAATCATCACTCAGAAGTTTGTGTGAACGCTTCTCTTTAGTTTTTACGTGAACATATACCCGTTTCGAACGAAGGCCAGCCAGTGGTCCAAATATCCACTTGCAGATTCTACACAAAGAGTGTTTCGAACCTGAACTCTCAAAGGCAGGTTCATCTCTGCGAGTTAAATGCATTCATCATGAAGAACTTTCTCAGCGTGTTTGTGTTTAGTTATGGGAAATTATTCCCTTTTCCAACTAAATCCTCAGAGAGCTCCAAATATCCACCTGCAGATTCTACCAAAAGTGTATTTGGAAACTGCTCCATCAAAAGGCATGTTCAGCTCTGTGAGTGAAACTCCATGATCACAAAGAATATTCTGAGAATGCTTCCGTTTGCCTTTTATATGAAGTTCCTTCCTATACTACCGTAGGCCTCAAAGCAGTCCAAATCTCCATTTGCAGATTCTACAAAAAGAGTGATTCCAATCTGCTCTATCAATAGGATTGTTCAACTCCATGAGTTGAATGCCATCCTCACAAAGTCGTTTCTGAGAATGCTTCTATCTAGTTTTTATGTGAAGATATTTCCTTTTCCACCACAGGCCTCAAAGCCCTCCAAACGTCCACTTGCAGATTCTCGAGAAAGAGTGTTTCATAGCTGCTCTTTCAAAAGGAAAGTTCAACTCTGGGAGTTGAATACAAACATCACAAAGTAGTTTCCGAGAATGCTTCTGTTTAGTTTTTATGTGAAGATGATCCCGTTTCCAGTGAAATCTTCAAAGAGGTCCACATATCCCCTTGCAGATTCCAAAGAAAGAGGGTTTCAAAACTGCTCCATCAGAAGGATTGTTCAACTCTGTGAGTTGAATGCAGTCATCGCAGAAAACTTTCTGAGAATGCTTCTGTCTAGGTTTGATGTGAAGATATAGACGTTTCAAACGAAGGCTACAAAGTGGTCAAAATATACACTTGCAGATTCTACTACAAGGGTGTTGCAAACCTGAACTATCAAAGGAAGGTTCAACTCTGTGAGTTGAATACAAACATCACAAAGAATGTTCTGAGTTTGCTTCCGTTCAGTTATGGGAAGTTGATCCCGTTTCCAACGAAATCCTCAGAGAGGTCCAAATATCCCCTTGCAGATTCTACAAAACGTGTGTTTGGAAACTGCTCCATCATAACGAATGTTCAGCTCCCTGAGTTAAACTCCATCGTCACAAAGAATTTTCTGAGAGTGCTACCGTCTGGTTTTTATATGAAGCTCTTTCCTTCACTACCACAGGCCTCAAAGCGGTCCAAATCTCCACTTCCAGATTCTACAAAAAGAGTGTTTGCAAACTGCTCTATCAAAAAGAATGTTCAACTCTGGGAGTTGAATGCAATCATCACAGAGCAGTTTCTGAGAATGCTTCTATGTCGTTTTTAGGAGAAGATATTTCCTTTTCCAACACAGTCCTCCAAGCCCGCTAAATAGCCACTTGCACATTGTAGAAAAAGTGTGTCAAAGCTGCGCTATCAAAGGGAAAGTTCAACTCTGTGAGGTGAATGCAAACATCCCAAAGAAGTTTCTGAGAATGCTTCCGTTTAGCTTTTAGGTGAAGATTATCCCGTTTCCAACGAAACCTTCAAAGAGGTCCAAATATCCCCTTGCGGATCCCACAGAAAGAGTGTTTCGAAACTGCTGTTTCAAAAGGAATCTTCAACTCTGTGAGTTGAATGCAATCATCACAAAGAAGTTTCTGACAATGCTTCTCTCTCGTCTTTCTGTGAAGATAAAGGAAAAGGCTTTCAGGCCTTTTCCACCACAGGCCTGAAAGCGCTCCAAATGTCCACTTGCAGATTCTGCCAAAAGAATATTTCAAAACTGCTCTATGAAAAGCAGTGTTAAACTCTGTGGCTCGAACACAAACATCACAAAGCAGTTTCTGAGAATGCTTCAGTTTAGTTTTTCTGTGGAAATATTCCCGTTTCCAAAGAAATCTTCAAAGAGGTCCACGCATCCACTTACAGATTCTACAAAAAGACAGTTTCAAAACTGCTCAATCAAAAGGAGGGTTCAACTGTGTGACTTGAATGCATTCATCACTCAGAAGTTTCTGAGAATGCTTCTCTTTAGTTTTTACGTGAACATATACCCGTTTCGAACGAAGGCCACCCAGTGGTCCAAATATCCACTTGCAGATTATACAGAAAGAGTGTTTCGAACCTGAACTCTCAAAGGCAGGTTCATCTCTGCGAGTTAAATGCATTCATCATGAAGAACTTTCTCAGAGTGTTTGCGTTTAGTTATGGGAAATTATTCCCGTTTCCAACGAAATCCTCAGAGAGCTCCAAATATCCACCTGCAGATTCTACCAAAAGTGTATTTGGAAACTGCTCCATCAAAAGGCATGTTCAGCTCTGTCAGTGAAACTCCATCATCACAAAGAATATTCTGAGAATGCTTCCGTTTGCCTTTTATATGAAGTTCCTTCCTGTACTACCGTAGGCCTCAAAGCAGTCCAAATCTCCATTTGCAGATTCTACAAAAAGAGTGATTCCAATCTGCTCTATCAATAGGATTGTTCAACTCCATGAGTTGAATGCCATCCTCACAAAGTCGTTTCTGAGAATGCTTCTATCTGGTTTTTGTGTGAAGATATTTCCTTTTCCACCACAGGCCTCAAAGCCCTCCAAACGTCCACTTGCAGATTCTCGAAAAAGAGTGTTTCATAGCTGCTCTTTCAAAAGGAAAGTTCAACTCTGGGAGTTGAATACAAACATCACAAAATAGTTTCCGAGAATGCTTCTGTTTAGTTTTTATGTGAAGATGATCCCGTTTCCAGTGAAATCTTCAAAGAGGTCCACATATCCCCTTGCAGATTCCAAAGAAAGAGGGTTTAAAAACTGCTCCATCAGAAGGATTGTTCAACTCTGTGAGTTGAATGCAGTCATCGCAGAAAACTTTCTGAGAATGCTTCTGTCTAGGTTTGATGTGAAGATATAGATGTTTCAAACGAAGGCTACAAAGTGGTCAAAATATACACTTGCAGATTCTACTACAAGGGTGTTGCAAACCTGAACTATCAAAGGAAGGTTCAACTCTGTGAGTTGAATACAAACATCACAAAGAATGTTCTGAGTTTGCTTCCGTTCAGTTATGGGAAGTTGATCCCGTTTCCAACGAAATCCTCAGAGAGGTCCAAATATCCCCTTGCAGATTCTACAAAACGTGTGTTTGGAAACTGCTCCATCATAACGAATGTTCAGCTCCCTGAGTTAAACTCCATCGTCACAAAGAATTTTCTGAGAGTGCTACCGTCTAGTTTTTATATGAAGTTCTTTCCTTTACTACCACAGGCCTCAAAGCGGTCCAAATCTCCACTTGCAGATTCTACAAAAAGAGTGTCTGCAAACTGCTCTATCAAAAGGAATGTTCAACTCTGGGAGTTGAATGCAATCATCACAGAGCAGTTTCTGAGAAGGCTTCTATGTCGTTTTTAGGAGAAGATATTTCCTTTTCCAACACAGTCCTCCAAGCCCGCTAAATAGCCACTTGCACATTGTAGAAAAAGTGTGTCGAAGCTGCGCTATCAAAGGGAAAGTTCAACTCTGTGAGGTGAATGCAAACATCCCAAAGAAGTTTCTGAGAATGCTTCCGTTTAGCTTTTAGGTGAAGATTATCCCGTTTCCAACGAAAGCTTCAAAGAGGTCCAAATATCCCCTTGCGGATCCCACAGAAAGAGTGTTTCGAAACTGCTGTTTCAAAAGGAATCTTCAACTCTGTGAGTTGAATGCAATCATCACAAAGAAGTTTCTGACAATGCTTCTCTCTCGTCTTTCTGTGAACATAAAGGAAAAGGCGTTCAGGCCTTTGCCACCACAGGCCTGAAAGCGCTCCAAATGTCCACTTGCAGATTCTGCCAAAAGAATATTTCAAAACTGCTCTATGAAAAGCAATGTTAAACTCTGTGGCTCGAACACAAACATCACAAAGCGGTCTCTGAGAATGCTTCAGTTTAGTTTTTCTGTGGAAATATTCCCGTTTCCAAAGAAATCTTCAAAGAGGTCCACGTATCCACTTACAGATTCTACAAAAAGACAGTTTCAAAACTGCTCCATCAAAAGGAGGGTTCAACTGTGTGACTTGAATGCAATCATCACTCAGAAGTTTCTGAGAATGCTTCTCTTTAGTTTTTACGTGAACATATACCCGTTTCGAATGAAGGCCACCCAGTGGTCCAAATATCCACTTGCAGATTCTACAGAAAGAGTGTTTCGAACCTGAACTCTCAAAGGCAGGTTCATCTCTGCGAGTTAAATGCATTCATCATGAAGAACTTTCTCAGCGTGTTTGTGTTTAGTTATGGGAAATTATTCCCGTTTCCAACGAAATCCTCAGAGAGCTCCAAATATCCACCTGCAGATTCTACCAAAAGTGTATTTGGAAACTGCTCCATCAAAAGGCATGTTCAGCTCTGTGAGTGAAACTCCATCATCACAAAGAATATTCTGAGAATGCTTCCGTTTGCCTTTTATATGAAGTTCCTTCCTGTACTACCGTAGGCCTCAAAGCAGTCCAAATCTCCATTTGCAGATTCTACAAAAAGAGTGATTCCAATCTGCTCTATCAATAGGATTGTTCAACTCCATGAGTTGAATGCCATCCTCACAAAGCAGTTTCTGAGAATGCTTCTATCTGGTTTTTGTGTGAAGATATTTCCTTTTCCACCACAGGCCTCAAAGCCCTCCAAACGTCCACTTGCAGATTCTCGAAAAAGAGTGTTTCATAGCTGCTCTTTCAAAAGGAAAGTTCAACTCTGGGAGTTGAATACAAACATCACAAAATAGTTTCCGAGAATGCTTCTGTTTAGTTTTTATGTGAAGATGATCCCGTTTCCAGTGAAATCTTCAAAGAGGTCCACATATCCCCTTGCAGATTCCAAAGAAAGAGGGTTTCAAAACTGCTCCATCAGAAGGATTGTTCAACTCTGTGAGTTGAATGCAGTCATCGCAGAAAACTTTCTGAGAATGCTTCTGTCTAGGTTTGATGTGAAGATATAGACGTTTCAAACGAAGGCTACAAAGTGGTCAAAATATACACTTGCAGATTCTACTACAAGGGTGTTGCAAACCTGAACTATCAAAGGAAGGTTCAACTCTGTGAGTTGAATACAAACATCACAAAGAATGTTCTGAGTTTGCTTCCGTTCAGTTATGGGAAGTTGATCCCGTTTCCAACGAAATCCTCAGAGAGGTCCAAATATCCCCTTGCAGATTCTACAAAACGTGTGTTTGGAAACTGCTCCATCATAACGAATGTTCAGCTCCCTGAGTTAAACTCCATCGTCACAAAGAATTTTCTGAGAGTGCTACCGTCTGGTTTTTATATGAAGTTCTTTCCTTCACTACCACAGGCCTCAAAGCGGTCCAAATCTCCACTTGCAGATTCTACAAAAAGAGTGTTTGCAAACTGCTCTATCAAAAGGAATGTTCAACCCTGGGAGTTGAATGCAATCATCACAGAGCAGTTTCTGAGAATGCTTCTATGTCGTTTTTAGGAGAAGATATTTCCTTTTCCAACACAGTCCTCCAAGCCCGCTAAATAGCCACTTGCACATTGTAGAAAAAGTGTGTCAAAGCTGCGCTATCAAAGGGAAAGTTCAACTCTGTGAGGTGAATGCAAACATCCCAAAGAAGTTTCTGAGAATGCTTCCGTTTAGCTTTTAGGTGAAGATTATCCCGTTTCCAACGAAACCTTCAAAGAGGTCCAAATATCCCCTTGCGGATCCCACAGAAAGAGTGTTTCGAAACTGCTGTTTCAAAAGGAATCTTCAACTCTGTGAGTTGAATGCAATCATCACAAAGAAGTTTCTGACAATGCTTCTCTCTCGTCTTTCTGTGAAGATAAAGGAAAAGGCTTTCAGGCCTTTTCCACCACAGGCCTGAAAGCGCTCCAAATGTCCACTTGCAGATTCTGCCAAAAGAATATTTCAAAACTGCTCTATGAAAAGCAATGTTAAACTCTGTGGCTCGAACACAAACATCACAAAGCAGTTTCTGAGAATGCTTCAGTTTAGTTTTTCTGTGGAAATATTCCCGTTTCCAAAGAAATCTTCAAAGAGGTCCACGTATCCACTTACAGATTCTACAAAAAGACAGTTTCAAAACTGCTCCATCAAAAGGAGGGTTCAACTGTGTGACTTGAATGCAATCATCACTCAGAAGTTTCTGAGAATGCTTCTCTTTAGTTTTTACGTGAACATATACCCGTTTCGAACGAAGGCCACCCAGTGGTCCAAATATCCACTTGCAGATTATACAGAAAGAGTGTTTCGAACCTGAACTCTCAAAGGCAGGTTCATCTCTGCGAGTTAAATGCATTCATCATGAAGAACTTTCTCAGCGTGTTTGTGTTTAGTTATGGGAAATTATTCCCGTTTCCAACGAAATCCTCTGAGAGCTCCAAATATCCACCTGCAGATTCTACCAAAAGTGTATTTGGAAACTGCTCCATCAAAAGGCATGTTCAGCTCTGTGAGTGAAACTCCATCATCACAAAGAATATTCTGAGAATGCTTCCGTTTGCCTTTTATATGAACTTCCTTCCTGTACTACCGTAGGCCTCAAAGCAGTCCAAATCTCCATTTGCAGATTCTATAAAAAGAGTGATTCCAATCTGCTCTATCAATAGGATTGTTCAACTCCATGATTTGAATGCCATCCTCACAAAGCAGTTTCTGAGAATGCTTCTATCTGGTTTTTGTGTGAAGATATTTCCTTTTCCACCACAGGCCTCAAAGCCCTCCAAACGTCCACTTGCAGATTCTCGAAAAAGAGTGTTTCATAGCTGCTCTTTCAAAAGGAAAGTTCAACTCTGGGAGTTGAATGCAAACATCACAAAGTAGTTTCCGAGAATGCTTCTGTTTAGTTTTTATGTGAAGATGATCCCGTTTCCAGTGAAATCTTCAAAGAGGTCCACATATCCCCTTGCAGATTCCAAAGAAAGAGGGTTTCAAAACTGCTCCATCAGAAGGATTGTTCAACTCTGTGAGTTGAATGCAGTCATCGCAGAAAACTTTCTGAGAATGCTTCTGTCTAGGTTTGATGTGAAGATATAGACGTTTCAAACGAAGGCTACAAAGTGTTCAAAATATACACTTGCAGATTCTACTACAAGGGTGATGCAAACCTGAACTATCAAAGGAAGGTTCAACTCTGTGAGTTGAATACAAACATCACAAAGAATGTTCTGAGTTTGCTTCCGTTCAGTTATGGGAAGTTGATCCCGTTTCCAACGAAATCCTCAGAGAGGTCCAAATATCCCCTTGCAGATTCTACAAAACGTGTGTTTGGAAACTGCTCCATCATAACGAATGTTCAGCTCTCTGAGTTAAACTCCATCGACACAAAGAATTTTCTGAGGGTGCTACCGTCTGGTTTTTATATGAAGTTCTTTCCTTCACTACCACAGGCCTCAAAGCGGTCCAAATCTCCACTTGCAGATTCTACAAAAAGAGTGTTTGCAAACTGCTCTATCAAAAGGAATGTTCAACTCTGGGAGTTGAATGCAATCATCACAGAGCAGTTTCTGAGAATGCTTCTATGTCGTTTTTAGGAGAAGATATTTCCTTTTCCAACACAGTCCTCCAAGCCCGCTAAATATCCACTTGCACATTGTAGAAAAAGTGTGTCGAAGCTGCGCTATCAAAGGGAAAGTTCAACTCTGTGAGGTGAATGCAAACATCCCAAAGAAGTTTCTGAGAATGCTTCCGTTTAGCTTTTAGGTGAAGATTATCCTGTTTCCAACGAAATCTTCAAAGAGGTCCAAATATCCCCTTGCAGATCCCACAGAAAGAGTGTTTCGAAACTGCTGTTTCAAAAGGAATCTTCAACTCTGTGAGTTGAATGCAATCTTCACAAAGAAGTTTCTGACAATGCTTCTCTCTCGTCTTTCTGTGAAGATAAAGGAAAAGGCTTTCAGGCCTTTTCCACCACAGGCCTGAAAGCGCTCCAAATGTCCACTTGCAGATTCTGCCAAAAGAATATTTCAAAACTGCTCTATGAAAAGCAATGTTAAACTCTGTGGCTCGAACACAAACATCACAAAGCAGTTTCTGAGAATGCTTCAGTTTAGTTTTTCTGTGGAAATATTCCCGTTTCCAAAGAAATCTTCAAAGAGGTCCACGCATCCACTTACAGATTCTACAAAAAGACAGTTTCAAAACTGCTCAATCAAAAGGAGGGTTCAACTGTGTGACTTGAATGCAATCATCACTCAGAAGTTTCTGAGAACGCTTCTCTTTAGTTTTTACGTGAACATATACCCGTTTCGAACGAAGGCCACCCAGTGGTCCAAATATCCACTTGCAGATTATACAGAAAGAGTGTTTCGAACCTGAACTCTCAAAGGCAGGTTCATCTCTGCGAGTTAAATGCATTCATCATGAAGAACTTTCTCAGAGTGTTTGTGTTTAGTTATGGGAAATTATTCCCGTTTCCAACGAAATCCTCAGAGAGCTCCAAATATCCACCTGCTGATTCTACCAAAAGTGTATTTGGAAACTGCTCCATCAAAAGGCATGTTCAGCTCTGTGAGTGAAACTCCATCATCACAAAGAATATTCTGAGAATGCTTCCGTTTGCCTTTTATATGAAGTTCCTTCCTGTACTACCGTAGGCCTCAAAGCAGTCCAAATCTCCATTTGCAGATTCTATAAAAAGAGTGATTCCAATCTGCTCTATCAATAGGATTGTTCAACTCCATGAGTTGAATGCCATCCTCACAAAGTAGTTTCTGAGAATGCTTCTATCTGGTTTTTGTGTGAAGATATTTCCTTTTCCACCACAGGCCTCAAAGCCCTCCAAACGTCCACTTGCAGATTCTCGAAAAAGAGTGTTTCATAGCTGCTCTTTCAAAAGGAAAGTTCAATTCTGGGAGTTGAATACAAACATCACAAAATAGTTTCCGAGAATGCTTCTGTTTAGTTTTTATGTGAAGATGATCCCGTTTCCAGTGAAATCTTCAAAGAGGTCCACATATCCCCTTGCAGATTCCAAAGAAAGAGGGTTTCAAAACTGCTCCATCAGAAGGATTGTTCAACTCTGTGAGTTGAATGCAGTCATCGCAGAAAACTTTCTGAGAATGCTTCTGTCTAGGTTTGATGTGAAGATATAGACGTTTCAAACGAAGGCTACAAAGTGGTCAAAATATACACTTGCAGATTCTACTACAAGGGTGATGCAAACCTGAACTATCAAAGGAAGGTTCAACTCTGTGAGTTGAATACAAACATCACAAAGAATGTTCTGAGTTTGCTTCCGTTCAGTTATGGGAAGTTGATCCCGTTTCCAACGAAATCCTCAGAGAGGTCCAAATATCCCCTTGCAGATTCTACAAAACGTGTGTTTGGAAACTGCTCCATCATAACGAATGTTCAGCTCTCTGAGTTAAACTCCATCGTCACAAAGAATTTTCTGAGAGTGCTACCGTCTAGTTTTTATATGAAGTTCTTTCCTTTACTACCACAGGCCTCAAGGCGGTCCAAATCTCCACTTGCAGATTCTTCAAAAAGAGTGTTTGCAAACTGCTCTATCAAAAGGAATGTTCAACTCTGGGAGTTGAATGCAATCATCACAGAGCAGTTTCTGAGAATGCTTCTATGTCGTTTTTAGGAGAAGATATTTCCTTTTCCAACACAGTCCTCCAAGCCCGCTAAATAGCCACTTGCACATTGTAGAAAAAGTGTGTCAAAGCTGCGCTATCAAAGGGAAAGTTCAACTCTGTGAGGTGAATGCAAACATCCCAAAGAAGTTTCTGAGAATGCTTCCGTTTAGCTTTTAGGTGAAGATTATCCCGTTTCCAACGAAACCTTCAAAGAGGTCCAAATATCCCCTTGCGGATCCCACAGAAAGAGTGTTTCGAAACTGCTGTTTCAAAAGGAATCTTCAACTCTGTGAGTTGAATGCAATCATCACAAAGAAGTTTCTGACAATGCTTCTCTCTCGTCTTTCTGTGAAGATAAAGGAAAAGGCTTTCAGGCCTTTTCCACCACAGGCCTGAAAGCGCTCCAAATGTCCACTTGTAGATTCTGCCAAAAGAATATTTCAAAACTGCTCTATGAAAAGCAATGTTAAACTCTGTGGCTCGAACACAAACATCACAAAGCAGTTTCTGAGAATGCTTCAGTTTAGTTTTTCTGTGGAAATATTCCCGTTTCCAAAGAAATCTTCAAAGAGGTCCACGTATCCACTTACAGATTCTACAAAAAGACAGTTTCAAAACTGCTCCATCAAAAGGAGGGTTCAACTGTGTGACTTGAATGCAATCATCACTCAGAAGTTTCTGAGAATGCTTCTCTTTAGTTTTTACGTGAACATATACCCGTTTTGAACGAAGGCCACCCAGTGGTCCAAATATCCACTTGCAGATTCTACAGAAAGAGTGTTTCGAACCTGAACTCTCAAAGGCAGGTTCATCTCTGCGAGTTAAATGCATTCATCATGAAGAACTTTCTCAGAGTGTTTGTGTTTAGTTATGGGAAATTATTCCCGTTTCCAACGAAATCCTCAGAGAGCTCCAAATATCCACCTGCAGATTCTACCAAAAGTGTATTTGGAAACTGCTCCATCAAAAGGCATGTTCAGCTCTGTGAGTGAAACTCCATCATCACAAAGAATATTCTGAGAATGCTTCCGTTTGCCTTTTATCTGAAGTTCCTTCCTATACGACCGTAGGCCTCAAAGCAGTCCAAATCTCCATTTGCAGATTCTACAAAAAGAGTGATTCCAATCTGCTCTATCAATAGGATTGTTCAACTCCATGAGTTGAATGCCATCCTCACAAAGTAGTTTCTGAGAATGCTTCTATCTAGTTTTTATGTGAAGGTATTTCCTTTTCCACCACAGGCCTCCAAGCCCTCCAAACGTCCACTTGCAGATTCTCGAAAAAGAGTGTTTCATAGCTGCTCTTTCAAAAGGAAAGTTCAACTCTGGGAGTTGAATACAAACATCACAAAGTAGTTTCCGAGAATGCTTCTGTTTAGTTTTTATGTGAAGATGATCCCGTTTCCAGTGAAATCTTCAAAGAGGTCCACATATCCCCTTGCAGATTCCAAAGAAAGAGGGTTTCAAAACTGCTCCATCAGAAGGATTGTTCAACTCTGTGAGTTGAATGCAGTCATCGCAGAAAACTTTCTGAGAATGCTTCTGTCTAGGTTTGATGTGAAGATATAGACGTTTCAAACGAAGGCTACAAAGTGGTCAAAATATACACTTGCAGATTCTACTACAAGGGTGTTGCAAACCTGAACTATCAAAGGAAGGTTCAACTCTCTGAGTTGAATACAAACATCACAAAGAATGTTCTGAGTTTGCTTCCGTTCAGTTATGGGAAGTTGATCCCGTTTCCAACGAAATCCTCAGAGAGGTCCAAATATCCCCTTGCAGATTCTACAAAACGTGTGTTTGGAAACTGCTCCATCATAACGAATGTTCAGCTCCCTGAGTTAAACTCCATCGTCACAAAGAATTTTCTGAGAGTGCTACCGTCTGGTTTTTATATGAAGTTCTTTCCTTTACTACCACAGGCCTCAAAGCGGTCCAAATCTCCACTGGCAGATTCTACAAAAAGAGTGTTTGCAAACTGCTCTATCAAAAGGAATGTTCAACTCTGGGAGTTGAATGCAATCATCACAGAGCAGTTTCTGAGAATGCTTCTATGTCGTTTTTAGGAGAAGATATTTCCTTTTCCAACACAGTCCTCCAAGCCCGCTAAATATCCACTTGCACATTGTAGAAAAAGGGTGTAGAAGCTGCGCTATCAAAGGGAAAGTTCAAGTCTGTGAGGTGAATGCAAACATCCCAAAGAAGTTTCTGAGAATACTTCCGTTTAGCTTTTAGGTGAAGATTATCCCGTTTCCAACGAAATCTTCAAAGAGGTCCAAATATCCCCTTGCGGATCCCACAGAAAGAGTGTTTCGAAACTGCTGTTTCAAAAGGAATCTTCAACTCTGTGAGTTGAATGCAATCATCACAAAGAAGTTTCTGACAATGCTTCTCTCTCGTCTTTCTGTGAAGATAAAGGAAAAGGCTTTCAGGCCTTTTCCACCACAGGCCTGAAAGCGCTCCAAATGTCCACTTGCAGATTCTGCGAAAAGAATATTTCAAAACTGCTCTATGAAAAGCAATGTTAAACTCTGTGGCTCGAACACAAACATCACAAAGCGGTTTCTGAGAATGCTTCAGTTTAGTTTTTTTGTGGAAATATTCCCGTTTCCAAAGAAATCTTCAAAGAGGTCCACGTATCCACTTACAGATTCTACAAAAAGACAGTTTCAAAACTGCTCCATCAAAAGGAGGGTTCAACTGTGTGACTTGAATGCAATCATCACTCAGAAGTTTCTGAGAATGCTTCTCTTTAGTTTTTACGTGAACATATACCCGTTTCGAACGAAGGCCACCCAGTGGTCCAAATATCCACTTGCAGATTATACAGAAAGAGTGTTTCGAACCTGAACTCTCAAAGGCAGGTTCATCTCTGCGAGTTAAATGCATTCATCATGAAGAACTTTCTCAGAGTGTTTGTGTTTAGTTATGGGAAATTATTCCCGTTTCCAACGAAATCCTCAGAGAGCTCCAAATATCCACCTGCAGATTCTACCAAAAGTGTATTTGGAAACTGCTCCATCAAAAGGCATGTTCAGCTCTGTGAGTGAAACTCCATCATCACAAAGAATATTCTGAGAATGCTTCCGTTTGCCTTTTATATGAAGTTCCTTCCTATACGACCGTAGGCCTCAAAGCAGTCCAAATCTCCATTTGCAGATTCTACAAAAAGAGTGATTCCAATCTGCTCTATCAATAGGATTGTTCAACTCCATGAGTTGAATGCCATCGTCACAAAGTAGTTTCTGAGAATGCTTCTATCTAGTTTTTATGTGAAGATATTTCCTTTTCCACCACAGGCCTCAAAGCCCTCCAAACGTCCACTTGCAGATTCTCGAAAAAGAGTGTTTCATAGCTGCTCTTTCAAAAGGAAAGTTCAACTCTGGGAGTTGAATACAAACATCACAAAGTAGTTTCCGAGAATGCTTCTGTTTAGTTCTTATGTGAAGATGATCCCGTTTCCAGTGAAATCTTCAAATAGGTCCACATATCCCCTTGCAGATTCCAAAAAAAGAGGGTTTCAAAACTGCTCCATCAAAAGGATTGTTCAACTCTGTGAGTTGAATGCAGTCATCGCAGAAAACTTTCTGAGAATGCTTCTGTCTAGGTTTGATGTGAAGATATAGACGTTTCAAACGAAGGCTACAAAGTGGTCAAAATATACACTTGCAGATTCTACTACAAGGGTGATGCAAACCTCAACTATCAAAGGAAGGTTCAACTCTGTGAGATGAATGCAAACATCACAAAGAATGTTCTGAGTTTGCTTCCGTTCAGTTATGGGAAGTTGATCCCGTTTCCAACGAAATCCTCAGAGAGGTCCAAATATCCCCTTGCAGATTCTACAAAACGTGTGTTTGGAAACTGCTCCATCATAACGAATGTTCAGCTCTCTGAGTTAAACTCCATCGTCACAAAAAATTTTCTGAGAGTGCTACCGTCTGGTTTTTATATGAAGTTCTTTCCTTCACTACCACAGGCCTCAAAGCGGTCCAAATCTCCACTTGCAGATTCTACAAAAAGAGTGTTTGCAAACTGCTCTATCAAAAGGAATGTTCAACTCTGGGAATTGAATGCAATCATCACAGAGCAGTTTCTGAGAATGCTTCTATGTCGTTTTTAGGAGAAGATATTTCCTTTTCCAACACAGTCCTCCAAGCCCGCTAAATAGCCACTTGCACATTGTAGAAAAAGTGTGTCAAAGCTGCGCTATCAAAGGGAAAGTTCAACTCTGTGAGGTGAATGCAAACATCCCAAAGAAGTTTCTGAGAATGCTTCCGTTTAGCTTTTAGGTGAAGATTATCCCGTTTCCAACGAAACCTTCAAAGAGGTCCAAATATCCCCTTGCGGATCCCACAGAAAGAGTGTTTCGAAACTGCTGTTTCAAAAGGAATCTTCAACTCTGTGAGTTGAATGCAATCATCACAAAGAAGTTTCTGACAATGCTTCTCTCTCGTCTTTCTGTGAAGATAAAGGAAAAGGCTTTCAGGCCTTTGCCACCACAGGCCTGAAAGCGCTCCAAGTGTCCACTTGCAGATTCTGCGAAAAGAATATTTCAAAACTGCTCTATGAAAAGCAATGTTAAACTCTGTGGCTCGAACACAAACATCACAAAGCGGTTTCTGAGAATGCTTCAGTTTAGTTTTTCTGTGGAAATATTCCCGTTTCCAAAGAAATCTTCAAAGAGGTCCACGTATCCACTTACAGATTCTACAAAAAGACAGTTTCAAAACTGCTCCATCAAAAGGAGGGTTCAACTGTGTGACTTGAATGCAATCATCACTCAGAAGTTTCTGAGAATGCTTCTCTTTAGTTTTTACGTGAACATATACCCGTTTCGAACGAAGGCCACCCAGTGGTCCAAATATCCACTTGCAGATTCTACAGAAAGAGTGTTTCGAACCTGAACTCTCAAAGGCAGGTTCATCTCTGCGAGTTAAATGCATTCATCATGAAGAACTTTCTCAGAGTGTTTGTGTTTAGTTATGGGAAATTATTCCCGTTTCCAAGGAAATCCTCAGAGAGCTCCAAATATCCACCTGCAGATTCTACCAAAAGTGTATTTGGAAACTGCTCCATCAACAGGAATGTTCAGCTACTGTGAGTGAAACTCCATCATCACAAAGAATATTCTGAGAATGCTTCCCGTTTGCCTTTTATATGAAGTTCCTTCCTGTACTACCGTAGGCCTCAAAGCAGTCCAAATCTCCATTTGCAGATTCTACAAAAAGAGTGATTCCAATCTGCTCTATCAATAGGATTGTTCAACTCCATGAGTTGAATGCCATCCTCACAAAGTCGTTTCTGAGAATGCTTCTATCTAGTTTTTATGTGAAGATATTTCCTTTTCCACCACAGGCCTCAAAGCCCTCCAAACGTCCACTTGCAGATTCTCGAAAAGGAGTGTTTCATAGCTGCTCTTTCAAAAGGAAAGTTCAACTCTGGGAGTTGAATACAAACATCACAAAGTAGTTTCCGAGAATGCTTCTGTTTAGTTTTTATGTGAAGATGATCCCGTTTCCAGTGAAATCTTCAAAGAGGTCCACATATCCCCTTGCAGATTCCAAAGAAAGAGGGTTTCAAAACTGCTCCATCAGAAGGATTGTTCAACTCTGTGAGTTGAATGCAGTCATCGCAGAAAACTTTCTGAGAATGCTTCTGTCTAGGTTTGATGTGAAGATATAGACGTTTCAAACGAAGGCTACAAAGTGGTCAAAATATACACTTGCAGATTCTACTACAAGGGTGTTGCAAACCTGAACTATCAAAGGAAGGTTCAACTCTGTGAGTTGAATACAAACATCACAAAGAATGTTCTGAGTTTGCTTCCGTTCAGTTATGGGAAGTTGATCCCGTTTCCAACGAAATCCTCAGAGAGGTCCAAATATCCCCTTGCAGATTCTACAAAACGTGTGTTTGGAAACTGCTCCATCATAACGAATGTTCAGCTCCCTGAGTTAAACTCCATCGTCACAAAGAATTTTCTGAGAGTGCTACCGTGTGGTTTTTATATGAAGTTCTTTCCTTCACTACCACAGACCTCAAAGCGGTCCAAATCTCCACTTGCAGATTCTACAAAAAGAGTGTTTGCAAACTGCTCTATCAAAAGGAATGTTCAACTCTGGGAGTTGAATGCAATCATCACAGAGCAGTTTCTGAGAATGCTTCTATGTCGTTTTTAGGAGAAGATATTTCCTTTTCCAACACAGTCCTCCAAGCCCGCTAAATAGCCACTTGCACATTGTAGAAAAAGTGTGTCAAAGCTGCGCTATCAAAGGGAAAGTTCAACTCTGTGAGGTGAATGCAAACATCCCAAAGAAGTTTCTGAGAATGCTTCCGTTTAGCTTTTAGGTGAAGATTATCCCGTTTCCAACGAAACCTTCAAAGAGGTCCAAATATCCCCTTGCGGATCCCACAGAAAGAGTGTTTCGAAACTGCTGTTTCAAAAGGAATCTTCAACTCTGTGAGTTGAATGCAATCATCACAAAGAAGTTTCTGACAATGCTTCTCTCTCGTCTTTCTGTGAAGATAAAGGAAAAGGCTTTCAGGCCTTTTCCACCACAGGCCTGAAAGCGCTCCAAATGTCCACTTGCAGATTCTGCGAAAAGAATATTTCAAAACTGCTCTATGAAAAGCAATGTTAAACTCTGTGGCTCGAACACAAACATCACAAAGCGGTTTCTGAGAATGTTTCAGTTTAGTTTTTCTGTGGAAATATTCCCGTTTCCAAAGAAATCTTCAAAGAGGTCCACGTATCCACTTACAGATTCTACAAAAAGACAGTTTCAAAACTGCTCCATCAAAAGGAGGGTTCAACTGTGTGACTTGAATGCAATCATCACTCAGAAGTTTCTGAGAATGCTTCTCTTTAGTTTTTACGTGAACATATACCCGTTTCGAACGAAGGCCACCCAGTGGTCCAAATATCCACTTGCAGATTATACAGAAAGAGTGTTTCGAACCTGAACTCTCAAAGGCAGGTTCATCTCTGCGAGTTAAATGCATTCATCATGAAGAACTTTCTCAGAGTGTTTGTGTTTAGTTATGGGAAATTATTCCCGTTTCCAACGAAATCCTCAGAGAGCTCCAAATATCCACCTGCAGATTCTACCAAAAGTGTATTTGGAAACTGCTCCATCAAAAGGCATGTTCAGCTCTGTGAGTGAAACTCCATCATCACAAAGAATATTCTGAGAATGCTTCCGTTTGCCTTTTATATGAAGTTCCTTCCTGTACTACCGTAGGCCTCAAAGCAGTCCAAATCTCCATTTGCAGATTCTATAAAAAGAGTGATTCCAATCTGCTCTATCAATAGGATTGTTCAACTCCATGAGTTGAATGCCATCCTCACAAAGTAGTTTCTGAGAATGCTTCTATCTAGTTTTTATGTGAAGATATTTCCTTTTCCACCACAGGCCTCAAAGCCCTCCAAACGTCCACTTGCAGATTCTCGAAAAAGAGTGTTTCATAGCTGCTCTTTCAAAAGGAAAGTTCAACTCTGGGAGTTGAATACAAACATCACAAAGTAGTTTCCGAGAATGCTTCTGTTTAGTTTTTATGTGAAGATGACCCCGTTTCCAGTGAAATCATCAAAGAGGTCCACATATCCCCTTGCAGATTCCAAAGAAAGAGGGTTTCAAAACTGCTCCATCAGAAGGATTGTTCAACTCTGTGAGTTGAATGCAGTCATCGCAGAAAACTTTCTGAGAATGCTTCTTTCTAGGTTTGATGTGAAGATATAGACGTTTCAAACGAAGGCTACAAAGTGGTCAAAATATACACTTGCAGATTCTACTACAAGGGTGTTGCAAACCTGAACTATCAAAGGAAGGTTCAACTCTGTGAGTTGAATACAAACATCACAAAGAATGTTCTGAGTTTGCTTCCGTTCACTTATGGGAAGTTGATCCCGTTTCCAACGAAATCCTCAGAGAGGTCCAAATATCCCCTTGCAGATTCTACAAAACGTGTGTTTGGAAACTGCTCCATCATAACGAATGTTCAGCTCTCTGAGTTAAACTCCATCGTCACAAAGAATTTTCTGAGAGTGCTACCGTCTAGTTTTTATATGAAGTTCTTTCCTTTACTACCACAGGCCTCAAAGCGGTCCAAATCTCCACTTGCAGATTCTACAAAAAGAGTGTTTGCAAACTGCTCTATCAAAAGGAATGTTCAACTCTGGGAGTTGAATGCAATCATCACAGAGCAGTTTCTGAGAATGCTTCTATGTCGTTTTTAGGAGAAGATATTTCCTTTTCCAACACAGTGCTCCAAGCCCGCTAAATATCCACTTGCAAATTGTAGAAAAAGTGTGTCGAAGCTGCGCTATCAAAGGGAAAGTTCAACTCTGTGAGGTGAATGCAAACATCCCAAAGAAGTTTCTGAGAATGCTTCCGTTTAGCTTTTAGGTGAAGATTATCCCGTTTCCAACGAAATCTTCAAAGAGGTCCAAATATCCCCTTGCGGATCCCACAGAAAGAGTGTTTCGAAACTGCTGTTTCAAAAGGAATCTTCAACTCTGTGAGTTGAATGCAATCATCACAAAGAAGTTTCTGACAATGCTTCTCTCTCGTCTTTCTGTGAAGATAAAGGAAAAGGCTTTCAGGCCTTTTCCACCACAGGCCTGAAAGCGCTCCAAATGTCCACTTGCAGATTCTGCCAAAAGAATATTTCAAAACTGCTCTATGAAAAGCAATGTTAAACTCTGCGGCTCGAACACAAACATCACAAAGCAGTTTCTGAGAATGCTTCAGTTTAGTTTTTCTGTGGAAATATTCCCGTTTCCAAAGAAATCTTCAAAGAGGTCCACGTATCCACTTACAGATTCTACAAAAAGACAGTTTCAAAACTGCTCAATCAAAAGGAGGGTTCAACCGTATGACTTGAATGCAATCATCACGCAGAAGTTTCTGAGAATGCTTCTCTTTAGTTTTTACGTGAACATATACCCGTTTTGAACGAAGGCCACCCAGTGGTCCAAATATCCACTTGCAGATTCTACAGAAAGAGTGTTTCGAACCTGAACTCTCAAAGGCAGGTTCATCTCTGCGAGTTCAATGCATTCATCATGAAGAACTTTCTCAGAGTGTTTGTGTTTAGGTATGGGAAATTATTCCCGTTTCCAACGAAATCCTCAGAGAGGTCCAAATATCCACCTGCAGATTCTACCAAAAGTGTATTTGGAAACTGCTCCATCAAAAGGCATGTTCAGCTCTGTGAGTGAAACTCCATCATCACAAAGAATATTCTGAGAATGCTTCCATTTGCCTTTTATATGAAGTTCCTTCCTATACTACCGTAGGCCTCAAAGCAGTCCAAATCTCCATTTGCAGATCCTACAAAAAGAGTGATTCCAATCTGCTCTATCAATAGGATTGTTCAACTCCATGAGTTGAATGCCATCCTCACAAAGTAGTCTCTGAGAATGCTTCTATCTAGTTTTTATGTGAAGATATTTCCTTTTCCACCACAGCCTCAAAGCCCTCCAAACGTCCACTTGCAGATTCTCGAAAAAGAGTGTTTCATAGCTGCTCTTTCAAAAGGAAAGTTCAACTCTGGGTGTTGAATACAAACATCACAAAGTAGTTTCCGAGAATGCTTCTGTTTAGTTCTTATGTGAAGATGATCCCGTTTCCAGTGAAATCTTCAAAGAGGTCCACATATCCCCTTGCAGATTCCAAAGAAAGAGGGTTTCAAAACTGCTCCATCAAAAGGATTGTTCAACTCTGTGAGTTGAATGCAGTCATCGCAGAAAACTTTCTGAGAATGCTTCTGTCTAGGTTTGAGGTGAAGATATAGACGTTTCAAACGAAGGCTACAAAGTGGTCAAAATATACACTTGCAGATTCTACTACAAGGGTGTTGCAAACCTGAACTATCAAAGGAAGGTTCAACTCTGTGAGTTGAATACAAACATCACAAAGAATGTTCTGAGTTTGCTTCCGTTCAGTTATGGGAAGTTGATCCCGTTTCCAACGAAATCCTCAGAGAGGTCCAAATATCCCCTTGCAGATTCTACAAAACGTGTGTTTGGAAACTGCTCCATCATAACGAATGTTCAGCTCTCTGAGTTAAACTCCATCGTCACAAAGAATTTTCTGAGAGTGCTACCGTCTGGTTTTTATATGAAGTTCTTTCCTTTACTATCACAGGCCTCAAAGCGGTCCAAATCTCCACTTGCAGATTCTACAAAAAGAGTGTTTGCAAACTGCTCTATCAAAAGGAATGTTCAACTCTGGGAGTTGAATACAATCATCACAGAGCAGTTTCTGAGAATGCTTCTATGTCGTTTTTAGGAGAAGATATTTCCTTTTCCAACACAGTCCTCCAAGCCCGCTAAATATCCACTTGCACATTGTAGAAACAGTGTGTCGAAGCTGCGCTATCAAAGGGAAAGTTCAACTCTGTGAGGTGAATGCAAACATCCCAAAGAAGTTTCTGAGAATGCTTCCGTTTAGCTTTTAGGTGAAGATTATCCCGTTTCCAACGAAATCTTCAAAGAGGTCCAAATATCCCCTTGCGGATCCCACAGAAAGAGTGTTTCGAAACTGCTGTTTCAAAAGGAATCTACAACTCTGTGGGTTGAATGCAATCATCACAAAGCAGTTTCTGACAATGCTTCTCTCTCGTCTTTCTGTGAAGATAAAGGAAAAGGCTTTCAGGCCTTTTCCACCACAGGCCTGAAAACGCTCTAAATGTCCACTTGCAGATTCTGCCAAAAGAATATTTCAAAACTGCTCTATGAAAAGCAATGTTAAACTCTGCGGCTCGAACACCAACATCACAAAGCAGTTTCTGAGAATGCTTCAGTTTAGTTTTTCTGTGGAAATATTCCCGTTTCCAAAGAAATCTTCAAAGAGGTCCACGTATCCACTTACAGATTCTACAAAAAGACAGTTTCAAAACTGCTCCATCAAAAGGAGGGTTCAACTGTGTGACTTGAATGCAATCATCACTCAGAAGTTTCTGAGAATGCTTCTCTTTAGTTTTTACGTGAACATATACCCGTTTCGAACGAAGGCCACCCAGTGGTCCAAATATCCACTTGCAGATTCTACAGAAAGAGTGTTTCGAACCTGAACTCTCAAAGGCAGGTTCATCTCTGCGAGTTAAATGCATTCATCATGAAGAACTTTCTCAGAGTGTTTGTGTTTAGGTATGGGAAATTATTGCCGTTTCCAACGAAATCCTCAGAGAGGTCCAAATATCCACCTGCAGATTCTACCAAAAGTGTATTTGGAAACTGCTCCATCAAAAGGCATGTTCAGCTCTGTGAGTGAAACTCCATCATCACAAAGAATATTCTGAGAATGCTTCCGTTTGCCTTTTATATGAAGTTCCTTCCTATACGACCGTAGGCCTCAAAGCAGTCCAAATCTCCATTTGCAGATTCTACAAAAAGAGTGATTCCAATCTGCTCTATCAATAGGATTGTTCAACTCCATGAGTTGAATGCCATCCTCACAAAGTAGTTTCTGAGAATGCTTCTATTCTAGTTTTTATGTGAAGATATTTCCTTTTCCACCACAGGCCTCAAAGCCCTCCAAACGTCCACTTGCAGATTCTCGAAAAAGAGTGTTTCATAGCTGCTCTTTCAAAAGGAAAGTTCAACTCTGGGAGTTGAATACAAACATCACAAAGTAGTTTCCGAGAATGCTTCTGTTTAGTTTTTATGTGAAGATGATCCCGTTTCCAGTGAAATCTTCAAAGAGGTCCACATATCCCCTTGCAGATTCCAAAGAAAGAGGGTTTCAAAACTGCTCCATCAGAAGGATTGTTCAACTCTGTGAGTTGAATGCAGTCATCGCAGAAAACTTTCTGAGAATGCTTCTGTCTAGGTTTGATGTGAAGATATAGACGTTTCAAACGAAGGCTACAAAGTGGTCAAAATATACACTTGCAGATTCTACTACAAGGGTGTTGCAAACCTGAACTATCAAAGGAAGGTTCAACTCTGTGAGTTGAATACAAACATCACAAAGAATGTTCTGAGTTTGCTTCCGTTCAGTTATGGGAAGTTGATCCCGTTTCCAACGAAATCCTCAGAGAGGTCCAAATATCCCCTCACAGATTCTACAAAACGTGTGTTTGGAAACTGCTCCATCATAACGAATGTTCAGCTCCCTGAGTTAAACTCCATCGTCACAAAGAATTTTCTGAGAGTGCTACCGTCTGGTTTTTATATGAAGTTCTTTCCTTCACTATCACAGGCCTCAAAGAGGTCGAAATCTCCACTTGCAGATTCTACAAAAAGAGTGTTTGCAAACTGCTCTATCAAAAGGAATGTTCAACTCTGGGAGTTGAATGCAATCATCACAGAGCAGTTTCTGAGAATGCTTCTATGTCGTTTTTAGGAGAAGATATTTCCTTTTCCAACACAGTCCTCCAAGCCCGCTAAATAGCCACTTGCACATTGTAGAAAAAGTGTGTCAAAGCTGCGCTATCAAAGGGAAAGTTCAACTCTGTGAGGTCAATGCAAACATCCCAAAGAAGTTTCTGAGAATGCTTCCGTTTAGCTTTTAGGTGACGATTATCCAGTTTCCAACGAAACCTTCAAAGAGATCCAAATATCCCCTTGCGGATCCCACAGAAAGAGTGTTTCGAAACTGCTGTTTCAAAAGGAATCTTCAACTCTGTGAGTTGAATGCAATCATCACAAAGAAGTTTCTGACAATGCTTCTCTCTCGTCTTTCTGTGAAGATAAAGGAAAAGGCTTTCAGGCCTTTTCCACCACAGGCCTGAAAGCGCTCCAAATGTCCACTTGCAGATTCTGCCAAAAGAATATTTCAAAACTGCTCTATGAAAAGCAATGTTAAACTCTGCGGCTCGAACACAAACATCACAAAGCAGTTTCTGAGAATGCTTCAGTTTAGTTTTTCTGTGGAAATATTCCCGTTTCCAAAGAAATCTTCAAAGAGGTCCACGCATCCACTTACAGATTCTACAAAAAGACAGTTTCAAAACTGCTCAATCAAAAGGAGGGTTCAACTGTGTGACTTGAATGCATTCATCACTCAGAAGTTTCTGAGAACGCTTCTCTTTAGTTTTTACGTGAACATATACCCGTTTCGAACGAAGGCCACACAGTTGTCCAAATATCCACTTGCAGATTCTACAGAAAGAGTGTTTCAAACCTGAACTCTCAAAGGAAGGTTCATCACTGTGAGTTAAATGCATTCATCATGAAGAACTTTCTCAGAATGTTTGTGTTTAGTCATGGGAAGTCTTTCCCATTTCCAACGAAATCCTCAGAGAGGTCCAAATATCCACTTGCAGATTCTACTAAAAGTGTATTTGGAAACTGCTCCATCAAAAGGCATGTTCAGCTCTGTGAGTTAAACTCCATCATCACAAAGAATATTCTGAGAATGCTTCCGTTTGCTTTTTATATGAAGTTCCTTCCTATACTACCGTAGGCCTCAAAGCAGTCCAAATCTCCATTTACAGATTCTACAAAAAGAGTGTTTCCAATCTGCTCTATCAATAGGATTGTTCAACTCCGTGAGTTGAATGCCATCCTCACAAAGTAGTTTCTGAGAATGCTTCTATCTGGTTTTTGTGTGAAGATATTTCCTTTTCCACCACAGGCCTCAAAGCCCTCCAAACGTCCACTTGCAGATTCTCGAAAAAGAGTGTTTCATAGCTGCTCTTTCAAAAGGAAAGTTCAACTCTGGGAGTTGAATACAAACATCACAAAATAGTTTCCGAGAATGCTTCTGTTTAGTTTTTATGTGAAGATGATCCCGTTTCCAGTGAAATCTTCAAAGAGGTCCACATATCCCCTTGCAGATTCCAAAGAAAGGGGGTTTAAAAACTGCTCCATCAGAAGGATTGTTCAACTCTGTGAGTTGAATGCAGTCATCGCAGAAAACTTTCTGAGAATGCTTCTGTCTAGGTTTGATGTGAAGATATAGACGTTTCAAACGAAGGCTACAAAGTGGTCAAAATATACACTTGCAGATTCTACTACAAGGGTGTTGCAAACCTGAACTATCAAAGGAAGGTTCAACTCTGTGAATTGAATACAAACATCACAAAGAATGTTCTGAGTTTGCTTCCGTTCAGTTATGGGAAGTTGATCCCGTTTCCAACGAAATCCTCAGAGAGGTCCAAATATCCCCTCGCAGATTCTACAAAACGTTTGTTTGGAAACTGCTCCATCATAACGAATGTTCAGCTCCCTGAGTTAAACTCCATCGTCACAAAGAATTTTCTGAGAGTGCTACCGTCTGGTTTTTATATGAAGTTCTTTCCTTCACTACCACAGGCCTCAAAGCGGTCCAAATCCCCACTTGCAGATTCTACAAAAAGAGTGTTTGCAAACTGCTCTATCAAAAGGAATGTTCAACTCTGGGAGTTGAATGCAATCATCACAGAGCAGTTTCTGAGAATGCTTCTATGTCGTTTTTAGGAGAAGATATTTCCTTTTCCAACACAGTCCTCCAAGCCCGCTAAATAGCCACTTGCACATTGTAGAAAAAGTGTGTCGAAGCTGCGCTATCAAAGGGAAAGTTCAACTCTGTGAGGTGAATGCAAACATCCCAAAGAAGTTTCTGAGAATGCTTCCGTTTAGCTTTTAGGTGAAGATTATCCCGTTTCCAACGAAACCTTCAAAGTAGGTCCAAATATCCCCTTGCGGATCCCACAGAAAGAGTGTTTCGAAACTGCTGTTTCAAAAGGAATCTTCAACTCTGTGAGTTGAATGCAATCATCACAAAGAAGTTTCTGACAATGCTTCTCTCTCGTCTTTCTGTGAAGATAAAGGAAAAGGCTTTCAGGCCTTTTCCACCACAGGCCTGAAAGCGCTCCAAATGTCCACTTGCAGATTCTGTGAAAAGAATATTGCAAAACTGCTCTATGAAAAGCAATGTTAAACTCTGTGGCTCGAACACAAACATCACAAAGCAGTTTCTGAGAATGCTTCAGTTTAGTTTTTCTGTGGAAATATTCCCGTTTCCAAAGAAATCTTCAAAGAGGTCCACGTATCCACTTACAGATTCTACAAAAAGACAGTTTCAAAACTGCTCCATCAAAAGGAGGGTTCTACTGTGTGACTTGAATGCAATCATCACTCACAAGTTTCTGAGAATGCTTCTCTTTAGTTTTTACGTGAACATATACCCGTTTCGAACGAAGGCCACCCAGTGGTCCAAATATCCACTTGCAGATTCTACGGAAAGAGTGTTTCAAACCTGAACTCTCAAAGGCAGGTTCATCTCTGCGAGTTAAATGCATTCATCATGAAGAACTTTCTCAGAGTGTTTGTGTTTAGTTATGGGAAATTATTCCCGTTTCCAACGAAATCCTCAGAGAGCTCCAAATATCCACCTGCAGATTCTACCAAAAGTGTATTTGGAAACTGCTCCATCAAAAGGCATGTTCAGCTCTGTGAGTGAAACTCCATCATCACAAAGAATATTCTGAGAATGCTTCCGTTTGCCTTTTATATGAAGTTCCTTCCTATACGACCGTAGGCCTCAAAGCAGTCCAAATCTCCATTTGCAGATTCTACAAAAAGAGTGATTCCAATCTGCTCTATCAATAGGATTGTTCAACTCCATGAGTTGAATGCCATCCTCACAAAGTAGTTTCTGAGAATGCTTCTATCTAGTTTTTATGTGAAGATATTTCCTTTTCCACCACAGGCCTCTAAGCCCTCCAAACGTCCACTTGCAGATTCTCGAAAAAGAGTGTTTCATAGCTGCTCTTTCAAAAGGAAAGTTCAACTCTGGGAGTTGAATACAAACATCACAAAGTAGTTTCCGAGAATGCTTCTGTTTAGTTTTTATGTGAAGATGATCCCGTTTCCAGTGAAATCTTCAAAGAGGTCCACATATCCCCTTGCAGATTCCAAAGAAAGAGGGTTTCAAAACTGCTCCATCAGAAGGATTGTTCAACTCTGTGAGTTGAATGCAGTCATCGCAGAAAACTTTCTGAGAATGCTTCTGTCTAGGTTTGATGTGAAGATATAGACGTTTCAAACGAAGGCTACAAAGTGGTCAAAATATACACTTGCAGATTCTACTACAAGGGTGTTGCAAACCTGAACTATCAAAGGAAGGTTCAACTCTGTGAGTTGAATACAAACATCACAAAGAATGTTCTGAGTTTGCTTCCGTTCAGTTATGGGAAGTTGATCCCGTTTCCAACGAAATCCTCAGAGAGGTCCAAATATCCCCTTGCAGATTCTACAAAACGTGTGTTTGGAAACTGCTCCATCATAACGAATGTTCAGCTCCCTGAGTTAAACTCCATTGTCACAAAGAATTTTCTGAGAGTGCTGCCGTCTGGTTTTTATATGAAGTTCTTTCCTTCACTACCACAGACCTCAAAGCGGTCCAAATCTCCACTTGCAGATTCTACAAAAAGAGTGTTTGCAAACTGCTCTATCAAAAGGAATGTTCAACTCTGGGAGTTGAATGCAATCATCACAGAGCAGTTTCTGAGAATGCTTCTATGTCGTTTTTAGGAGAAGATATTTCCTTTTCCAACACAGTCCTCCAAGCCCGCTAAATAGCCACTTGCACATTGTAGAAAAAGTGTGTCAAAGCTGCGCTATCAAAGGGAAAGTTCAACTCTGTGAGGTGAATGCAAACATCCCAAAGAAGTTTCTGAGAATGCTTCCGTTTAGCTTTTAGGTGAAGATTATCCCGTTTCCAACGAAACCTTCAAAGAAGTCCAAATATCCCCTTGCGGATCCCACAGAAAGAGTGTTTCGAAACTGCTGTTTCAAAAGGAATCTTCAACTCTGTGAGTTGAATGCAATCATCACAAAGAAGTTTCTGACAATGCTTCTTCTCTCTCGTCTTTCTGTGAAGATAAATAAATGCTTTCAGGCCTTTGCCACCACAGGCCTGAAAGCGCTCCAAATGTCCACTTGCAGATTCTGCGAAAAGAATATTTCAAAACTGCTTTGTGAAAAGCAATGTTAAACTCTGTGGCTCGAACACAAACATCACAAAGCGGTTTCTGAGAATGCTTCAGTTTAGTTTTTCTGTGGAAATATTCCCGTTTCCAAAGAAATCTTCAAAGAGGTCCACGTATCCACTTACAGATTCTACAAAAAGACAGTTTCAAAACTGCTCCATCAAAAGGAGGGTTCAACTGTGTGACTTGAATGCAATCATCACTCAGAAGTTTCTGAGAATGCTTCTCTTTAGTTTTTACGTGAACATATACCCGTTTCGAACGAAGGCCAGCCAGTGGTCCAAATATCCACTTGCAGATTCTACAGAAGGAGTGTTTCGAACCTGAACTCTCAAAGGCAGGTTCATCTCTGCGAGTTAAATGCATTCATCATGAAGAACTTTCTCAGCGTGTTTGTGTTTAGTTATGGGAAATTATTCCCGTTTCCAACGAAATCCTCAGAGAGCTCCAAATATCCACCTGCAGATTCTACCAAAAGTGTATTTGGAAACTGCTCCATCAAAAGGCATGTTCAGCTCTGTGAGTGAAACTCCATCATCACAAAGAATATTCTGAGAATGCTTCCGTTTGCCTTTTATATGAAGTTCCTTCCTGTACTACTGTAGGCCTCAAAGCAGTCCAAATCTCCATTTGCAGATTCTACAAAAAGAGTGATTCCAATCTGCTCTATCAATAGGATTGTTCAACTCCATGAGTTGAATGCCATCCTCACAAAGTAGTTTCTGAGAATGCTTCTATCTGGTTTTTGTGTGAAGATATTTCCTTTTCCACCACAGGCCTCAAAGCCCTCCAAACGTCCACTTGCAGATTCTAGAAAAAGAGTGTTTCATAGCTGCTCTTTCAAAAGGAAAGTTCAACTCTGGGAGTTGAATACAAACATCACAAAATAGTTTCCGAGAATGCTTCTGTTTAGTTTTTATGTGAAGATGATCCCGTTTCCAGTGAAATCTTCAAAGAGGTCCACATATCCCCTTGCAGATTCCAAAGAAAGAGGGTTTAAAAACTGCTCCATCAGAAGGATTGTTCAACTCTGTGAGTTGAATGCAGTCATCGTAGAAAACTTTCTGAGAATGCTTCTGTCTAGGTTTGATGTGAAGATATAGACGTTTCAAACGAAGGCTACAAAGTGGTCAAAATATACACTTGCAGATTCTACTACAAGGGTGTTGCAAACCTGAACTATCAAAGGAAGGTTCAACTCTGTGAATTGAATACAAACATCACAAAGAATGTTCTGAGTTTGCTTCCGTTCAGTTATGGGAAGTTGATCCCGTTTCCAACGAAATCCTCAGAGAGGTCCAAATATCCCCTCGCAGATTCTACAAAACGTGTGTTTGGAAACTGCTCCATCATAACGAATGTTCAGCTCCCTGAGTTAAACTCCATCGTCACAAAGAATTTTCTGAGAGTGCTACCGTCTGGTTTTTATATGAAGTTCTTTCCTTCACTACCACAGGCCTCAAAGCGGTCCAAATCTCCACTTGCAGATTCTACAAAAAGAGTGTTTGCAAACTGCTCTATCAAAAGGAATGTTCAACTCTGGGAGTTGAATGCAATCATCACAGAGCAGTTTCTGAGAATGCTTCTATGTCGTTTTTAGGAGAAGATATTTCCTTTTCCAACACAGTCCTCCAAGCCCGCTAAATAGCCACTTGCACATTGTAGAAAAAGTGTGTCAAAGCTGCGCTATCAAAGGGAAAGTTCAACTCTGTGAGGTGAATGCAAACATCCCAAAGAAGTTTCTGAGAATGCTTCCGTTTAGCTTTTAGGTGAAGATTATCCCGTTTCCAACGAAACCTTCAAAGAGGTCCAAATATCCCCTTGCGGATCCCACAGAAAGAGTGTTTCGAAACTGCTGTTTCAAAAGGAATCTTCAACTCTGTGAGTTGAATGCAATCATCACAAAGAAGTTTCTGACAATGCTTCTCTCTCGTCTTTCTGTGAAGATAAAGGAAAAGGCTTTCAGGCCTTTGCCACCACAGGCCTGAAAGCGCTCCAAATGTCCACTTGCAGATTCTGCGAAAAGAATATTTCAAAACTGCTCTATGAAAAGCAATGTTAAACTCTGTGGCTCGAACACAAACATCACAAAGCAGTTTCTGAGAATGCTTCAGTTTAGTTTTTCTGTGGAAATATTCCCGTTTCCAAAGAAATCTTCAAAGAGGTCCACGTATCCACTTACAGATTCTACAAAAAGACAGTTTCAAAACTGCTCCATCAAAAGGAGGGTTCAACTGTGTGACTTGAATGCAATCATCACTCAGAAGTTTCTGAGAATGCTTCTCTTTAGTTTTTACGTGAACATATACCCGTTTCGAACGAAGGCCACCCAGTGGTCCAAATATCCACTTGCAGATTCTACAGAAAGAGTGTTTCGAACCTGAACTCTCAAAGGCAGGTTCATCTCTGCGAGTTAAATGCATTCATCATGAAGAACTTTCTCAGAGTGTTTGTGTTTAGTTATGGGAAATTATTCCCGTTTCCAACGAAATCCTCAGAGAGCTCCAAATATCCACCTGCAGATTCTACCAAAAGTGTATTTGGAAACTGCTCCATCAAAAGGCATGTTCACCTCTGTGAGTGAAACTCCATCATCACAAAGAATATTCTGAGAATGCTTCCGTTTGCCTTTTATATGAAGTTCCTTCCTGTACTACCGTAGGCCTCAAAGCAGTCCAAATCTCCATTTGCAGATTCTATGAAAAGAGTGATTCCAATCTGCTCTATCAATAGGATTGTTCAATTCCATGAGTTGAATGCCATCCTCACAAAGTAGTTTCTGAGAATGCTTCTATCTGGTTTTTGTGTGAAGATATTTCCTTTTCCACCACAGGCCTCAAAGCCCTCCAAACGTCCACTTGCAGATTCTCGAAAAAGAGTGTTTCATAGCTGCTCTTTCAAAAGGAAAGTTCAACTCTGGGAGTTGAATGCAAACATCACAAAATAGTTTCCGAGAATGCTTTCTGTTTAGTTTTTATGTGAAGATGATCCCGTTTCCAGTGAAATCTTCAAAGAGGTCCACATATCCCCTTGCAGATTCCAAAGAAAGAGGGTTTCAAAACTGCTCCATCAGAAGGATTGTTCAACTCTGTGAGTTGAATGCAGTCATCGCAGAAAACTTTCTGAGAATGCTTCTGTCTAGGTTTGATGTGAAGATATAGACGTTTCAAATGAAGGCTACAAAGTGGTCAAAATATACACTTGCAGATTCTACTACAAGGGTGTTGCAAACCTGAACTATCAAAGGAAGGTTCAACTCTGTGAGTTGAATACAAACATCACAAAGAATGTTCTGAGTTTGCTTCCGTTCAGTTATGGGAAGTTGATCCCGTTTCCAACGAAATCCTCAGAGAGGTCCAAATATCCCCTTGCAGATTCTACAAAACGTGTGTTTGGAAACTGCTCCATCATAACGAATGTCCAGCTCCCTGAGTTAAACTCCATCGTCACAAAGAATTTTCTGAGAGTGCTACCGTCTGGTTTTTATATGAAGTTCTTTCCTTCACTACCACAGGCCTCAAAGCGGTCCAAATCTCCACTTGCAGATTCTACAAAAAGAGTGTTTGCAAACTGCTCTATCAAAAGGAATGTTCAACTCTGGGAGTTGAATGCAATCATCACAGAGCAGTTTCTGAGAATGCTTCTATGTCGTTTTTAGGAGAAGATATTTCCTTTTCCAACACAGTCCTCCAAGCCCGCTAAATAGCCACTTGCACATTGTAGAAAACGTGTGTCAAAGCTGCGCTATCAAAGGGAAAGTTCAACTCTGTGAGGTGAATGCAAACATCCCAAAGAAGTTTCTGAGAATGCTTCCGTTTAGCTTTTAGGTGAAGATTATCCCGTTTCCAACGAAAACCTTCAAAGAGGTCCAAATATCCCCTTGCGGATCCCACAGAAAGAGTGTTTCGAAACAGCTGTTTCAAAAGGAATCTTCAACTCTGTGAGTTGAATGCAATCATCACAAAGAAGTTTCTGACAATGCTTCTCTCTCGTCTTTCTGTGAAGATAAAGGAAAAGGCTTTCAGGCCTTTTCCACCACAGGCCTGAAAGCGCTCCAAATGTCCACTTGCAGATTCTGCCAAAAGAATATTTCAAAACTGCTCTATGAAAAGCAATGTTAAACTCTGTGGCTCGAACACAAACATCACAAAGCAGTTTCTGAGAATGCTTCAGTTTAGTTTTTCTGTGGAAATATTCCCGTTTCCAAAGAAATCTTCAAAGAGGTCCACGCATCCACTTACAGATTCTACAAAAAGACAGTTTCAAAACTGCTCAATCAAAAGGAGGGTTCAACTGTGTGACTTGAATGCAATCATCACTCAGAAGTTTCTAAGAACGCTTCTCTTTAGTTTTTACGTGAACATATACCCGTTTCGAACGAAGGCCAGCCAGTGGTCCAAATATCCACTTGCAGATTCTACAGAAAGAGTGTTTCGAACCTGAACTCTCAAAGGCAGGTTCATCTCTGCGAGTTCAATGCATTCATCATGAAGAACGTTCTCAGCGTGTTTGTGTTTAGTTATGGGAAATTATTCCCGTTTCCAACGAAATCCTCAGAGAGCTCCAAATATCCACCTGCAGATTCTACCAAAAGTGTATTTGGAAACTGCTCCATCAAAAGGCATGTTCAGCTCTGTGAGTGAAACTCCATCATCACAAAGAATATTCTGAGAATGCTTCCGTTTGCCTTTTATATGAAGTTCCTTCCCATACTACCGTAGGCCTCAAAGCAGTCCAAATCTCCATTTGCAGATTCTACAAAAAGAGTGATTCCAATCTGCTCTATCAATAGGATTGTTCAACTCCATGAGTTGAATGCCATCGTCACAAAGTAGTTTCTGAGAATGCTTCTATCTAGTTTTTATGTGAAGATATTTCCTTTTCCACCACAGGCCTCAAAGCCCTCCAAACGTCCACTTGCAGATTCTCGAAAAAGAGTGTTTCATAGCTGCTCTTTCAAAAGGAAAGTTCAACTCTGGGAGTTGAATACAAACATCACAAAGTAGTTTCCGAGAATGCTTCTGTTTAGTTCTTATGTGAAGATGATCCCGTTTCCAGTGAAATCTTCAAAGAGGTCCACATATCCCCTTGCAGATTCCAAAGAAAGAGGGTTTCAAAACTGCTCCATCAAAAGGATTGTTCAACTCTGTGAGTTGAATGCAGTCATCGCAGAAAACTTTCTGAGAATGCTTCTGTCTAGGTTTGATGTGAAGATATAGACGTTTCAAATGAAGGCTACAAAGTGGTCAAAATATACACTTGCAGATTCTACTACAAGGGTGTTGCAAACCTGAACTATCAAAGGAAGGTTCAACTCTGTGAGTTGAATACAAACATCACAAAGAATGTTCTGAGTTTGCTTCCGTTCAGTTATGGGAAGTTGATCCCGTTTCCAACGAAATCCTCAGAGAGGTCCAAATATCCCCTCGCAGATTCTACAAAACGTGTGTTTGGAAACTGCTCCATCATAACGAATGTTCAGCTCCCTGAGTTAAACTCCATCGTCACAAAGAATTTTCTGAGAGTGCTACCGTCTGGTTTTTATATGAAGTTCTTTCCTTCACTACCACAGGCCTCAAAGCGGTCCAAATCTCCACTTGCAGATTCTACAAAAAGAGTGTTTGCAAACTGCTCTATCAAAAGGAATGTTCAACTCTGGGAGTTGAATGCAATCATCACAGAGCAGTTTCTGAGAATGCTTCTATGTCGTTTTTAGGAGAAGATATTTCCTTTTCCAACACAGTCCTCCAAGCCCGCTAAATAGCCACTTGCACATTGTAGAAAAAGTGTGTCAAAGCTGCGCTATCAAAGGGAAAGTTCAACTCTGTGAGGTGAATGCAAACATCCCAAAGAAGTTTCTGAGAATGCTTCTCTCTCGTCTTTCTGTGAAGATAAAGGAAAAGGCTTTCAGGCCTTTTCCACCACAGGCCTGAAAGCGCTCCAAATGTCCACTTGCAGATTCTGCGAAAAGAATATTTCAAAACTGCTCTATGAAAAGCAATGTTAAACTCTGTGGCTGGAACACAAACATCACAAAGCGGTTTCTGAGAATGTTTCAGTTTAGTTTTTCTGTGGAAATATTCCCGTTTCGAAAGAAATCTTCAAAGAGGTCCACGCATCCACTTACAGATTCTACAAAAAGACAGTTTCAAAACTGCTCAATCAAAAGGAGGGTTCAACCGTGTGACTTGAATGCAATCATCACTCAGAAGTTTCTGAGAACGCTTCTCTTTAGTTTTTACGTGAACATATACCCGTTTCGAACGAAGGCCACCCAGTGGTCCAAATATCCACTTGCAGATTCTACAGAAAGAGTGTTTCGAACCTGAACTCTCAAAGGCAGGTTCATCTCTGCGAGTTCAATGCATTCAACATGAAGAACTTTCTCAGCGTGTTTGTGTTTAGTTATGGGAAATTATTCCCGTTTCCAACGAAATCCTCAGAGAGCTCCAAATATCCACCTGCAGATTCTACCAAAAGTGTATTTGGAAACTGCTCCATCAAAAGGCATGTTCAGCTCTGTGAGTGAAACTCCATCATCACAAAGAATATTCTGAGAATGCTTCCGTTTGCCTTTTATATGAAGTTCCTTCCTATACTACCGTAGGCCTCAAAGCAGTCCAAATCTCCATTTGCAGATTCTACAAAAAGAGTGATTCCAATCTGCTCTATCAATAGGATTGTTCAACTCCATGAGTTGAATGCCATCCTCACAAAGTCGTTTCTGAGAATGCTTCTATCTAGTTTTTATGTGAAGATATTTCCTTTTCCACCACAGGCCTCAAAGCCCTCCAAACGTCCACTTGCAGATTCTCGAAAAAGAGTGTTTCATAGCTGCTCTTTCAAAAGGAATGTTCAACTCTGGGAGTTGAATACAAACATCACAAAGTCGTTTCCGAGAATGCTTCTGTTTAGTTCTTATGTGAAGATGATCCCGTTTCCAGTGAAATCTTCAAAGAGGTCCACATATCCCCTTGCAGATTCCAAAGAAAGAGGGTTTCAAAACTGCTCCATCAAAAGGATTGTTCAACTCTGTGAGTTGAATGCAGTCATCGCAGAAAACTTTCTGAGAATGCTTCTGTCTAGGTTTGAGGTGAAGATATAGACGTTTCAAACGAAGGCTACAAAGTGGTCAAAATATACACTTGCAGATTCTACTACAAGGGTGTTGCAAACCTGAACAATCAAAGGAAGGTTCAACTCTGTGAGTTGAATACAAACATCACAAAGAATGTTCTGAGTTTGCTTCCGTTCAGTTATGGGAAGTTGATCCCGTTTCCAACGAAATCCTCAGAGAGGTCCAAATATCCCCTTGCAGATTCTACAAAACGTGTGTTTGGAAACTGCTCCATCATAACGAATGTTCAGCTCTCTAAGTTAAACTCCATCGTCACAAAGAATTTTCTGAGAGTGCTACCGTCTAGTTTTTATAGGAAGTTCTTTCCTTTACTACCACAGGCCTCAAAGCGGTCCAAATCTCCACTTGCAGATTCTACAAAAAGAGTGTTTGCAAACTGCTCTATCAAAAGGAATGTTCAACTCTGGGAGTTGAATGCAATCATCACAGAGCAGTTTCTGAGAATGCTTCTATGTCGTTTTTAGGAGAAGATATTTCCTTTTCCAACACAGTCCTCCAAGCCCGCTAAATATCCACTTGCACATTGTAGAAAAAGTGTGTCGAAGCTGCGCTATCAAAGGGAAAGTTCAACTCTGTGAGGTGAATGCAAACATCCCAAAGAAGTTTCTGAGAATGCTTCCGTTTAGCTTTAAGTGAAGATTATCCCGTTTCCAACGAAATCTTCAAAGAGGTCCAAATATCCCCTTGCGGATCCCACAGAAAGAGTGTTTCGAAACTGCTGTTTCAAAAGGAATCTTCAACTCTGTGAGTTGAATGCAATCATCACAAAGAAGTTTCTGACAATGCTTCTCTCTCGTCTTTCTGTGAAGATAAAGGAAAAGGCTTTCAGGCCTTTTCCACCACAGGCCTGAAAGCGCTCCAAATGTCCACTTGCAGATTCTGCCAAAAGAATATTTCAAAACTGCTCTATGAAAAGCAATGTTAAACTCTGTGGCTCGAACACAAACATCACAAAGCAGTTTCTAAGAATGCTTCAGTTTAGTTTTTCTGTGGAAATATTCCCGTTTCCAAAGAAATCTTCAAAGAGGTCCACGCATCCACTTACAGATTCTACAAATAGACAGTTTCAAAACTGCTCAATCAAAACGAGGGTTCAACTCTGTGACTTGAATGCAATCATCACTCAGAAGTTTCTGAGAACGCTTCTCTTTAGTTTTTACGTGAACATATACCCGTTTCGAATGAAGGCCACCCAGTGGTCCAAATATCCACTTGCAGATTCTACAGAAAGAGTGTTTCGAACCTGAACTCTCAAAGGCAGGTTCATCTCTGCGAGTTAAATGCATTCATCATGAAGAACTTTCTCAGCGTGTTTGTATTTAGTTATGGGAAATTATTCCCGTTTCCAACGAAATCCTCAGAGAGGTCCAAATATCCACCTGCAGATTCTACCAAAAGTGTATTTGGAAACTGCTCCATCAAAAGGCATGTTCAGCTCTGTGAGTGAAACTCCATCATCACAAAGAATATTCTGAGAATGCTTCCGTTTGCCTTTTATATGAAGTTCCTTCCTATACGACCGTAGGCCTCAAAGCAGTCCAAATCTCCATTTGCAGATTCTACAAAAAGAGTGATTCCAATCTGCTCTATCAATAGGATTGTTCAACTCCATGAGTTGAATGCCATCCTCACAAAGTCGTTTCTGAGAATGCTTCTATCTAGTTTTTATGTGAAGATATTTCCTTTTCCACCACAGGCCTCAAAGCCCTCCAAACGTCCACTTGCAGATTCTCGAAAAAGAGTGTTTCATAGCTGCTCTTTCAAAAGGAAATTTCAACTCTGGGAGTTGAATACAAACATCACAAAGTAGTTTCCGAGAATGCTTCTGTTTAGTTTTTATGTGAAGATGATCCCGTTTCCAGTGAAATCTTCAAAGAGGTCCACATATCCCCTTGCAGATTCCAAAGAAAGAGGGTTTCAAAACTGCTCCATCAGAAGGATTGTTCAACTCTGTGAGTTGAATGCAGTCATCGCAGAAAACTTTCTGAGAATGCTTCTGTCTAGGTTTGATGTGAAGATATAGACGTTTCAAACGAAGGCTACAAAGTGGTCAAAATATACACTTGCAGATTCTACTACAAGGGTGTTGCAAACCTGAACTATCAAAGGAAGGTTCAACTCTGTGAGTTGAATACAAACATCACAAAGAATGTTCTGAGTTTGCTTCCGTTCAGTTATGGGAAGTTGATCCCGTTTCCAACGAAATCCTCAGAGAGGTCCAAATATCCCCTCGCAGATTCTACAAAACGTGTGTTTGGAAACTGCTCCATCATAACGAATGTTCAGCTCCCTGAGTTAAACTCCATCGTCACAAAGAATTTTCTGAGAGTGCTACCGTCTGGTTTTTATATGAAGTTCTTTCCTTCACTACCACAGGCCTCAAAGCGGTCCAAATCTCCACTTGCAGATTCTACAAAAAGAGTGTTTGCAAACTGCTCTATCAAAAGGAATGTTCAACTCTGGGAGTTGAATGCAATCATCACAGAGCAGTTTCTGAGAATGCTTCTATGTCGTTTTTAGGAGAAGATATTTCCTTTTCCAACACAGTCCTCCTAGCCCGCTAAATAGCCACTTGCACATTGTAGAAAAAGTGTGTCAAAGCTGCGCTATCAAAGGGAAAGTTCAACTCTGTGAGGTGAATGCAAACATCCCAAAGAAGTTTCTGAGAATGCTTCCGTTTAGCTTTTAGGTGAAGATTATCCCGTTTCCAACGAAATCTTCAAAGAGGTCCAAATATCCCCTTGCGGATCCCACAGAAAGAGTGTTTCGAAACTGCTGTTTCAAAAGGAATCTTCAACTCTGTGAGTTGAATGCAATGATCACAAAGAAGTTTCTGACAATGCTTCTCTCTCGTCTTTCTGTGAAGATAAAGGAAAAGGCTTTCAGGCCTTTTCCACCACAGGCCTGAAAGCACTCCAAATGTCCACTTGCAGATTCTGCCAAAAGAATATTTCAAAACTGCTCTATGAAAAGCAATGTTAAACTCTGTGGCTCGAACACAAACATCACAAAGCAGTTTCTGAGAATGCTTCAGTTTAGTTTTTCTGTGGAAATATTCCCGTTTCCAAAGAAATCTTCAAAGAGGTCCACGCATCCACTTACAGATTGTACAAAAAGACAGTTTCAAAACTGCTCAATCAAAAGGAGGGTTCAACTGTGTGACTTGAATGCAATCATCACTCAGAAGTTTCTGAGAACGCTTCTCTTTAGTTTTTACGTGAACATATACCTGTTTCGAACGAAGGCCAGCCAGTGGTCCAAATATCCACTTGCAGATTCTACAGAAAGAGTGTTTCGAACCTGAACTCTCAGAGGCAGGTTCATCTCTGCGAGTTCAATGCATTCATCATGAAGAACTTTCTCAGCGTGTTTGTGTTTAGTTATGGGAAATTATTCCCGTTTCCAACGAAATCCTCAGAGAGGTCCAAATATCCACCTGCAGATTCTACCAAAAGTGTATTTGGAAACTGCTCTATCAAAAGGCATGTTCAGCTCTGTGAGTGAAACTCCATCATCACAAAGAATATTCTGAGAATGCTTCCGTTTGCCTTTTATATGAAGTTCCTTCCTATACTACCGTAGGCCTCAAAGCAGTCCAAATCTCCATTTGCAGATTCTACAAAAAGAGTGATTCCAATGTGCTCTATCAATAGGATTGTTCAACTCCATGAGTTGAATGCCATCCTCACAAAGTCGTTTCTGAGAATGCTTCTATCTAGTTTTTATGTGAAGATATTTCCTTTTCCACCACAGGCCTCAAAGCCCTCCAAACGTCCACTTGCAGATTCTCGAAAAAGAGTGTTTCATAGCTGCTCTTTCAAAAGGAAAGTTCAACTCTGGGAGTTGAATACAAACATCACAAAGTAGTTTCCGAGAATGCTTCTGTTTAGTTCTTATGTGAAGATGATCCCGTTTCCAGTGAAATCTTCAAAGAGGTCCACATATCCCCTTGCAGATTCCAAAGAAACAGGGTTTCAAAACTGCTCCATCAAAAGGATTGTTCAACTCTGTGAGTTGAATGCAGTCATCGCAGAAAACTTTCTGAGAATGCTTCTGTCTAGGTTTGATGTGAAGTTATAGACGTTTAAAACGAAGGCTACAAAGTGGTCAAAATATACACTTACAGATTCTACTACAAGGGTGTTGCAAACCTGAACTATCAAAGGAAGGTTCAACTCTGTGGGTTGAATACAAACATCGCAAAGAATGTTCTGAGTTTGCTTCCGTTCAGTTATGGGAAGTTGATCCCGTTTCCAACGAAATCCTCAGAGAGGTCCAAATATCCCCTTGCAGATTCTACAAAACGTGTGTTTGGAAACTGCTCCATCATAACGAATGTTCAGCTCCCTGAGTTAAACTCCATCGTCACAAAGAATTTTCTGAGAGTGCTACCGTCTGGTTTTTATATGAAGTTCTTTCCTTCACTACCACAGGCCTCAAAGCGGTCCAAATCTCCACTTGCAGATTCTACAAAAAGAGTGTTTGCGAACTGCTCTATCAAAAGGAATGTTCAACTCTGGGAGTTGAATGCAATCATCACAGAGCAGTTTCTGAGAATGCTTCTATGTCGTTTTTAGGAGAAGATATTTCCTTTTCCAACACAGTCCTCCAAGCCCGCTAAATATCCACTTGCACATTGTAGAAAAAGTGTGTCAAAGCTGCGCTATCAAAGGGAAAGTTCAACTCTGAGAGGTGAATGCAAACATCCCAAAGAAGTTTCTGAGAGTGCTTCCGTTTAGCTTTTAGGTGAAGATTATCCCGTTTCCAACGAAACCTTCAAAGAGGTCCAAATATCCCCTTGCGGATCCCACAGAAAGAGTGTTTCGAAACTGCTGTTTCAAAAGGAATCTTCAACTCTGTGAGTTGAATGCAATCATCACAAAGAAGTTTCTGACAATGCTTCTCTCTCGTCTTTCTGTGAAGATAAAGGAAAAGGCTTTCAGGCCTTTTCCACCCACAGGCCTGAAAGCGCTCCAAATGTCCACTTGCAGATTCTGCGAAAAGAATATTTCAAAACTGCTCTATGAAAAGCAATGTTAAACTCTGTGGCTCGAACACAAACATCACAAAGCGGTTTCTGAGAATGCTTCAGTTTAGTTTTTCTGTGGAAATATTCCCGTTTCCAAAGAAATCTTCAAAGAGGTCCACGCATCCACTTACAGATTCTACAAAAAGACAGTTTCAAAACTGCTCCATCAAAAGGAGGGTTCAACTGTGTGACTTGAATGCAATCATCACTCAGAAGTTTCTGAGAATGCTTCTCTTTAGTTTTTACGTGAACATATACCCGTTTCGAACGAAGGCCACCCAGTGGTCCAAATATCCACTTGCAGATTCTACAGAAAGAGTGTTTCGAACCTGAACTCTCAAAGGCAGGTTCATCTCTGCGAGTTAAAAGCATTCATCATGAAGAACTTTCTCAGAGTGTTTGTGTTTAGTTATGGGAAATTATTCCCGTTTCCAACGAAATCCTCAGAGAGCTCCAAATATCCACCTGCAGATTCTACCAAAAGTGTATTTGGAAACTGCTCAATCAAAAGGCATGTTCAGCTCTGTGAGTGAAACTCCATCATCACAAAGAATATTCTGAGAATGCTTCCGTTTGCCTTTTATATGAAGTTCCTTCCTGTACTACCGTAGGCCTCAAAGCAGTCCAAATCTCCATTTGCAGATTCTATAAAAAGAGTGATTCCAATCTGCTCTATCAATAGGATTGTTCAACTCCATGAGTTGAATGCCATCCTCACAAAGTAGTTTCTGAGAATGCTTCTATCTGGTTTTTGTGTGAAGATATTTCCTTTTCCACCACAGGCCTCAAAGCCCTCCAAACGTCCACTTGCAGATTCTCGAAAAAGAGTGTTTCATAGCTGCTCTTTCAAAAGGAAAGTTCAACTCTTTGAGTTGAATACAAACATCACAAAGTAGTTTCCGAGAATGCTTCTGTTTAGTTTTTATGTGAAGATGATCCCGTTTCCAGTGAAATCTTCAAAGAGGTCCACATATCCCCTTGCAGATTCCAAAGAAAGAGGGTTTCAAAACTGCTCCATCAGAAGGATTGTTCAACTCTGTGAGTTGAATGCAGTCATCGCAGAAAACTTTCTGAGAATGCTTCTGTCTAGGTTTGATGTGAAGATATAGACGTTTCAAACGAAGGCTACAAAGTGGTCAAAATATACACTTGCAGATTCTACTACAAGGGTGATGCAAACCTGAACTATCAAAGGAAGGTTCAACTCTGTGAGTTGAATACAAACATCACAAAGAATGTTCTGAGTTTGCTTCCGTTCAGTTATGGGAAGTTGATCCCGTTTCCAACGAAATCCTCAGAGAGGTCCAAATATCCCCTTGCAGATTCTACAAAACGTGTGTTTGGAAACTGCTCCATCATAACGAATGTTCAGCTCTCTGAGTTAAACTCCATCGTCACAAAGAATTTTCTGAGGGTGCTACCGTCTAGTTTTTACATGAAGTTCTTTCCTTTACTACCACAGGCCTCAAAGCGGTCCAAATCTCCACTTGCAGATTCTACAAAAAGAGTGTTTGCAAACTGCTCTATCAAAAGGAATGTTCAACTCTGGGAGTTGAATGCAATCATCACAGAGCAGTTTCTGAGAATGCTTCTATGTCGTTTTTAGGAGAAGATATTTCCTTTTCCAACACAGTCCTCCAAGCCCGCTAAATATCCACTTGCACATTGTAGAAAAAGTGTGTCGAAGCTGCGCTATCAAAGGGAAAGTTCAACTCTGTGAGGTGAATGCAAACATCCCAAAGAAGTTTCTGAGAATGCTTCCGTTTAGCTTTTAGGTGAAGATTATCCCGTTTCCAACGAAATCTTCAAAGAGGTCCAAATATCCCCTTGCGGATCCCACAGAAAGAGTGTTTCGAAACTGCTGTTTCAAAAGGAATCTTCAACTCTGTGAGTTGAATGCAATCATCACAAAGAAGTTTCTGACAATGCTTCTCTCTCGTCTTTCTGTGAAGATAAAGGAAAAGGCTTTCAGGCCTTTTCCACCACAGGCCTGAAAGCGCTCCAAATGTCCACTTGCAGATTCTGCCAAAAGAATATTTCAAAACTGCTCTATGAAAAGCAATGTTAAACTCTGTGGCTCGAACACAAACATCACAAAGCAGTTTCTGAGAATGCTTCAGTTTAGTTTTTCTGTGGAAATATTCCCCTTTCCAAAGAAATCTTCAAAGAGGTCCACGTATCCACTTACAGATTCTACAAAAAGACAGTTTCAAAACTGCTCAAACAAAAGGCGGGTTCAACTGTGTGACTTGAATGCAATCATCACTCAGAAGTTTCTGAGAATGCTTCTCTTTAGTTTTTACGTGAACATATACCCGTTTCGAACGAAGGCCACCCAGTGGTCCAAATATCCACTTGCAGATTCTACAGAAAGAGTGTTTCGAACCTTAACTCTCAAAGGCAGGTTCATCTCTGCGAGTTAAATGCATTCATCATGAAGAACTTTCTCAGAGTGTTTGTGTTTAGTTATGGGAAATTATTCCCGTTTCCAACGAAATCCTCCGAGAGGTCCAAATATCCACCTGCAGATTCTACCAAAAGTGTATTTGGAAACTGCTCCATCAAAAGGCATGTTCAGCTCTGTGAGTGAAACTCCATCATCACAAAGAATATTCTGAGAATGCTTCCGTTTGCCTTTTATATGAAGTTCCTTCCTATACTACCGTAGGCCTCAAAGCAGTCCAAATCTCCATTTGCAGATTCTACAAAAAGAGTGATTCCAATCTGCTCTATCAATAGGATTGTTCAACTCCATGAGTTGAATGCCTTCCTCACAAAGTCGTTTCTGAGAATGCTTCTATCTAGTTTTTATGTGAAGATATTTCCTTTTCCACCACAGGACTCAAAGCCCTCCAAACATCCACTTGCAGATTCTCGAAAAAGAGTGTTTCATAGCTGCTCTTTCAAAAGGAAAGTTCAACTCTGGGAGTTGAATACAAACATCACAAAGTAGTTTCCGAGAATGCTTCTGTTTAGTTCTTATGTGAAGATGATCCCGTTTCCAGTGAAATCTTCAAAGAGGTCCACATATCCCCTTGCAGATTCCAAAGAAAGAGGGTTTCAAAACTGCTCCATCAAAAGGATTGTTCAACTCTGTGAGTTGAATGCAGTCATCGCAGAAAACTTTCTGAGAATGCTTCTGTCTAGGTTTAATGTGAAGATATAGACGTTTCAAACGAAGGCTACAAAGTGGTCAAAATATACACTTGCAGATTCTACTACAAGGGTGTTGCAAACCTGAACTATCAAAGGAAGGTTCAACTCTGTGAGTTGAATACAAACATCACAAAGAATGTTCTGAGTTTGCTTCCGTTCAGTTATGGGAAGTTGATCCCGTTTGCAACGAAATCCTCAGAGAGGTCCAAATATCCCCTTGCAGATTCTGCAAAACGTGTGTTTGGAAACTGCTCCATCATAACGAATGTTCAGCTCTCTGAGTTAAACTCCATCGTCACAAAGAATTTTCTGAGAGTGCTACCGTCTAGTTTTTATATGAAGTTCTTTCCTTTACTACCACAGGCCTCAAAGCGGTCCAAATCTCCACTTGCAGATTCTACAAAAAGAGTGTTTGCAAACTGCTCTATCAAAAGGAATGTTCAACTCTGGGAGTTGAATGCAATCATCACAGAGCAGTTCTTGAGAATGCTTCTATGTCGTTTTTAGGAGAAGATATTTCCTTTTCCACCACAGTCCTCCAAGCCCACTAAATATCCACTTGCACATTGCAGAAAAAGTGTGTCGAAGCTGCGCTATCAAAGGGAAAGTTCAACTCTGTGAGGTGAATGCAAACATCCCAAAGAAGTTTCTGAGAATGCTTCCGTTTAGCTTTTAGGTGAAGATTATCCCGTTTCCAACGAAACCTTCAAAGAGGTCCAAATATCCCCTTGCGGATCCCACAGAAAGAGTGTTTCGAAACTGCTGTTTCAAAAGGAATCTTCAACTCTGTGAGTTGAATGCAATCATCAAAAAGAAGTTTCTGACAATGCTTCTCTCTCGTCTTTCTGTGAAGATAAAGGAAAAGGCTTTCAGGCCTTTTCCACCACAGGCCTGAAAGCACTCCAAATGTCCACTTGCAGATTCTGCCAAAAGAATATTTCAAAACTGCTCTATGAAAAGCAATGTTAAACTCTGTGGCTCGAACACAAACATCACAAAGCAGTTTCTGAGAATGCTTCAGTTTAGTTTTTCTGTGGAAATATTCCCGTTTCCAAAGAAATCTTCAAAGAGGTCCACGCATCCACTTACAGATTCTACAAAAAGACAGTTTCAAAACTGCTCAATCAAAAGGAGGGTTCAACTGTGTGACTTGAATGCAATCATCACTCAGAAGTTTCTGAGAACGCTTCTCTTTAGTTTTTACGTGAACATATACCCGTTTCGAACGAAGGCCAGCCAGTGGTCCAAATATCCACTTGCAGATTCTACAGAAAGAGTGTTTCGAACCTGAACTCTCAAAGGCAGGTTCATCTCTGTGAGTTAAATGCATTCATCATGAAGAACTTTCTCAGCGTGTTTGTGTTTAGTTATGGGAAATTATTCCCGTTTCCAACGAAATCCTCAGAGAGCTCCAAATATCCACCTGCAGATTCTACCAAAAGTGTATTTGGAAACTGCTCCATCAAAAGGCATGTTCAGCTCTGTGAGTGAAACTCCATCATCACAAAGAATATTCTGAGAATGCTTCCGTTTGCCTTTTATATGAAGTTCCTTCCTATACGACCGTAGGCCTCAAAGCAGTCCAAATCTCCATTTGCAGATTCTACAAAAAGAGTGATTCCAATCTGCTCTATCAATAGGATTGTTCAACTCCATGAGTTGAATGCCATCCTCACAAAGTAGTTTCTGAGAATGCTTCTATCTGGTTTTTGTGTGAAGATATTTCCTTTTCCACCACAGGCCTCAAAGCCCTCCAAACGTCCACTTGCAGATTCTCGAAAAAGAGTGTTTCATAGCTGCTCTTTCAAAAGGAAAGTTCAACTCTGGGAGTTGAATACAAACATCACAAAGTAGTTTCCGAGAATGCTTCTGTTTAGTTTTTATGTGAAGATGATCCCGTTTCCAGTGAAATCTTCAAAGAGGTCCACATATCCCCTTGCAGATTCCAAAGAAAGAGGGTTTCAAAACTGCTCCATCAGAAGGATTGTTCAACTCTGTGAGTTGAATGCAGTCATCGCAGAAAACTTTCTGAGAATGCTTCTGTCTAGGTTTGATGTGAAGATATAGACGTTTCAAACGAAGGCTACAAAGTGGTCAAAATATACACTTGCAGATTCTACTACAAGGGTGTTGCAAACCTGAACTCTCAAAGGAAGGTTCAACTCTGTGAGTTGAATACAAACATCACAAAGAATGTTCTGAGTTTGCTTCCGTTCAGTTATGGGAAGTTGATCCCGTTTCCAACGAAATCCTCAGAGAGGTCCAAATATCCCCTTGCAGATTCTGCAAAACGTGTGTTTGGAAACTGCTCCATCATAACGAATGTTCAGCTCTCTGAGTTAAACTCCATCGTCACAAAGAATTGTCTGAAAGTGCTACCGTCTAGTTTTTATATGAAGTTCTTTCCTTTACTACCACAGGCCTCAAAGCGGTCCAAATCTCCACTTGCAGATTCTACAAAAAGAGTGTTTGCAAACTGCTCTATCAAAAGGAATGTTCAACTCTGGGAGTTGAATGCAATCATCACAGAGCAGTTTCTGAGAATGCTTCTATGTCGTTTTTAGGAGAAGATATTTCCTTTTCCAACACAGTCCTCCAAGCCCGCCAAATATCCACTTGCACATTGTAGAAAAAGTGTGTCGAAGCTGCGCTATCAAAGGGAAAGTTCAACTCTGTGAGGTGAATGCAAACATCCCAAAGAAGTTTCTGAGAATGCTTCCGTTTAGCTTTTAGGTGAAGATTATCCCGTTTCCAACGAAATCTTCAAAGAGGTCCAAATATCCCCTTGCGGATCCCACAGAAAGAGTGTTTCGAAACTGCTGTTTCAAAAGGAATCTACAACTCTGTGGGTTGAATGCAATCATCACAAAGCAGTTTCTGACAATGCTTCTCTCTCGTCTTTCTGTGAAGATAAAGGAAAAGGCTTTCAGGCCTTTTCCACCACAGGCCTGAAAACGCTCTAAATGTCCACTTGCAGATTCTGCCAAAAGAATATTTCAAAACTGCTCTATGAAAAGCAATGTTAAACTCTGCGGCTCGAACACCAACATCACAAAGCAGTTTCTGAGAATGCTTCAGTTTAGTTTTTCTGTGGAAATATTCCCGTTTCCAAAGAAATCTTCAAAGAGGTCCACGTATCCACTTACAGATTCTACAAAAAGACAGTTTCAAAACTGCTCCATCAAAAGGAGGGTTCAACTGTGTGACTTGAATGCAATCATCACTCAGAAGTTTCTGAGAATGCTTCTCTTTAGTTTTTACGTGAACATATACCCGTTTCGAACGAAGGCCACCCAGTGGTCCAAATATCCACTTGCAAATTATACAGAAAGAGTGTTTCGAACCTGAACTCTCAAAGGCAGGTTCATCTCTGCGAGTTAAATGCATTCATCATGAAGAACTTTCTCAGAGTGTTTGTGTTTAGTTATGGGAAATTATTCCCGTTTCCAACGAAATCCTCAGAGAGCTCCAAATATCCACCTGCAGATTCTACCAAAAGTGTATTTGGAAACTGCTCCATCAAAAGGCATGTTCAGCTCTGTCAGTGAAACTCCATCATCACAAAGAATATTCTGAGAATGCTTCCGTTTGCCTTTTATATGAAGTTCCTTCCTGTACTACCGTAGGCCTCAAAGCAGTCCAAATCTCCATTTGCAGATTCTACAAAAAGAGTGATTCCAATCTGCTCTATCAATAGGATTGTTCAACTCCATGAGTTGAATGCCATCCTCACAAAGTCGTTTCTGAGAATGCTTCTATCTGGTTTTTGTGTGAAGATATTTCCTTTTCCACCACAGGCCTCAAAGCCCTCCAAACGTCCACTTGCAGATTCTCGAAAAAGAGTGTTTCATAGCTGCTCTTTCAAAAGGAAAGTTCAACTCTGGGAGTTGAATACAAACATCACAAAATAGTTTCCGAGAATGCTTCTGTTTAGTTTTTATGTGAAGATGATCCCGTTTCCAGTGAAATCTTCAAAGAGGTCCACATATCCCCTTGCAGATTCCAAAGAAAGGGGGTTTAAAAACTGCTCCATCAGAAGGATTGTTCAACTCTGTGAGTTGAATGCAGTCATCGCAGAAAACTTTCTGAGAATGCTTCTGTCTAGGTTTGACGTGAAGATATAGACGTTTCAAACGAAGGCTACAAAGTGGTCAAAATATACACTTGCAGATTCTACTACAAGGGTGTTGCAAACCTGAACTATCAAAGGAAGGTTCAACTCTGTGAGTTGAATACAAACATCACAAAGAATGTTCTGAGTTTGCTTCTGTTCAGTTATGGGAAGTTGATACCGTTTCCAACGAAATCCTCAGAGAGGTCCAAATATCCCCTTGCAGATTCTACAAAACGTGTGTTTGGAAACTGCTCCATCATAACGAATGTTCAGCTCTCTGAGTTAAACTCCATCGTCACAAAGAATTTTCTGAGAGTGTACCGTCTAGTTTTTATATGAAGTTCTTTCCTTTACTACCACAGGCCTCAAAGCGGTCCAAATCTCCACTTGCAGATTCTACAAAAAGAGTGTTTGCAAACTGCTCTATCAAAAGGAATGTTCAACTCTGGGAGTTGAAAGCAATCATCACAGAGCAGTTTCTGAGAATGCTTCTATGTCGTTTTTAGGAGAAGATATTTCCTTTTCCAACACAGTCCTCCAAGCCCGCTAAATAGCCACTTGCACATTGTAGAAAAAGTGTGTCGAAGCTGCGCTATCAAAGGGAAAGTTCAACTCTGTGAGGTGAATGCAAACATCCCAAAGAAGTTTCTGAGAATGCTTCCGTTTAGCTTTTAGGTGAAGATTATCCTGTTTCCAACGAAATCTTCAAAGAGGTCCAAATATCCCCTTGCAGATCCCACAGAAAGAGTGTTTCGAAACTGCTGTTTCAAAAGGAATCTTCAACTCTGTGAGTTGAATGCAATCTTCACAAAGAAGTTTCTGACAATGCTTCTCTCTCGTCTTTCTGTGAAGATAAAGGAAAAGGCTTTCAGGCCTTTTCCACCCACAGGCCTGAAAGCGCTCCAAATGTCCACTTGCAGATTCTGCGAAAAGAATATTTCAAAACTGCTCTATGAAAAGCAATGTTAAACTCTGTGGCTGGAACACAAACATCACAAAGCGGTTTCTGAGAATGTTTCAGTTTAGTTTTTCTGTGGAAATATTCCCGTTTCCAAAGAAATCTTCAAAGAGGTCCACGTATCCACTTACAGATTCTACAAAAAGACAGTTTCAAAACTGCTCCATCAAAAGGAGGGTTCAACTGTGTGACTTGAATGCAATCATCACTCAGAAGTTTCTGAGAATGCTTCTCTTTAGTTTTTAGGTGAACATATACCCGTTTCGAACGAAGGCCACCCAGTGGTCCAAATATCCACTTGCAGATTCTACAGAAAGAGTGTTTCGAACCTGAACTCTCAAAGGCAGGTTCATCTCTGCGAGTTAAATGCATTCATCATGAAGAACTTTCTCAGAGTGTTTGTGTTTAGTTATGGGAAATTATTCCCGTTTCCAACGAAATCCTCAGAGAGCTCCAAATATCCACCTGCAGATTCTACCAAAAGTGTATTTGGAAACTGCTCCATCAAAAGGCATGTTCAGCTCTGTCAGTGAAACTCCATCATCACAAAGAATATTCTGAGAATGCTTCCGTTTGCCTTTTATATGAAGTTCCTTCCTGTACTACCGTAGGCCTCAAAGCAGTCCAAATCTCCATTTGCAGATTCTACAAAAAGAGTGATTCCAATCTGCTCTATCAATAGGATTGTTCAACTCCATGAGTTGAATGCCATCCTCACAAAGTCGTTTCTGAGAATGCTTCTATCTGGTTTTTGTGTGAAGATATTTCCTTTTCCACCACAGGCCTCAAAGCCCTCCAAACGTCCACTTGCAGATTCTCGAAAAAGAGTGTTTCATAGCTGCTCTTTCAAAAGGAAAGTTCAACTCTGGGAATTGAATACAAACATCACAAAATAGTTTCCGAGAATGCTTCTGTTTAGTTTTTATGTGAAGATGATCCCGTTTCCAGTGAAATCTTCAAAGAGGTCCACATATCCCCTTGCAGATTCCAAAGAAAGAGGGTTTCAAAACTGCTCCATCAGAAGGATTGTTCAACTCTGTGAGTTGAATGCAGTCATCGCAGAAAACTTTCTGAGAATGCTTCTGTCTAGGTTTGGTGTGAAGATATAGATGTTTTAAACGAAGGCTACAAAGTGGTCAAAATATACACTTGCAGATTCTACTACAAGGGTGTTGCAAACCTGAACTATCAAAGGAAGGTTCAACTCTGTGAGTTGAATACAAACATCACAAAGAATGTTCTGAGTTTGCTTCTGTTCAGTTATGGGAAGTTGATCCCGTTTCCAACGAAATCCTCAGAGAGGTCCAAATATCCCCTTGCAGATTCTACAAAACGTGTGTTTGGAAACTGCTCCATCATAACGAATGTTCAGCTCTCTGAGTTAAACTCCATCGTCACAAAGAATTTTCTGAGAGTGCTACCGTCTGGTTTTTATATGAAGTTCTTTCCTTTACTACCACAGGCCTCAAAGCGGTCCAAATCTCCAGTTGCAGATTCTACAAAAACAGTGTTTGCAAACTGCTCTATCAAAAGGAATGTTCAACTCTGGGAGTTGAATGCAATCATCACAGAGCAGTTTCTGAGAATGCTTCTATGTCGTTTTTAGGAGAAGATATTTCCTTTTCCAACACAGTCCTCCAAGCCCGCTAAATATCCACTTGCACATTGTAGAAAAAGTGTGTCGAAGCTGCGCTATCAAAGGGAAAGTTCAACTCTGTGAGGTGAATGCAAACATCCCAAAGAAGTTTCTGAGAATGCTTCCGTTTAGCTTTTAGGTGAAGATTATCCCGTTTCCAACGAAACCTTCAAAGAGGTCCAAATATCCCCTTGCGGATCCCACAGAAAGAGTGTTTCGAAACTGCTGTTTCAAAAGGAATCTTCAACTCTGTGAGTTGAATGCAATCATCACAAAGAAGTTTCTGACAATGCTTCTCTCTCGTCTTTCTGTGAAGATAAAGGAAAAGGCTTTCAGGCCTTTTCCACCACAGGCCTGAAAGCGCTCCAAATGTCCACTTGCAGATTCTGTGAAAAGAATATTTCAAAACTGCTCTATGAAAAGCAATGTTAAACTCTGTGGCTCGAACACAAACATCACAAAGCAGTTTCTGAGAATGCTTCAGTTTAGTTTTTCTGTGGAAATATTCCCGTTTCCAAAGAAATCTTCAAAGAGGTCCACGTATCCACTTACAGATTCTACAAAAAGACAGTTTCAAAACTGCTCCATCAAAAGGAGGGTTCAACTGTGTGACTTGAATGCAATCATCACTCAGAAGTTTCTGAGAATGCTTCTCTTTAGTTTTTACGTGAACATATACCCGTTTCGAACGAAGGCCACCCAGTGGTCCAAATATCCACTTGCAGATTCTACAGAAAGAGTGTTTCGAACCTGAACTCTCAAAGGCAGGTTCATCTCTGTGAGTTAAATGCATTCATCATGAAGAACTTTCTCAGAGTGTTTGTGTTTAGTTATGGGAAATTATTCCCGTTTCCAACGAAATCCTCAGAGAGCTCCAAATATCCACCTGCAGATTCTACCAAAAGTGTATTTGGAAACTGCTCCATCAAAAGGCATGTTCAGCTCTGTGAGTGAAACTCCATCATCACAAAGAATATTCTGAGAATGCTTCCGTTTGCCTTTTATATGAAGTTCCTTCCTGTACTACTGTAGGCCTCAAAGCAGTCCAAATCTCCATTTGCAGATTCTACAAAAAGAGTGATTCCAATCTGCTCTATCAATAGGATTGTTCAACTCCATGAGTTGAATGCCATCCTCACAAAGTAGTTTCTGAGAATGCTTCTATCTGGTTTTTGTGTGAAGATATTTCCTTTTCCACCACAGGCCTCAAAGCCCTCCAAACGTCCACTTGCAGATTCTCGAAAAAGAGTGTTTCATAGCTGCTCTTTCCAAAGGAAAGTTCAACTCTGGGAGTTGAATACAAACATCACAAAGTAGTTTCCGAGAATGCTTCTGTTTAGTTTTTATGTGAAGATGATCCCGTTTCCAGTGAAATCTTCAAAGAGGTCCACATATCCCCTTGCAGATTCCAAAGAAAGAGGGTTTCAAAACTGCTCCATCAGAAGGATTGTTCAACTCTGTGAGTTGAATGCAGTCATCGCAGAAAACTTTCTGAGAATGCTTCTGTCTAGGTTTGATGTGAAGATATAGACGTTTCAAACGAAGGCTACAAAGTGGTCAAAATATACACTTGCAGATTCTACTACAAGGGTGTTGCAAACCTGAACTATCAAAGGAAGGTTCAACTCTGTGAGTTGAATACAAACATCACAAAGAATGTTCTGAGTTTGCTTCCGTTCAGTTATGGGAAGTTGATCCCGTTTCCAACGAAATCCTCAGAGAGGTCCAAATATCCCCTTGCAGATTCTACAAAACGTGTGTTTGGAAACTGCTCCATCATAACGAATGTTCAGCTCCCTGAGTTAAACTCCATCGTCACAAAGAATTTTCTGAGAGTGCTACCGTCTGGTTTTTATATGAAGTTCTTTCCTTCACTACCACAGGCCTCAAAGCGGTCCAAATCTCCACTTGCAGATTCTACAAAAAGAGTGTTTGCAAACTGCTCTATCAAAAGGAATGTTCAACTCTGGGAGTTGAATGCAATCATCACAGAGCAGTTTCTGAGAATGCTTCTATGTCGTTTTTAGGAGAAGATATTTCCTTTTCCAACACAGTCCTCCAAGCCCGCTAAATAGCCACTTGCACATTGTAGAAAAAGTGTGTCAAAGCTGCGCTATCAAAGGGAAAGTTCAACTCTGTGAGGTGAATGCAAACATCCCAAAGAAGTTTCTGAGAATGCTTCCGTTTAGCTTTTAGGTGAAGATTATCCCGTTTCCAACGAAACCTTCAAAGAGGTCCAAATATCCCCTTGCGGATCCCACAGAAAGAGTGTTTCGAAACTGCTGTTTCAAAAGGAATCTTCAACTCTGTGAGTTGAATGCAATCATCACAAAGAAGTTTCTGACAATGCTTCTCTCTCGTCTTTCTGTGAAGATAAAGGAAAAGGCTTTCAGGCCTTTTCCACCACAGGCCTGAAAGCGCTCCAAATGTCCACTTGCAGATTCTGCGAAAAGAATATTTCAAAACTGCTCTATGAAAAGCAATGTTAAACTCTGTGGCTCGAACACAAACATCACAAAGCGGTTTCTGAGAATGCTTCAGTTTAGTTTTTCTGTGGAAATATTCCCGTTTCCAAAGAAATCTTCAAAGAGGTCCACGTATCCACTTACAGATTCTGCAAAAAGACAGTTTCAAAACTGCTCCATCAAAAGGAGGGTTCAACTGTGTGACTTGAATGCAATCATCACTCAGAAGTTTCTGAGAATGCTTCTCTTTAGTTTTTACGTGAACATATACCCGTTTCGAACGAAGGCCAGCCAGTGGTCCAAATATCCACTTGCAGATTCTACAGAAAGAGTGTTTCGAACCTGAACTCTCAAAGGCAGGTTCATCTCTGCGAGTTAAATGCATTCATCATGAAGAACTTTCTCAGAGTGTTTGTGTTTAGTTATGGGAAATTATTCCCGTTTCCAACGAAATCCTCAGAGAGCTCCAAATATCCACCTGCAGATTCTACCAAAAGTGTATTTGGAAACTGCTCCATCAAAAGGCATGTTCAGCTCTGTCAGTGAAACTCCATCATCACAAAGAATATTCTGAGAATGCTTCCGTTTGCCTTTTATATGAAGTTCCTTCCTATACTACCGTAGGCCTCAAAGCAGTCCAAATCTCCATTTGCAGATTCTACAAAAAGAGTGATTCCAATCTGCTCTATCAATAGGATTGTTCAACTCCATGAGTTGAATGCCATCCTCACAAAGTAGTTTCTGAGAATGCTTCTATCTAGTTTTTATGTGAAGATATTTCCTTTTCCACCACAGGCTTCAAAGCCCTCCAAACGTCCACTTGCAGATTCTCGAAAAAGAGTGTTTCATAGCTGCTCTTTCAAAAGGAAAATTCAACTCTGGGAGTTGAATACAAACATCACAAAGTAGTTTCCGAGAATGCTTCTGTTTAGTTCTTATGTGAAGATGATCCCGTTTCCAGTGAAATCTTCAAAGAGGTCCACATATCCCCTTGCAGATTCCAAAGAAAGAGGGTTTCAAAACTGCTCCATCAAAAGGATTGTTCAACTCTGTGAGTTGAATGCAGTCATCGCAGAAAACTTTCTGAGAATGCTTCTGTCTAGGTTTGATGTGAAGATATAGACGTTTCAAACGAAGGCTACAAAGTGGTCAAAATATACACTTGCAGATTCTACTACAAGGGTGATGCAAACCTGAACTATCAGAGGAAGGTTCAACTCTGTGAGTTGAATACAAACATCACAAAGAATGTTCTGAGTTTGCTTCCGTTCAGTTATGGGAAGTTGATCCCGTTTCCAACGAAATCCTCAGAGAGGTCCAAATATCCCCTTGCAGATTCTACAAAACGTGTGTTTGGAAACTGCTCCATCATAACGAATGTTCAGCTCTCTGAGTTAAACTCCATCGTCACAAAGAATTTTCTGAGAGTGCTACCGTCTGGTTTTTATATGAAGTTCTTTCCTTTACTACCACAGGCCTCAAAGCGGTCCAAATCTCCACTTGCAGATTCTACAAAAAGAGTGTTTGCAAACTGCTCTATCAAAAGGAATGTTCAACTCTGGGAGTTGAATGCAATCATCACAGAGCAGTTTCTGAGAATGCTTCTATGTCGTTTTTAGGAGAAGATATTTCCTTTTCCAACACAGTCCTCCAAGCCCGCTAAATATCCACTTGCACATTGGAGAAAAAGTGTGTCGAAGCTGCGCTATCAAAGGGAAAGTTCAACTCTGTGAGGTGAATGCAAACATCCCAAAGAAGTTTCTGAGAATGCTTCCGTTTAGCTTTTAGGTGAAGATTATCCTGTTTCCAACGAAATCTTCAAAGAGGTCCAAATATCCCCTTGCAGATCCCACAGAAAGAGTGTTTCGAAACTGCTGTTTCAAAAGGAATCTTCAACTCTGTGAGTTGAATGCAATCTTCACAAAGAAGTTTCTGACAATGCTTCTCTCTCGTCTTTCTGTGAAGATAAAGGAAAAGGCTTTCAGGCCTTTTCCACCACAGGCCTGAAAGCGCTCCAAATGTCCACTTGCAGATTCTGCCAAAAGAATATTTCAAAACTGCTCTATGAAAAGCAATGTTAAACTCTGTGGCTCGAACACAAACATCACAAAGCAGTTTCTGAGAATGCTTCAGTTTAGTTTTTCTGTGGAAATATTCCCGTTTCCAAAGAAATCTTCAAAGAGGTCCACGCATCCACTTACAGATTCTACAAAAAGACAGTTTCAAAACTGCTCAATCAAAACGAGGGTTCAACTGTGTGACTTGAATGCAATCATCACTCAGAAGTTTCTGTGAACGCTTCTCTTTAGTTTTTACGTGAACATATACCCGTTTCGAACGAAGGCCAGCCAGTGGTCCAAATATCCACTTGCAGATTCTACAGAAAGAGTGTTTCGAACCTGAACTCTCAAAGGCAGGTTCATCTCTGCGAGTTAAATGCATTCATCATGAAGAACTTTCTCAGCGTGTTTGTGTTTAGTTATGGGAAATTATTCCCGTTTCCAACGAAATCCTCAGAGAGCTCCAAATATCCACCTGCAGATTCTACCAAAAGTGTATTTGGAAACTGCTCCATCAAAAGGCATGTTCAGCTCTGTGAGTGAAACTCCATCATCACAAAGAATATTCTGAGAATGCTTCCGTTGGCCTTTTATATGAAGTTCCTTCCTATACTACCGTAGGCCTCAAAGCAGTCCAAATCTCCATTTGCAGATTCTACAAAAAGAGTGATTCCAATCTGCTCTATCAATAGGATTGTTCAACTCCATGAGTTGAATGCCATCCTCACAAAGTAGTTTCTGAGAATGCTTCTATCTAGTTTTTATGTGAAGATATTTCCTTTTCCACCACAGGCCTCAAAGCCCTCCAAACGTCCACTTGCAGATTCTCGAAAAAGAGGGTTTCATAGCTGCTCTTTCAAAAGGAAAGTTAAAATCTGGGAGTTGAATACAAACATCACAAAGTATTTTCCGAGAATGCTTCTGTTTAGTTCTTATGTGAAGATGATCCCGTTTCCAGTGAAATCTTCAAAGAGGTCCACATATCCCCTTGCAGATTCCAAAGAAAGAGGGTTTCAAAACTGCTCCATCAAAAGGATTGTTCAACTCTGTGAGTTGAATGCAGTCATCGCAGAAAACTTTCTGAGAATGCTTCTGTCTAGGTTTGATGTGAAGATATAGACGTTTCAAACGAAGGCTACAAAGTGGTCAAAATATACACTTGCAGATTCTACTACAAGGGTGTTGCAAACCTCAACTATCAAAGGAAGGTTCAACTCTGTGAGATGAATGCAAACATCACAAAGAATGTTCTGAGTTTGCTTCCGTTCAGTTATGGGAAGTTGATCCCGTTTCCAACGAAATCCTCAGAGAGGTCCAAATATCCCCTTGCAGATTCTACAAAACGTGTGTTTGGAAACTGCTCCATCATAACGAATGTTCAGCTCTCTGAGTTAAACTCCATCGTCACAAAGAATTTTCTGAGGGTGCTACCTTCTAGTTTTTATATGAAGTTCTTTCCTTTACTACCACAGGCCTCAAAGCGGTCCAAATCTCCACTTGCAGATTCTACAAAAAGAGTGTTTGCAAATTGCTCTATCAAAAGGAATGTTCAACTCTGGGAGTTGAATGCAATCATCACAGAGCAGTTTCTGAGAATGCTTCTATGTCGTTTTTAGGAGAAGATATTTCCTTTTCCAACACAGTCCTCCAAGCCCGCTAAATATCCACTTACACATTGTAGAAAAAGTGTGTCGAAGCTGCGCTATCAAAGGGAAAGTTCAACTCTGTGAGGTGAATGCAAACATCCCAAAGAAGTTTCTGAGAATGCTTCCGTTTAGCTTTTAGGTGAGGATTATCCCGTTTCCAACGAAACCTTCAAAGAGGTCCAAATATCCCCTTGCGGATCCCACAGAAAGAGTGTTTCGAAACTGCTGTTTCAAAAGGAATCTTCAACTCTGTGAGTTGAATGCAATCATCACAAAGAAGTTTCTGACAATGCTTCTCTCTCGTCTTTCTGTGAAGATAAAGGAAAAGGCTTTCAGGCCTTTGCCACCACAGGCCTGAAAGCGCTCCAAATGTCCACTTGCAGATTCTGCCAAAAGAATATTTCAAAACTGCTCTATGAAAAGCAATGTTAAACTCTGTGGCTGGAACACAAACATCACAAAGCGGTTTCTGAGAATGTTTCAGTTTAGTTTTTCTGTGGAAATATTCCCGTTTCCAAAGAAATCTTCAAAGAGGTCCACGTATCCACTTACAGATTCTACAAAAAGACAGTTTCAAAACTGCTCCATCAAAAGGAGGGTTCAACTGTGTGACTTGAATGCAATCATCACTCAGAAGTTTCTGAGAATGCTTCTCTTTAGTTTTTACGTGAACATATACCCGTTTCGAACGAAGGCCACCCAGTGGTCCAAATATCCACTTGCAGATTCTACAGAAAGAGTGTTTCGAACCTGAACTCTCAAAGGCAGGTTCATCTCTGCGAGTTAAATGCATTCATCATGAAGAACTTTCTCAGAGTGTTTGTGTTTAGTTATGGGAAATTATTCCCGTTTCCAACGAAATCCTCAGGGAGCTCCAAATATCCACCTGCAGATTCTACCAAAAGTGTATTTGGAAACTGCTCCATCAAAAGGCATGTTCAGCTCTGTGAGTGAAACTCCATCATCACAAAGAATATTCTGAGAATGCTTCCGTTTGCCTTTTATATGAACTTCCTTCCTGTACTACCGTAGGCCTCAAAGCAGTCCAAATCTCCATTTGCAGATTCTACAAAAAGAGTGATTCCAATCTGCTCTATCAATAGGATTGTTCAACTCCATGAGTTGAATGCCATCCTCACAAAGTAGTTTCTGAGAATGCTTCTATCTGGTTTTTGTGTGAAGATATTTCCTTTTCCACCACAGGCCTCAAAGCCCTCCAAACGTCCACTTGCAGATTCTCGAAAAAGAGTGTTTCATAGCTGCTCTTTCAAAAGGAAAGTTCAACTCTGGGAGTTGAATACAAACATCACAAAATAGTTTCCGAGAATGCTTCTGTTTAGTTTTTATGTGAAGATGATCCCGTTTCCAGTGAAATCTTCAAAGAGGTCCACATATCCCCTTGCAGATTCCAAAGAAAGAGGGTTTCAAAACTGCTCCATCAGAAGGATTGTTCAACTCTGTGAGTTGAATGCAGTCATCGCAGAAAACTTTCTGAGAATGCTTCTGTCTAGGTTTGATGTGAAGATATAGACGTTTCAAACGAAGGCTACAATGTGGTCAAAATATACACTTGCAGATTCTACTACAAGGGTGTTGCAAACCTCAACTATCAAAGGAAGGTTCAACTCTGTGAGATGAATGCAAACATCACAAAGAATGTTCTGAGTTTGCTTCCGTTTAGTTATGGGAAATTGATACCGTTTCCAACGAAATCCTCAGAGAGGTCCAAATATCCCCTTGCAGATTCTACAAAACGTGTGTTTGGAAACTGCTCCATCATAACGAATGTTCAGCTCTCTGAGTTAAACTCCATCGTCACAAAGAATTTTCTGAGAGTGCTACCGTCTGGTTTTTATATGAAGTTCTTTCCTTTACTACCACAGGCCTCAAAGCGGTCCAAATCTCCACTTGCAGATTCTACAAAAAGAGTGTTTGCAAACTGCTCTATCAAAAGGAATGTTCAACTCTGGGAGTTGAATGCAATCATCACAGAGCAGTTCCTGAGAATGCTTCTATGTCGTTTTTAGGAGAAGATATTTCCTTTTCCAACACAGTCCTCCAAGCCCGCTAAATATCCACTTGCACATTGTAGAAACAGTGTGTCGAAGCTGCGCTATCAAAGGGAAAGTTCAACTCTGTGAGGTGAATGCAAACATCCCAAAGAAGTTTCTGAGAATGCTTCCGTTTAGCTTTTAGGTGAAGATTATCCCGTTTCCAACGAAACCTTCAAAGAGGTCCAAATATCCCCTTGCGGATCCCACAGAAAGAGTGTTTCGAAACTGCTGTTTCAAAAGGAATCTTCAACTCTGTGAGTTGAATGCAATCATCACAAAGAAGTTTCTGACAATGCTTCTCTCTCGTCTTTCTGTGAAGATAAAGGAAAAGGCTTTCAGGCCTTTGCCACCACAGGCCTGAAAGCGCTCCAAATGTCCACTTGCAGATTCTGCGAAAAGAATATTTCAAAACTGCTCTATGAAAAGCAATGTTAAACTCTGTGGCTCGAACACAAACATCACAAAGCGGTTTCTGAGAATGCTTCAGTTTAGTTTTTCTTTGGAAATATTCCCGTTTCCAAAGAAATCTTCAAAGAGGTCCACGTATCCACTTACAGATTCTACAAAAAGACAGTTTCAAAACTGCTCCATCAAAAGGAGGGTTCAACTGTGTGACTTGAATGCAATCATCACTCAGAAGTTTCTGAGAATGCTTCTCTTTAGTTTTTACGTGAACATATACCCGTTTCGAACGAAGGCCACCCAGTGGTCCAAATATCCACTTGCAGATTCTACAGAAAGAGTGTTTCGAACCTGAACTCTCAAAGGCAGGTTCATCTCTGCGAGTTAAATGCATTCATCATGAAGAACTTTCTCAGAGTGTTTGTGTTTAGTTATGGGAAATTATTCCCGTTTCCAACGAAATCCTCAGAGAGCTCCAAATATCCACCTGCAGATTCTACCAAAAGTGTATTTGGAAACTGCTCCATCAAAAGGCATGTTCAGCTCTGTGAGTGAAACTCCATCATCACAAAGAATATTCTGAGAATGCTTCCGTTTGCCTTTTATATGAAGTTCCTTCCTATACGACCGTAGGCCTCAAAGCAGTCCAAATCTCCATTTGCAGATTCTACAAAAAGAGTGATTCCAATCTGCTCTATCAATAGGATTGTTCAACTCCATGAGTTGAATGCCATCCTCACAAAGTAGTTTCTGAGAATGCTTCTATCTGGTTTTTGTGTGAAGATATTTCCTTTACCACCACAGGCCTCAAAGCCCTCCAAACGACCACTTGCAGATTCTCGAAAAAGAGTGTTTCATAGCTGCTCTTTCAAAAGGAAAGTTCAACTCTGGGAGTTGAATACAAACATCACAAAATAGTTTCCGAGAATGCTTCTGTTTAGTTTTTATGTGAAGATGATCCCGTTTCCAGTGAAATCTTCAAAGAGGTCCACATATCCCCTTGCAGATTCCAAAGAAAGAGGGTTTCAAAACTGCTCCATCAAAAGGATTCTTCAACTCTGTGAGTTGAATGCAGTCATCGCAGAAAACTTTCTGAGAATGCTTCTGTCTAGGTTTGATGTGAAGATATAGACGTTTCAAACGAAGGCTACAAAGTGGTCAAAATATACACTTGCAGATTCTACTACAAGGGTGTTGCAAACCTGAACTATCAAAGGAAGGTTCAACTCTGTGAGTTGAATACAAACATCACAAAGAATGTTCTGAGTTTGCTTCCGTTCAGTTATGGGAAGTTGATCCCGTTTCCAACGAAATCCTCAGAGAGGTCCAAATATCCCCTTGCAGATTCTACAAAACGTGTGTTTGGAAACTGCTCCATCATAACGAATGTTCAGCTCCCTGAGTTAAACTCCATCGTCACAAAGAATTTTCTGAGAGTGCTACCGTCTGGTTTTTATATGAAGTTCTTTCCTTCACTACCACAGGCCTCAAAGCGGTCCAAATCTCCACTTGCAGATTCTACAAAAAGAGTGTTTGCAAACTGCTCTATCAAAAGGAATGTTCAACTCTGGGAGTTGAATGCAATCATCACAGAGCAGTTTCTGAGAATGCTTCTATGTCGTTTTTAGGAGAAGATATTTCCTTTTCCAACACAGTCCTCCAAGCCCGCTAAATAGCCACTTGCACATTGTAGAAAAAGTGTGTCAAAGCTGCGCTATCAAAGGGAAAGTTGAACTCTGTGAGGTGAATGCAAACATCCCAAAGAAGTTTCTGAGAATGCTTCCGTTTAGCTTTTAGGTGAAGATTATCCCGTTTCCAACGAAACCTTCAAAGAGGTCCAAATATCCCCTTGCGGATCCCACAGAAAGAGTGTTTCGAAACTGCTGTTTCAAAAGGAATCTTCAACTCTGTGAGTTGAATGCAATCATCACAAAGAAGTTTCTGACAATGCTTCTCTCTCGTCTTTCTGTGAAGATAAAGGAAAAGGCTTTCAGGCCTTTTCCACCACAGGCCTGAAAGCGCTCCAAATGTCCACTTGCAGATTCTGCCAAAAGAATATTTCAAAACTGCTCTATGAAAAGCAATGTTAAACTCTGTGGCTCGAACACAAACATCACAAAGCAGTTTCTGAGAATGCTTCAGTTTAGTTTTTCTGTGGAAATATTCCCGTTTCCAAAGAAATCTTCAAAGAGGTCCACGTATCCACTTACAGATTCTGCAAAAAGACAGTTTCAAAACTGCTCCATCAAAAGGAGGGTTCAACTGTGTGACTTGAATGCAATCATCACTCAGAAGTTTCTGAGAATGCTTCTCTTTAGTTTTTACGTGAACATATACCCGTTTCGAACGAAGGCCAGCCAGTGGTCCAAATATCCACTTGCAGATTCTACAGAAAGAGTGTTTCGAACCTGAACTCTCAAAGGCAGGTTCATCTCTGCGAGTTAAATGCATTCATCATGAAGAACTTTCTCAGAGTGTTTGTGTTTAGTTATGGGAAATTATTCCCGTTTCCAACGAAATCCTCAGAGAGCTCCAAATATCCACCTGCAGATTCTACCAAAAGTGTATTTGGAAACTGCTCCATCAAGAGGCATGTTCAGCTCTGTGAGTGAAACTCCATCATCACAAAGAATATTCTGAGAATGCTTCCGTTTGCCTTTTATCTGAAGTTCCTTCCTATACGACCGTAGGCCTCAAAGCAGTCCAAATCTCCATTTGCAGATTCTACAAAAAGAGTGATTCCAATCTGCTCTATCAATAGGATTGTTCAACTCCATGAGTTGAATGCCATCCTCACAAAGTCGTTTCTGAGAATGCTTCTATCTAGTTTTTATGTGAAGATATTTCCTTTTCCACCACAGGCCTCAAAGCCCTCCAAACGTCCACTTGCAGATTCTCGAAAAGGAGTGTTTCATAGCTGCTCTTTCAAAAGGAAAGTTCAACTCTGGGAGTTGAATACAAACATCACAAAGTAGTTTCCGAGAATGCTTCTGTTTAGTTTTTATGTGAAGATGATCCCGTTTCCAGTGAAATCTTCAAAGAGGTCCACATATCCCCTTGCAGATTCCAAAGAAAGAGGGTTTCAAAACTGCTCCATCAGAAGGATTGTTCAACTCTGTGAGTTGAATGCAGTCATCGCAGAAAACTTTCTGAGAATGCTTCTGTCTAGGTTTGATGTGAAGATATAGACGTTTCAAACGAAGGCTACAAAGTGGTCAAAATATACACTTGCAGATTCTACTACAAGGGTGTTGCAAACCTGAACTATCAAAGGAAGGTTCAACTCTGTGAGTTGAATACAAACATCACAAAGAATGTTCTGAGTTTGCTTCCGTTCAGTTATGGGAAGTTGATCCCGTTTCCAACGAAATCCTCAGAGAGGTCCAAATATCCCCTTGCAGATTCTACAAAACGTGTGTTTGGAAACTGCTCCATCATAACGAATGTTCAGCTCCCTGAGTTAAACTCCATCGTCACAAAGAATTTTCTGAGAGTGCTACCGTCTGGTTTTTATATGAAGTTCTTTCCTTCACTACCACAGACCTCAAAGCGGTCCAAATCTCCACTTGCAGATTCTACAAAAAGAGTGTTTGCAAACTGCTCTATCAAAAGGAATGTTCAACTCTGGGAGTTGAATGCAATCATCACAGAGCAGTTTCTGAGAATGCTTCTATGTCGTTTTTAGGAGAAGATATTTCCTTTTCCAACACAGTCCTCCAAGCCCGCTAAATAGCCACTTGCACATTGTAGAAAAAGTGTGTCAAAGCTGCGCTATCAAAGGGAAAGTTCAACTCTGTGAGGTGAATGCAAACATCCCAAAGAAGTTTCTGAGAATGCTTCCGTTTAGCTTTTAGGTGAAGATTATCCCGTTTCCAACGAAACCTTCAAAGAGGTCCAAATATCCCCTTGCGGATCCCACAGAAAGAGTGTTTCGAAACTGCTGTTTCAAAAGGAATCTTCAACTCTGTGAGTTGAATGCAATCATCACAAAGAAGTTTCTGACAATGCTTCTCTCTCGTCTTTCTGTGAAGATAAAGGAAAAGGCTTTCAGGCCTTTTCCACCACAGGCCTGAAAGCGCTCCAAATGTCCACTTGCAGATTCTGCCAAAAGAATATTTCAAAACTGCTCTATGAAAAGCAATGTTAAACTCTGTCGCTCGAACACAAACATCACAAAGCAGTTTCTGAGAATGCTTCAGTTTAGTTTTTCTGTGGAAATATTCCCGTTTCCAAAGAAATCTTCAAAGAGGTCCACGTATCCACTTACAGATTCTACAAAAAGACAGTTTCAAAACTGCTCCATCAAAAGGAGGGTTCAACTGTGTGACTTGAATGCAATCATCACTCAGAAGTTTCTGAGAATGCTTCTCTTTAGTTTTTACGTGAACATATACCCGTTTCGAACGAAGGCCAGCCAGTGGTCCAAATATCCACTTGCAGATTCTACAGAAAGAGTGTTTCGAACCTGAACTCTCAAAGGCAGGTTCATCTCTGCGAGTTAAATGCATTCATCATGAAGAACTTTCTCAGCGTGTTTGTGTTTAGTTATGGGAAATTATTCCCGTTTCCAACGAAATCCTCAGAGAGCTCCAAATATCCACCTGCAGATTCTACCAAAAGTGTATTTGGAAACTGCTCCATCAAAAGGCATGTTCAGCTCTGTGAGTGAAACTCCATCATCACAAAGAATATTCTGAGAATGCTTCCGTTTCCCTTTTATATGAAGTTCCTTCCTATACTACCGTAGGCCTCAAAGCAGTCCAAATCTCCATTTGCAGATTCTACAAAAAGAGTGATTCCAATCTGCTCTATCAATAGGACTGTTCAACTCCATGAGTTGAATGCCATCCTCACAAAGTCGTTTCTGAGAATGCTTCTATCTAGTTTTTATGTGAAGATATTCCCTTTTCCACCACAGGCCTCAAAGCCCTCCAAACGTCCACTTGCAGATTCTCGAAAAAGAGTGTTTCATAGCTGCTCTTTCAAAAGGAAAGTTCAACTCTGGGAGTTGAATACAAACATCACAAAGTAGTTTCCGAGAATGCTTCTGTTTAGTTCTTATGTGAAGATGATCCCGTTTCCAGTGAAATCTTCAAAGAGGTCCACATATCCCCTTGCAGATTCCAAAGAAAGAGGGTTTCAAAACTGCTCCATCAAAAGGATTGTTCAACTCTGTGAGTTGAATGCAGTCATTGCAGAAAACTTTCTGAGAATGCTTCTGTCTAGGTTTGATGTGAAGATATAGACGTTTCAAACGAAGGCTACAAAGTGGTCAAAATATACACTTGCAGATTCTACTACAAGGGTGTTGCAAACCTGAACTATCAAAGGAAGGTTCAACTCTGTGAGTTGAATACAAACATCACAAAGAATGTTCTGAGTTTGCTTCCGTTCAGTTATGGGAAGTTGATCCCATTTCCAACGAAATCCTCAGAGAGGTCCAAATATCCCCTTGCAGATTCTACAAAACGTGTGTTTGGAAACTGCTCCATCATAACGAATGTTCAGCTCTCTGAGTTAAACTCCATCGTCACAAAGAATTTTCTGAGAGTGCTACCGTCTGGTTTTTATATGAAGTTCTTTCCTTCACTACCACTGGCCTCAAAGCGGTCCAAATCTCCACTTGCAGATTCTACAAAAAGAGTGTTTGCAAACTGCTCTATCAAAAGGAATGTTCAACTCTGGGAGTTGAATGCAATCATCACAGAGCAGTTTCTGAGAATGCTTCTATGTCGTTTTTAGGAGAAGATATTTCCTTTTCCAACACAGTCCTCCAAGCCCGCTAAATAGCCACTTGCACATTGTAGAAAAAGTGTGTCAAAGCTGCGCTATCAAAGGGAAAGTTCAACTCTGTGAGGTGAATGCAAACATCCCAAAGAAGTTTCTGAGAATGCTTCCGTTTAGCTTTTAGGTGAAGATTATCCCGTTTCCAACGAAACCTTCAAAGAGGTCCAAATATCCCCTTGCGGATCCCACAGAAAGAGTGTTTCGAAACTGCTGTTTCAAAAGGAATCTTCAACTCTGTGAGTTGAATGCAATCATCACAAAGAAGTTTCTGACAATGCTTCTCTCTCGTCTTTCTGTGAAGATAAAGGAAAAGGCTTTCAGGCCTTTTCCACCACAGGCCTGAAAGCGCTCCAAAAGAATATTTCAAAACTGCTCTATGAAAAGCAATGTTAAACTCTGTGGCTCGAACACAAACATCACAAAGCGGTTTCTGAGAATGCTTCAGTTTAGTTTTTCTGTGGAAATATTCCCGTTTCCAAAGAAATCTTCAAAGAGGTCCACGTATCCACTTACAGATTCTACAAAAAGACAGTTTCAAAACTGCTCCATCAAAAGGAGGGTTCAACTGTGTGACTTGAATGCAATCATCACTCAGAAGTTTCTGAGAATGCTTCTCTTTAGTTTTTACGTGAACATATACCCGTTTCGAACGAACGCCACCCAGTGGTCCAAATATCCACTTGCAGATTCTACAGAGTGTTTCGAACCTGAACTCTCAAAGGCAGGTTCATCTCTGCGAGTTAAATGCATTCATCATGAAGAACTTTCTCAGAGTGTTTGTGTTTAGTTATGGGAAATTATTCCCTTTTCCAACGAAATCCTCAGAGTGGTCCAAATATCCACCTGCAGATTCTACCAAAAGTGTATTTGGAAACTGCTCCATCAAAAGGCATGTTCAGCTCTGTGAGTGAAACTCCATCATCACAAAGAATATTCTGAGAATGCTTCCGTTTGCCTTTTATATGAAGTTCCTTCCTGTACTACCGTAGGCCTCAAAGCAGTCCAAATCTCCATTTGCAGATTCTACAAAAAGAGTGATTCCAATCTGCTCTATCAATAGGATTGTTCAACTCCATGAGTTGAATGCCATCCTCACAAAGTAGTTTCTGAGAATGCTTCTATCTGGTTTTTGTGTGAAGATATTTCCTTTTCCACCACAGGCCTCAAAGCCCTCCAAACGTCCACTTGCAGATTCTAGAAAAAGAGTGTTTCATAGCTGCTCTTTCAAAAGGAAAGTTCAACTCTGGGAGTTGAATACAAACATCACAAAATAGTTTCCGAGAATGCTTCTGTTTAGTTTTTATGTGAAGATGATCCCGTTTCCAGTGAAATCTTCAAAGAGGTCCACATATCCTCTTGCAGATTCCAAAGAAAGAGGGTTTCAAAACTGCTCCATCAAAAGGATTGTTCAACTCTGTGAGTTGAATGCAGTCATCGCAGAAAACTTTCTGAGAATGCTTCTGTCTAGGTTTGATGTGAAGATATAGATGTTTCAAACGAAGGCTACAAAGTGGTCAAAATATACACTTGCAGATTCTACTACAAGAGTGTTGCAAACCTGAACTATCAAAGGAAGGTTCAACTCTGTGAGTTGAATACAAACATCACAAAGAATGTTCTGAGTTTGCTTCCGTTCAGTTATGGGAAGTTGATCCCGTTTCCAACGAAATCCTCAGAGAGGTCCAAATATCCCCTCGCAGATTCTACAAAACGTGTGTTTGGAAACTGCTCCATCATAACGAATGTTCAGCTCCCTGAGTTAAACTCCATCGTCACAAAGAATTTTCTGAGAGTGCTACCGTCTGGTTTTTATATGAAGTTCTTTCCTTCACTACGACAGGCCTCAAAGCGGTCCAAATCTCCACTTGCAGATTCTACAAAAAGAGTGTTTGCAAACTGCTCTATCAAAAGGAATGTTCAACTCTGGGAGTTGAATGCAATCATCACAGAGCAGTTTCTGAGAATGCTTCTATGTCGTTTTTAGGAGAAGATATTTCCTTTTCCAACACAGTCCTCCAAGCCCGCTAAATAGCCACTTGCACATTGTAGAAAAAGTGTGTCAAAGCTGCGCTATCAAAGGGAAAGTTCAACTCTGTGAGGTGAATGCAAACATCCCAAAGAAGTTTCTGAGAATGCTTCCGTTTAGCTTTTAGGTGAAGATTATCCCGTTTCCAACGAAACCTTCAAAGAGGTCCAAATATCCCCTTGCGGATCCCACAGAAAGAGTGTTTCGAAACTGCTGTTTCAAAAGGAATCTTCAACTCTGTGAGTTGAATGCAATCATCACAAAGAAGTTTCTGACAATGCTTCTCTCTCGTCTTTCTGTGAAGATAAAGGAAAAGGCTTTCAGGCCTTTGCCACCACAGGCCTGAAAGCGCTCCAAATGTCCACTTGCAGATTCTGCGAAAAGAATATTTCAAAACTGCTCTATGAAAAGCAATGTTAAACTCTGTGGCTCGAACACAAACATCACAAAGAGGTTTCTGAGAATGCTTCAGTTTAGTTTTTCTGTGGAAATATTCCCGTTTCCAAAGAAATCTTCAAAGAGGTCCACGTATCCACTTACAGATTCTACAAAAAGACAGTTTCAAAACTGCTCCATCAAAAGGAGGGTTCAACTGTGTGACTTGAATGCAATCATCACTCAGAAGTTTCTGAGAATGCTTCTCTTTAGTTTTTACGTGAACATATACCCGTTTCGAACGAAGGCCACCCAGTGGTCCAAATATCCACTTGCAGATTATACAGAAAGTGTGTTTCGAACCTGAACTCTCAAAGGCAGGTTCATCTCTGCGAGTTAAATGCATTCATCATGAAGAACTTTCTCAGCGTGTTTGTGTTTAGTTATGGGAAATTATTCCCGTTTCCAACGAAATCCTCAGAGAGCTCCAAATATCCACCTGCAGATTCTACCAAAAGTGTATTTGGAAACTGCTCCATCAAAAGGCATGTTCAGCTCTGTGAGTGAAACTCCATCATCACAAAGAATATTCTGAGAATGCTTCCGTTTGCCTTTTATATGAAGTTCCTTCCTATACTACCGTAGGCCTCAAAGCAGTCCAAATCTCCATTTGCAGATTCTACAAAAAGAGTGATTCCAATGTGCTCTATCATTAGGATTGTTCAACTCCATGAGTTGAATGCCATCCTCACAAAGTCGTTTCTGAGAATGCTTCTATCTAGTTTTTATGTGAAGATATTTCCTTTTCCACCACAGGCCTCAAAGCCCTCCAAACGTCCACTTGCAGATTCTCGAAAAAGAGTGTTTCATAGCTGCTCTTTCAAAAGGAAAGTTCAACTCTGGGAGTTGAATACAAACATCACAAAGTAGTTTCCGAGAATGCTTCTGTTTAGTTCTTATGTGAAGATGATCCCGTTTCCAGTGAAATCTTCAAAGAGGTCCACATATCCCCTTGCAGATTCCAAAGAAAGAGGGTTTCAAAACTGCTCCATCAAAAGGATTGTTCAACTCTGTGAGTTGAATGCAGTCATCGCAGAAATCTTTCTGAGAATGCTTCTGTCTAGGTTTGATGTGAAGATATAGACGTTTCAAACGAAGGCTACAAAGTGGTCAAAATATACACTTGCAGATTCTACTACAAGGGTGTTGCAAACCTGAACTATCAAAGGAAGGTTCAACTCTGTGAGTTGAATACAAACATCACAAAGAATGTTCTGAGTTTGCTTCCGTTCAGTTATGGGAAGTTGATCCCTTTTCCAACAAAATCCTCAGAGAGGTCCAAATATCCCCTTGCAGATTCTACAAAACGTGTGTTGGGAAACTGCTCCATCATAACGAATGTTCAGCTCCCTGAGTTAAACTCCATCGTCACAAAGAATTTTCTGAGAGTGCTACCGTCTGGTTTTTATATGAAGTTCTTTCCTTCACTACCACAGGCCTCAAAGCGGTCCAAACCTCCACTTGCAGATTCTACAAAAAGAGTGTTTGCAAACTGCTCTATCAAAAGGAATGTTCAACTCTGGGAGTTGAATGCAATCAACACAGAGCAGTTTCTGAGAATGCTTCTATGTCGTTTTTAGGAGAAGATATTTCCTTTTCCAACACAGTCCTCCAAGCCCGCTAAATAGCCACTTGCACATTGTAGAAAAAGTGTGTCAAAGCTGCGCTATCAAAGGGAAAGTTCAACTCTGTGAGGTGAATGCAAACATCCCAAAGAAGTTTCTGAGAATGCTTCCGTTTAGCTTTTAGGTGAAGATTATCCCGTTTCCAACGAAACCTTCAAAGAGGTCCAAATATCCCCTTGCGGATCCCACAGAAAGAGTGTTTCGAAACTGCTGTTTCAAAAGGAATCTTCAACTCTGTGAGTTGAATGCAATCATCACAAAGAAGTTTCTGACAATGCTTCTCTCTCGTCTTTCTGTGAAGATAAAGGAAAAGGCTTTCAGGCCTTTGCCACCACAGGCCTGAAAGCGCTCCAAATGTCCACTTGCAGATTCTGCCAAAAGAATATTTCAAAACTGCTCTATGAAAAGCAATGTTAAACTCTGTGGCTGGAACACAAACATCACAAAGCGGTTTCTGATAATGTTTCAGTTTAGTTTTTCTGTGGAAATATTCCCGTTTCCAAAGAAATCTTCAAAGAGGTCCACGTATCCACTTACAGATTCTACAAAAAGACAGTTTCAAAACTGCTCCATCAAAAGGAGGGTTCAACTGTGTGACTTGAATGCAATCATCACTCAGAAGTTTCTGAGAATGCTTCTCTTTAGTTTTTACGTGAACATATACCCGTTTCGAACGAAGGCCACCCAGTGGTCCAAATATCCACTTGCAGATTCTACAGAAAGAGTGTTTCGAACCTGAACTCTCAAAGGCAGGTTCATCTCTGCGAGTTCAATGCATTCATCATGAAGAACTTTCTCAGAGTGTTTGTGTTTAGGTATGGGAAATTATTCCCGTTTCCAACGAAATCTTCAGAGAGGTCCAAATATCCACCTGCAGATTCTACCAAAAGTGTATTTGGAAACTGCTCCATCAAAAGGCATGTTCAGCTCTGTGAGTGAAACTCCATCATCACAAAGAATATTCTGAGAATGCTTCCGTTTGCCTTTTATATGAAGTTCCTTCCTATACTACCGTAGGCCTCAAAGCAGTCCAAATCTCCATTTGCAGATTCTACCAAAAGAGTGATTCCAATCTGCTCTATCAATAGGATTGTTCAACTCCATGAGTTGAATGCCATCCTCACAAAGTCGTTTCTGAGAATGCTTCTATCTAGTTTTTATGTGAAGATATTTCCTTTTCCACCACAGGCCTCAAAGCCTTCCAAACGTCCACTTGCAGATTCTCGAAAAAGAGTGTTTCATAGCTGCTCTTTCAAAAGGAAAGTTCAACTCTGGGAGTTGAATACAAACATCACAAAGTAGTTTCCGAGAATGCTTCTGTTTAGTTTTTATGTGAAGATGATCCCGTTTCCAGTGAAATCTTCAAAGAGGTCCACATATCCCCTTGCAGATTCCAAAGAAAGAGGGTTTCAAAACTGCTCCATCAGAAGGATTGTTCAACTCTGTGAGTTGAATGCAGTCATCGCAGAAAACTTTCTGAGAATGCTTCTGTCTAGGTTTGATGTGAAGATATAGACGTTTCAAACGAAGGCTACAAAGTGGTCAAAATATACACTTGCAGATTCTACTACAAGGGTGTTGCAAACCTGAACTATCAAAGGAAGGTTCAACTCTGTGAGTTGAATACAAACATCACAAAGAATGTTCTGAGTTTGCTTCCGTTCAGTTATGGGAAGTTGATCCCGTTTCCAACGAAATCCTCAGAGAGGTCCAAATATCCCCTTGCAGATTCTACAAAACGTGTGTTTGGAAACTGCTCCATCATAACGAATGTTCAGCTCCCTGAGTTAAACTCCATCGTCACAAAGAATTTTCTGAGAGTGCTACCGTCTGGTTTTTATATGAAGTTCTTTCCTTCACTACCACAGGCCTCAAAGCGGTCCAAATCTCCACTTGCAGATTCTACAAAAAGAGTGTTTGCAAACTGCTCTATCAAAAGGAATGTTCAACTCTGGGAGTTGAATGCAATCATCACAGAGCAGTTTCTGAGAATGCTTCTATGTCGTTTTTAGGAGAAGATATTTCCTTTTCCAACACAGTCCTCCAAGCCCGCTAAATAGCCACTTGCACATTGTAGAAAAAGTGTGTCAAAGCTGCGCTATCAAAGGGAAAGTTCAACTCTGTGAGGTGAATGCAAACATCCCAAAGAAGTTTCTGAGAATGCTTCCGTTTAGCTTTTAGGTGAAGATTATCCCGTTTCCAACGAAACCTTCAAAGAGGTCCAAATATCCCCTTGCGGATCCCACAGAAAGAGTGTTTCGAAACTGCTGTTTCAAAAGGAATCTTCAACTCTGTGAGTTGAATGCAATCATCACAAAGAAGTTTCTGACAATGCTTCTCTCTCGTCTTTCTGTGAAGATAAAGGAAAAGGCTTTCAGGCCGTTTCCACCACAGGCCTGAAAGCGCTCCAAATGTCCACTTGCAGATTCTGCGAAAAGAATATTTCAAAACTGCTCTACGAAAAGCAATGTTAAACTCTGTGGCTCGAACACAAACATCACAAAGCGGTTTCTGAGAATGCTTCAGTTTAGTTTTTCTGTGGAAATATTCCCGTTTCCAAAGAAATCTTCAAAGAGGTCCACGTATCCACTTACAGATTCTACAAAAAGACAGTTTCAAAACTGCTCCATCAAAAGGAGGGTTCAACTGTGTGACTTGAATGCAATCATCACTCAGAAGTTTCTGAGAATGCTTCTCTTTAGTTTTTACGTGAACATATACCCGTTTCGAACGAAGGCCACCCAGTGGTCCAAATATCCACTTGCAGATTATACAGAAAGAGTGTTTCGAACCTGAACTCTCAAAGGCAAGTTCATCTCTGCAAGTTAAATGCATTCATCATGAAGAACTTTCTCAGAGTGTTTGTGTTTAGTTATGGGAAATTATTCCCGTTTCCAACGAAATCCTCAGAGAGCTCCAAATATCCACCTGCTGATTCTACCAAAAGTGTATTTGGAAACTGCTCCATCAAAAGGCATGTTCAGCTCTGTGAGTGAAACTCCATCATCACAAAGAATATTCTGAGAATGCTTCCGTTTGCCTTTTATATGAAGTTCCTTCCTGTACTACTGTAGGCCTCAAAGCAGTCCAAATCTCCATTTGCAGATTCTACAAAAAGAGTGATTCCAATCTGCTCTATCAATAGGATTGTTCAACTCCATGAGTTGAATGCCATCCTCACAAAGTAGTTTCTGAGAATGCTTCTATCTAGTTTTTATGTGAAGGTATTTCCTTTTCCACCACAGGCCTCCAAGCCCTCCAAACGTCCACTTGCAGATTCTCGAAAAAGAGTGTTTCATAGCTGCTCTTTCAAAAGGAAAGTTCAACTCTGGGAGTTGAATACAAACATCACAAAGTAGTTTCCGAGAATGCTTCTGTTTAGTTTTTATGTGAAGATGATCCCGTTTCCAGTGAAATCTTCAAAGAGGTCCACATATCCCCTTGCAGATTCCAAAGAAAGAGGGTTTCAAAACTGCTCCATCAGAAGGATTGTTCAACTCTGTGAGTTGAATGCAGTCATCGCAGAAAACTTTCTGAGAATGCTTCTGTCTAGGTTTGATGTGAAGATATAGACGTTTCAAACGAAGGCTACAATGTGGTCAAAATATACACTTGCAGATTCTACTACAAGGGTGTTACAAACCTGAACTATCAAAGGATGGTTCAACTCTGTGAGTTGAATACAAACATCACAAAGAATGTTCTGAGTTTGCTTCCGTTCAGTTATGGGAAGTTGATCCCGTTTCCAACGAAATCCTCAGAGAGGTCCAAATATCCCCTCGCAGATTCTACAAAACGTGTGTTTGGAAACTGCTCCATCATAACGAATGTTCAGCTCCCTGAGTTAAACTCCATCGTCACAAAGAATTTTCTGAGAGTGCTACCGTCTGGTTTTTATATGAAGTTCTTTCCTTCACTACCACAGGCCTCAAAGCGGTCCAAATCTCCACTTGCAGATTCTACAAAAAGAGTGTTTGCAAACTGCTCTATCAAAAGGAATGTTCAACTCTGGGAGTTGAATGCAATCATCACAGAGCAGTTTCTGAGAATGCTTCTATGTCGTTTTTAGGAGAAGATATTTCCTTTTCCAACACAGTCCTCCAAGCCCGCTAAATAGCCACTTGCACATTGTAGAAAAAGTGTGTCAAAGCTGCGCTATCAAAGGGAAAGTTCAACTCTGTGAGGTGAATGCAAACATCCCAAAGAAGTTTCTGAGAATGCTTCCGTTTAGCTTTTAGGTGAAGATTATCCCGTTTCCAACGAAACCTTCAAAGAGGTCCAAATATCCCCTTGCGGATCCCACAGAAAGAGTGTTTCGAAACTGCTGTTTCAAAAGGAATCTTCAACTCTGTGAGTTGAATGCAATCATCACAAAGAAGTTTCTGACAATGCTTCTCTCTCGTCTTTCTGTGAAGATAAAGGAAAAGGCTTTCAGGCCTTTTCCACCACAGGCCTGAAAGCGCTCCAAATGTCCACTTGCAGATTCTGCCAAAAGAATATTTCAAAACTGCTCTATGAAAAGCAATGTTAAACTCTGTGGCTCGAACACAAACATCACAAAGCAGTTTCTGAGAATGCTTCAGTTTAGTTTTTCTGTGGAAATATTCCCGTTTCCAAAGAAATATTCAAAGAGGTCCACGTATCCACTTACAGATTTTACAAAAAGACAGTTTCAAAACTGCTCAATCAAAAGGAGGGTTCAACTGTGTGACTTGAATGTAATCATCACTCAGAAGTTTCTGAGAATGCTTCTCTTTAGTTTTTACGTGAACATATACCCGTTTCGAACGAAGGCCACCCAGTGGTCCAAATATCCACTTGCAGATTATACAGAAAGAGTGTTTCGAACCTGAACTCTCAAAGGCAGGTTCATCTCTGCGAGTTAAATGCATTCATCATGAAGAACTTTCTCAGAGTGTTTGTGTTTAGTTATGGGAAATTATTCCCGTTTCCAACGAAATCCTCAGAGAGCTCCAAATATCCACCTGCAGATTCTACCAAAAGTGTATTTGGAAACTGCTCCATCAAAAGGCACGTTCAGCTCTGTGAGTGAAACTCCATCATCACACAAAATATTCTGAGAATGCTTCCGTTTGCCTTTTATATGAAGTTCCTTCCTATACTACCGTAGGCCTCAAAGCAGTCCAAATCTCCATTTGCAGATTCTACAAAAAGAGTGATTCCAATCTCCTCTATCAATAGGACTGTTCAACTCCATGAGTTGAATGCCATCCTCACAAAGTCGTTTCTGAGAATGCTTCTATCTAGTTTTTATGTGAAGATATTTCCTTTTCCACCACAGGCCTCAAAGCCCTCCAAACGTCCACTTGCAGATTCTCGAAAAAGAGTGTTTCATAGCTGCTCTTTCAAAAGGAAAGTTCAACTCTGGGAGGTGAATACAAACATCACAAATTAGTTTCCGAGAATGCTTCTGTTTAGTTCTTATGTGAAGATGATCCCGTTTCCAGTGAAATCTTCAAAGAGGTCCACATATCCCCTTGCAGATTCCAAAGAAAGAGGGTTTCAAAACTGCTCCATCAAAAGGATTGTTCAACTCTGTGAGTTGAATGCAGTCATCGCAGAAAACTTTCTGAGAATGCTTCTGTCTAGGTTTGATGTGAAGATATAGACGTTTCAAACGAAGGCTACAAAGTGGTCAAAATATACACTTGCAGATTCTACTACAAGGGTGATGCAAACCTCAACTATCAAAGGAAGGTTCAACTCTGTGAGATGAATGCAACCATCACAAAAAATGTTCTGAGTTTGCTTCCGTTTAGTTATGGGAAATTGATACCGTTTCCAACGAAATCCTCAGAGAGGTCCAAATATCCCCTTGCAGATTCTACAAAACGTGTGTTTGGAAACTGCTCCATCATAACGAATGTTCAGCTCTCTGAGTTAAACTCCATCGTCACAAAGAATTTTCTGAGAGTGCTACCGTCTAGTTTTTATATGAAGTTCTTTCCTTTACTACCACAGGCCTCAAAGCGGTCCAAATCTCCACTTGCAGATTCTACAAAAAGAGTGTTTGCAAACTGCTCTATCAAAAGGAATGTTCAACTCTGGGAGTTGAATGCAATCATCACAGAGCAGTTTCTGAGAATGCTTCTATGTGGTTTTTAGGAGAAGATATTTCCTTTTCCAACACAGTCCTGCAAGCCCGCTAAATATCCACTTGCACATTTTAGAAAAAGTGTGTCGAAGCTGCGCTATCAAAGGGAAAGTTCAACTCTGTGAGGTGAATGCGAACATCCCAAAGAAGTTTCTGAGAATGCTTCCGTTTAGCTTTTAGGTGAAGATTATCCCGTTTCCAACGAAATCTTCAAAGAGGTCCAAATATCCCCTTGCGGATCCCCCAGAAAGAGTGTTTCGAAACTGCTGTTTCAAAAGGAATCTTCAACTCTGTGAGTTGAATGCAATCATCACAAAGAAGTTTCTGACAATGCTTCTCTCTCGTCTTTCTGTGAAGATAAAGGAAAAGGCTTTCAGGCCTTTTCCACCACAGGCCTGAAAGCGCTCCAAATGTCCACTTGCAGATTCTGCCAAAAGAATATTTCAAAACTGCTCTATGAAAAGCAATGTTAAACTCTGTGGCTCGAACACAAACATCACAAAGCAGTTTCTGAGAATGCTTCAGTTTAGTTTTTCTGTGGAAATATTCCCGTTTCCAAAGAAATCTTCAAAGAGGTCCACGCATCCACTTACAGATTCTACAAAAAGACAGTTTCAAAACTGCTCAATCAAAAGGAGGGTTCAACTGTGTGACTTGAATGCAATCATCACTCAGAAGTTTCTGAGAACGCTTCTCTTTAGTTTTTACGTGAACATATACCCGTTTGGAATGAAGGCCAGCCAGTGGTCCAAATATCCACTTGCAGATTCCACAGAAAGAGTGTTTCGAACCTGAACTCTCAAAGGCAGGTTCATCTCTGCGAGTTAAATGCATTCATCATGAAGAACTTTCTCAGCGTGTTTGTGTTTAGTTATGGGAAATTATTCCCGTTTCCAACGAAATCCTCAGAGAGCTCCAAATATCCACCTGCAGATTCTACCAAAAGTGTATTTGGAAACTGCTCCATCAAAAGGCATGTTCAGCTCTGTGAGTGAAACTCCATCATCACAAAGAATATTCTGAGAATGCTTCCGTTTGCCTTTTATATGAAGTTCCTTCCTGTACTACCGTAGGCCTCAAAGCAGTCCAAATCTCCATTTGCAGATTCTACAAAAAGAGTGATTCCAATCTGCTCTATCAATAGGATTGTTCAACTCCATGAGTTGAATGCCATCCTCACAAAGTAGTTTCTGAGAATGCTTCTATCTGGTTTTTGTGTGAAGATATTTCCTTTTCCACCACAGGCCTCAAAGCCCTCCAAACGTCCACTTGCAGATTCTCGAAAAAGAGTGTTTCATAGCTGCTCTTTCAAAAGGAAAGTTCAACTCTGGGAGTTGAATACAAACATCACAAAGTAGTTTCCGAGAATGCTTCAGTTTAGTTTTTATGTGAAGATGATCCCGTTTCCAGTGAAATCTTCAAAGAGGTCCACATATCCCCTTGCAGATTCCAAAGAAAGAGGGTTTCAAAACTGCTCCATCAGAAGGATTGTTCAACTCTGTGAGTTGAATGCAGTCATCGCAGAAAACTTTCTGAGAATGCTTCTGTCTAGGTTTGATGTGAAGATATAGATGTTTCAAACGAAGGCTACAAAGTGGTCAAAATATACACTTGCAGATTCTACTACAAGGGTGTTGCAAACCTGAACTATCAAAGGAAGGTTCAACTCTGTGAGTTGAATACAAACATCACAAAGAATGTTCTGAGTTTGCTTCCGTTCAGTTATGGGAAGTTGATCCCGTTTCCAACGAAATCCTCAGAGAGGTCCAAATATCCCCTTGCAGATTCTACAAAACGTGTGTTTGGAAACTGCTCCATCATAACGAATGTTCAGCTCCCTGAGTTAAACTCCATCGTCACAAAGAATTTTCTGAGAGTGCTACCGTCTGGTTTTTATATGAAGTTCTTTCCTTCACTACCACAGGCCTCAAAGCGGTCCAAATCTCCACTTGCAGATTCTACAAAAAGAGTGTTTGCAAACTGCTCTATCAAAAGGAATGTTCAACTCTGGGAGTTGAATGCAATCATCACAGAGCAGTTTCTGAGAATGCTTCTATGTCGTTTTTAGGAGAAGTATATTTCCTTTTCCAACACAGTCCTCCAAGCCCGCTAAATAGCCACTTGCACATTGTAGAAAAAGTGTGTCAAAGCTGCGCTATCAAAGGGAAAGTTCAACTCTGTGAGGTGAATGCAAACATCCCAAAGAAGTTTCTGAGAATGCTTCCGTTTAGCTTTTAGGTGAAGATTATCCCGTTTCCAACGAAACCTTCAAAGAGGTCCAAATATCCCCTTGCGGATCCCACAGAAAGAGTGTTTCGAAACTGCTGTTTCAAAAGGAATCTTCAACTCTGTGAGTTGAATGCAATCATCACAAAGAAGTTTCTGACAATGCTTCTCTCTCGTCTTTCTGTGAAGATAAAGGAAAAGGCTTTCAGGCCTTTTCCACCACAGGCCTGAAAGCGCTCCAAATGTCCACTTGCAGATTCTGCGAAAAGAATATTTCAAAACTGCTCTATGAAAAGCAATGTTAAACTCTGTGGCTCGAACGCAAACATCACAAAGCAGTTTCTGAGAATGCTTCAGTTTAGTTTTTCTGTGGAAATATTCCCGTTTCCAAAGAAATCTTCAAAGAGGTCCACGTATCCACTTACAGATTCTACAAAAAGACAGTTTCAAAACTGCTCCATCAAAAGGAGGGTTCAACTGTGTGACTTGAATGCAATCATCACTCAGAAGTTTCTGAGAATGCTTCTCTTTAGTTTTTACGTGAACATATAACCTTTTCGAACCAAGGCCAGCCAGTGGTCCAAATATCCACTTGCAGATTCTACAGAAAGAATGTTTCGAACCTGAACTCTCAAAGGCAGGTTCATCTCTGCGAGTTAAATGCATTCATCATGAAGAACTTTCTCAGAGTGTTTGTGTTTAGTTATGGGAAATTATTCCCGTTTCCAACGAAATCCTCAGAGAGCTCCAAATATCCACCTGCAGATTCTACCAAAAGTGTATTTGGAAACTGCTCCATCAAAAGGCATGTTCAGCTCTGTGAGTGAAACTCCATCATCACAAAGAATATTCTGAGAATGCTTCCGTTTGCCTTTTATATGAAGTTCCTTCCTATACTACCGTAGGCCTCAAAGCAGTCCAAATCTCCATTTGCAGATTCTACAAAAAGAGTGATTCCAATCTGCTCTATCAATAGGATTGTTCAACTCCATGAGTTGAATGCCATCCTCACAAAGTAGTTTCTGAGAATGCTTCTATCTAGTTTCTATGTGAAGATATTTCCTTTTCCACCACAGGCCTCAAAGCCCTCCAAACGTCCACTTGCAGATTCTCGAAAAAGAGGGTTTCATAGCTGCTCTTTCAAAAGGAAAGTTCAACTCTGGGAGTTGAATACAAACATCACAAAGTAGTTTCCGAGAATGCTTCTGTTTAGTTCTTATGTGAAGATGATCCCGTTTCCAGTGAAATCTTCAAAGAGGTCCACATATCCCCTTGCAGATTCCAAAGAAAGAGGGTTTCAAAACTGCTCCATCAAAAGGATTGTTCAACTCTGTGAGTTGAATGCAGTCATCGCAGAAAACTTTCTGAGAATGCTTCTGTCTAGGTTTGATGTGAAGATATAGACGTTTCAAACGAAGGCTACAAAGTGGTCAAAATATACACTTGCAGATTCTACTACAAGGGTGTTGCAAACCTCAACTATCAAAGGAAGGTTCAACTCTGTGAGATGAATGCAAACATCACAAAGAATGTTCTGAGTTTGCTTCCGTTCAGTTATGGGAAGTTGATCCCGTTTCCAACGAAATCCTCAGAGAGGTCCAAATATCCCCTTGCAGATTCTACAAAACGTGTGTTTGGAAACTGCTCCATCATAACGAATGTTCAGCTCCCTGAGTTAAACTCCATCGTCACAAAGAATTTTCTGAGAGTGCTAACCGTCTGGTTTTTATATGAAGTTCTTTCCTTTACTACCACAGGCCTCAAAGCGGTCCAAATCTCCACTTGCAGATTCTACAAAAAGAGTGTTTGCAAACTGCTCTATCAAAAGGAATGTTCAACTCTGGGAGTTGAATGCAATCATCACAGAGCAGTTTCTGAGAATACTTCTATGTCGTTTTTAGGAGAAGATATTTCCTTTTCCAACACAGTCCTCCAAGCCCGCTAAATATCCACTTGCACATTGGAGAAAAAGTGTGTCGAAGCTGCGCTATCAAAGGGAAAGTTCAACTCTGTGAGGTGAATGCAAACATCCCAAAGAAGTTTCTGAGAATGCTTCCGTTTAGCTTTTAGGTGAAGATTATCCCGTTTCCAACGAAATCTTCAAAGAGGTCCAAATATCCCCTTGCGGATCCCACAGAAAGAGTGTTTCGAAACTGCTGTTTCAAAAGGAATCTTCAACTCTGTGGGTTGAATGCAATCATCACAAAGAAGTTTCTGACAATGCTTCTCTCTCGTCTTTCTGTGAAGATAAAGGAAAAGGCTTTCAGGCCTTTTCCACCACAGGCCTGAAAGCGCTCCAAATGTCCACTTGCAGATTCTGCCAAAAGAATATTTCAAAACTGCTCTATGAAAAGCAATGTTAAACTCTGCGGCTCGAACACAAACATCACAAAGCAGTTTCTGAGAATGCTTCAGTTTAGTTTTTCTGTGGAAATATTCCCATTTCCAAAGAAATCTTCAAAGAGGTCCACGTATCCACTTACAGATTCTACAAAAAGACAGTTTCAAAACTGCTCAATCAAAAGGAGGGTTCAACCGTGTGACTTGAATGCAATCATCACTCAGAAGTTTCTGAGAATGCTTCTCTTTAGTTTTTACGTGAACATATACCCGTTTCGAACGAAGGCCAGCCAGTGGTCCAAATATCCACTTGCAGATTCTACAGAAAGAGTGTTTCGAACCTGAACTCTCAAAGGCAGGTTCATCTCTGCGAGTTCAATGCATTCATCATGAAGAACTTTCTCAGAGTGTTTGTGTTTAGGTATGGGAAATTATTGCCGTTTCCAACGAAATCCTCAGAGAGGTCCAAATATCCACCTGCAGATTCTACCAAAAGTGTATTTGGAAACTGCTCCATCAAAAGGCATGTTCAGCTCTGTGAGTGAAACTCCATCATCACAAAGAATATTCTGAGAATGCTTCCGTTTGCCTTTTATATGAAGTTCCTTCCTATACGACCGTAGGCCTCAAAGCAGTCCAAATCTCCATTTGCAGATTCTACAAAAAGAGTGATTCCAATCTGCTCTATCAATAGGATTGTTCAACTCCATGAGTTGAATGCCATCCTCACAAAGTCGTTTCTGAGAATGCTTCTATATAGTTTTTATGTGAAGATATTTCCTTTTCCACCACAGGCCTCAAAGCCCTCCAAACGTCCACTTGCAGATTCTCGAAAAAGAGTGTTTCATAGCTGCTCTTTCAAAAGGAAAGTTCAACTCTGGGAGTTGAATACAAACATCACAAAGTAGTTTCCGAGAATGCTTCTGTTTAGTTTTTATGTGAAGATGATGCCGTTTCCAGTGAAATCTTCAAAGAGGTCCACATATCCCCTTGCAGATTCCAAAGAAAGAGGGTTTCAAAACTGCTCCATCAGAAGGATTGTTCAACTCTGTGAGTTGAATGCAGTCATCGCAGAAAACTTTCTGAGAATGCTTCTGTCTAGGTTTGATGTGAAGATATAGACGTTTCAAACGAAGGCTACAAAGTGGTCAAAATATACACTTGCAGATTCTACTACAAGGGTGTTGCAAACCTGAACTATCAAAGGAAGGTTCAACTCTGTGAGTTGAATACAAACATCACAAAGAATGTTCTGAGTTTGCTTCCGTTCAGTTATGGGAAGTTGATCCCGTTTCCAACGAAATCCTCAGAGAGGTCCAAATATCCCCTTGCAGATTCTACAAAACGTGTGTTTGGAAACTGCTCCATCATAACGAATGTTCAGCTCCCTGAGTTAAACTCCATTGTCACAAAGAATTTTCTGAGAGTGCTGCCGTCTGGTTTTTATATGAAGTTCTTTCCTTCACTACCACAGACCTCAAAGCGGTCCAAATCTCCACTTGCAGATTCTACAAAAAGAGTGTTTGCAAACTGCTCTATCAAAAGGAATGTTCAACTCTGGGAGTTGAATGCAATCATCACAGAGCAGTTTCTGAGAATGCTTCTATGTCGTTTTTAGGAGAAGATATTTCCTTTTCCAACACAGTCCTCCAAGCCCGCTAAATAGCCACTTGCACATTGTAGAAAAAGTGTGTCAAAGCTGCGCTATCAAAGGGAAAGTTCAACTCTGTGAGGTGAATGCAAACATCCCAAAGAAGTTTCTGAGAATGCTTCCGTTTAGCTTTTAGGTGAAGATTATCCCGTTTCCAACGAAACCTTCAAAGAGGTCCAAATATCCCCTTGCGGATCCCACAGAAAGAGTGTTTCGAAACTGCTGTTTCAAAAGGAATCTTCAACTCTGTGAGTTGAATGCAATCATCACAAAGAAGTTTCTGACAATGCTTCTCTCTCGTCTTTCTGTGAAGATAAAGGAAAAGGCTTTCAGGCCTTTTCCACCACAGGCCTGAAAGCGCTCCAAATGTCCACTTGCAGATTCTGCCAAAAGAATATTTCAAAACTGCTCTATGAAAAGCAATGTTAAACTCTGTGGCTCGAACACAAACATCACAAAGCGGTTTCTGAGAATGCTTCAGTTTAGTTTTTCTGTGGAAATATTCCCGTTTCCAAAGAAATCTTCAAAGAGGTCCACGTATCCACTTACAGATTCTACAAAAAGACAGTTTCAAAACTGCTCCATCAAAAGGAGGGTTCAACTGTGTGACTTGAATGCAATCATCACTCAGAAGTTTCTGAGAATGCTTCTGTTTAGTTTTTACGTGAACATATAGCCGTTTCGAACGAAGGCCACCCAGTGGTCCAAATATCCACTTGCAGATTCTACAGAAAGAGTGTTTCGAACCTGAACTCTCAAAGGCAGGTTCATCTCTGCGAGTTCAATGCATTCATCATGAAGAACTTTCTCAGCGTGTTTGTGTTTAGTTATGGGAAATTATTCCCGTTTCCAACGAAATCCTCAGAGAGCTCCAAATATCCACCTGCAGATTCTACCAAAAGTGTATTTGGAAACTGCTCCATCAAAAGGCATGTTCAGCTCTGTGGGTGAAACTCCATCATCACAAAGAATATTCTGAGAATGCTTCCGTTTGCCTTTTATATGAAGTTCCTTCCTATACTACCGTAGGCCTCAAAGCAGTCCAAATCTCCATTTGCAGATTCTACAAAAAGAGTGATTCCAATCTGCTCTATCAATAGGACTGTTCAACTCCATGAGTTGAATGCCATCCTCACAAAGTAGTTTCTGAGAATGCTTCTATCTAGTTTTTATGTGAAGATATTTCCTTTTCCACCACAGGCCTCAAAGCCCTCCAAACGTCCACTTGCAGATTCTCGAAAAAGAGTGCTTCATAGCTGCTCTTTCAAAAGGGAAGTTCAACTCTGGGAGCTGAATACAAACATCACAAAGTAGTTTCCGAGAATGCTTCTGTTTAGTTCTTATGTGAAGATGATCCCGTTTCCAGTGAAATCTTCAAAGAGGTCCACATATCCCCTTGCAGATTCCAAAGAAAGAGGGTTTCAAAACTGCTCCATCAAAAGGATTGTTCAACTCTGTGAGTTGAATGCAGTCATCGCAGAAAACTTTTCTGAGAATGCTTCTGTCTAGGTTTGATGTGAAGATATAGACGTTTCAAATGAAGGCTACAAAGTGGTCAAAATATACACTTGCAGATTCTACTACAAGGGTGTTGCAAACCTGAACTATCAAAGGAAGGTTCAACTCTGTGAGTTGAATACAAACATCACAAAGAATGTTCTGAGTTTGCTTCCGTTCAGTTATGGGAAGTTGATCCCGTTTCCAACGAAATCCTCAGAGAGGTCCAAATATCCCCTTGCAGATTCTACAAAACGTGTGTTTGGAAACTGCTCCATCATAACGAATGTTCAGCTCCCTGAGTTAAACTCCATCGTCACAAAGAATTTTCTGAGAGTGCTACCGTCTGGTTTTTATATGAAGTTCTTTCCTTCACTACCACTGGCCTCAAAGCGGTCCAAATCTCCACTTGCAGATTCTACAAAAAGAGTGTTTGCAAACTGCTCTATAAAAAGGAATGTTCAACTCTGGGAGTTGAATGCAATCATCACAGAGCAGTTTCTGAGAATGCTTCTATGTCGTTTTTAGGAGAAGATATTTCCTTTTCCAACACAGTCCTCCAAGCCCGCTAAATAGCCACTTGCACATTGTAGAAAAAGTGTGTCAAAGCTGCGCTATCAAAGGGAAAGTTCAACTCTGTGAGGTGAATGCAAACATCCCAAAGAAGTTTCTGAGAATGCTTCCGTTTAGCTTTTAGGTGAAGATTATCCCGTTTCCAACGAAACCTTCAAAGAGGTCCAAATATCCCCTTGTGGACCCCACAGAAAGAGTGTTTCGAAACTGCTGTTTCAAAAGGAATCTTCAACTCTGTGAGTTGAATGCAATCATCACAAAGAAGTTTCTGACAATGCTTCTCTCTCGTCTTTCTGTGAAGATAAAGGAAAAGGCTTTCAGGCCTTTTCCACCACAGGCCTGAAAGCGCTCCAAATGTCCACTTGCAGATTCTGCGAAAAGAATATTTCAAAACTGCTCTATGAAAAGCAATGTTAAACTCTGTGGCTCGAACACAAACATCACAAAGCTGTTTCTGAGAATGCTTCAGTTTAGTTTTTCTGTGGAAATATTCCCGTTTCCAAAGAAATCTTCAAAGAGGTCCACGTATCCACTTACAGATTCTACAAAAAGACAGTTTCAAAACTGCTCCATCAAAAGGAGGGTTCAACTGTGTGACTTGAATGCAATCATCACTCAGAAGTTTCTGAGAATGCTTCTCTTTAGTTTTTACGTGAACATATACCCGTTTCGAACGAAGGCCACCCAGTGGTCCAAATATCCACTTGCAGATTCTACAGAAAGAGTGTTTCGAACCTGAACTCTCAAAGGCAGGTTCATCTCTGCGAGTTAAATGCATTCATCATGAAGAACTTTCTCAGAGTGTTTGTGTTTAGTTATGGGAAATTATTCCCGTTTCCAACGAAATCCTCAGAGAGCTCCAAATATCCACCTGCAGATTCTACCAAAAGTGTATTTGGAAACTGCTCCATCAAAAGGCATGTTCAGCTCTGTGAGTGAAACTCCATCATCACAAAGAATATTCTGAGAATGCTTCCGTTTGCCTTTTATCTGAAGTTCCTTCCTATACGACCGTAGGCCTCAAAGCAGTCCAAATCTCCATTTGCAGATTCCACAAAAAGAGTGATTCCAATCTGCTCTATCAATAGGATTGTTCAACTCCATGAGTTGAATGCCATCCTCACAAAGTCGTTTCTGAGAATGCTTCTATCTAGTTTTTATGTGAAGATATTTCCTTTTCCACCACAGGCCTCAAAGCCCTCCAAACGTCCACTTGCAGATTCTCGAAAAAGAGTGTTTCATAGCTGCTCTTTCAAAAGGAAAGTTCAACTCTGGGAGTTGAATACAAACATCACAAAGTAGTTTCCGAGAATGCTTCTGTTTAGTTCTTATGTGAAGATGATCCCGTTTCCAGTGAAATCTTCAAAGAGGTCCACATATCCCCTTGCAGATTCCAAAGAAAGAGGGTTTCAAAACTGCTCCATCAAAAGGATTGTTCAACTCTGTGAGTTGAATGCAGTCATCGCAGAAAACTTTCTGAGAATGCTTCTGTCTAGGTTTGATGTGAAGATATAGACGTTTCAAACGAAGGCTACAAAGTGGTCAAAATATACACTTGCAGATTCTACTACAAGGGTGTTGCAAACCTCAACTATCAAAGGAAGGTTCAACTCTGTGAGACGAATGCAAACATCACAAAGAATGTTCTGAGTTTGCTTCCGTTCAGTTATGGGAAGTTGATCCCGTTTCCAACGAAATCCTCAGAGAGGTCCAAATATCCCCTTGCAGATTCTACAAAACGTGTGTTTGGAAACTGCTCCATCATAACGAATGTTCAGCTCCCTGAGTTAAACTCCATCGTCACAAAGAATTTTCTGAGAGTGCTACCGTCTGGTTTTTATATGAAGCTCTTTCCTTCACTACCACAGGCCTCAAAGCGGTCCAAATCTCCACTTGCAGATTCTACAAAAAGAGTGTTTGCAAACTGCTCTATCAAAAGGAATGTTCAACTCTGGGAGTTGAATGCAATCATCACAGAGCAGTTTCTGAGAATGCTTCTATGTCGTTTATAGGAGAAGATATTTCCTTTTCCAACACAGTCCTCCAAGCCCGCTAAATATCCACTTGCACATTGTAGAAAAAGTGTGTCAAAGCTGCGCTATCAAAGGGAAAGTTCAACTCTGAGAGGTGAATGCAAACATCCCAAAGAAGTTTCTGAGAGTGCTTCCGTTTAGCTTTTAGGTGAAGATTATCCCGTTTCCAACGAAACCTTCAAAGAGGTCCAAATATCCCCTTGCGGATCCCACAGAGTGTTTCGAAACTGCTGTTTCAAAAGGAATCTTCAACTCTGTGAGTTGAATGCAATCATCACAAAGAAGTTTCTGACAATGCTTCTCTCTCGTCTTTCTGTGAAGATAAAGGAAAAGGCTTTCAGGCCTTTGCCACCACAGGCCTGAAAGCGCTCCAAATGTCCACTTGCAGATTCTGCGAAAAGAATATTTCAAAACTGCTCTATGAAAAGCAATGTTAAACTCTGTGGCTCGAACACAAACATCACAAAGCGGTTTCTGAGAATGCTTCAGTTTAGTTTTTCTTTGGAAATATTCCCGTTTCCAAAGAAATCTTCAAAGAGGTCCACGTATCCACTTACAGATTCTACAAAAAGACAGTTTCAAAACTGCTCCATCAAAAGGAGGGTTCAACTGTGTGACTTGAATGCAATCATCACTCAGAAGTTTCTGAGAATGCTTCTCTTTAGTTTTTACGTGAACATATACCCGTTTCGAACGAAGGCCAGCCAGTGGTCCAAATATCCACTTGCAGATTCTACAGAAAGAGTGTTTCGAACCTGAACTCTCAAAGGCAGGTTCATCTCTGCGAGTTAAATGCATTCATCATGAAGAACTTTCTCAGAGTGTTTGTGTTTAGTTATGGGAAATTATTCCCGTTTCCAACGAAATCCTCAGAGAGCTCCAAATATCCACCTGCAGATTCTACCAAAAGTGTATTTGGAAACTGCTCCATCAAAAGGCATGTTCAGCTCTGTGAGTGAAACTCCATCATCACAAAGAATATTCTGAGAATGCTTCCGTTTGCCTTTTATATGAAGTTCCTTCCTATACGACCGTAGGCCTCAAAGCAGTCCAAATCTCCATTTGCAGATTCTACAAAAAGAGTGATTCCAATCTGCTCTATCAATAGGATTGTTCAACTCCATGAGTTGAATGCCATCCTGACAAAGTAGTTTCTGAGAATGCTTCTATCTGGTTTTTGTGTGAAGATATTTCCTTTTCCACCACAGGCCTCAAAGCCCTCCAAACGTCCACTTGCAGATTCCCGAAAAAGAGTGTTTCATAGCTGCTCTTTCAAAAGGAAAGTTCAACTCTGGGAGTTGAATACAAACATCACAAAGTAGTTTCCGAGAATGCTTCTGTTTAGTTTTTATGTGAAGATGATCCCGTTTCCAGTGAAATCTTCAAAGAGGTCCACATATCCCCTTGCAGATTCCAAAGAAAGAGGGTTTCAAAACTGCTCCATCAGAAGGATTGTTCAACTCTGTGAGTTGAATGCAGTCATCGCAGAAAACTTTCTGAGAATGCTTCTGTCTAGGTTTGATGTGAAGATATAGACGTTTCAAACGAAGGCTACAAAGTGGTCAAAATATACACTTGCAGATTCTACTACAAGGGTGTTGCAAACCTGAACTATCAAAGGAAGGTTCAACTCTGTGAGTTGAATACAAACATCACAAAGAATGTTCTGAGTTTGCTTCCGTTCAGTTATGGGAAGTTGATCCCGTTTCCAACGAAATCCTCAGAGAGGTCCAAATATCCCCTCGCAGATTCTACAAAACATGTGTTTGGAAACTGCTCCATCATAACGAATGTTCAGCTCCCTGAGTTAAACTCCATCGTCACAAAGAATTTTCTGAGAGTGCTACCGTCTGGTTTTTATATGAAGTTCTTTCCTTCACTACCACAGGCCTCAAAGCGGTCCAAATCTCCACTTGCAGATTCTACAAAAAGAGTGTTTGCAAACTGCTCTATCAAAAGGAATGTTCAACTCTGGGAGTTGAATGCAATCATCACAGAGCAGTTTCTGAGAATGCTTCTATGTCGTTTTTAGGAGAAGATATTTCCTTTTCCAACACAGTCCTCCAAGCCCGCTAAATAGCCACTTGCACATTGTAGAAAAAGTGTGTCAAAGCTGCGCTATCAAAGGGAAAGTTCAACTCTGTGAGGTGAATGCAAACATCCCAAAGAAGTTTCTGAGAATGCTTCCGTTTAGCTTTTAGGTGAAGATTATCCCGTTTCCAACGAAACCTTCAAAGAGGTCCAAATATCCCCTTGCGGATCCCACAGAAAGAGTGTTTCGAAACTGCTGTTTCAAAAGGAATCTTCAACTCTGTGAGTTGAATGCAATCATCACAAAGAAGTTTCTGACAATGCTTCTCTCTCGTCTTTCTGTGAAGGTAAAGGAAAAGGCTTTCAGGCCTTTTCCACCCACAGGCCTGAAAGCGCTCCAAATGTCCACTTGCAGATTCTGCCAAAAGAATATTTCAAAACTGCTCTATGAAAAGCAATGTTAAACTCTGTGGCTCGAACACAAACATCACAAAGCGGTTTCTGAGAATGCTTCAGTTTAGTTTTTCTGTGGAAATATTCCCGTTTCCAAAGAAATCTTCAAAGAGGTCCACGTATCCACTTACAGATTCTACAAAAAGACAGTTTCAAAACTGCTCCATCAAAAGGAGGGTTCAACTGTGTGAGTTGAATGCAATCATCACTCAGAAGTTTCTGAGAATGCTTCTCTTTAGTTTTTACGTGAACATATACCCGTTTCGAACGAAGGCCAGCCAGTGGTCCAAATATCCACTTGCAGATTCTACAGAAAGAGTGTTTCGAACCTGAACTCTCAAAGGCAGGTTCATCTCTGCGAGTTAAATGCATTCATCATGAAGAACTTTCTCAGAGTGTTTGTGTTTAGTTATGGGAAATTATTCCCGTTTCCAACGAAATCCTCAGAGAGCTCCAAATATCCACCTGCAGATTCTACCAAAAGTGTATTTGGAAACTGCTCCATCAAAAGGCATGTTCAGCTCTGTGAGTGAAACTCCATCATCACAAAGAATATTCTGAGAATGCTTCCGTTTGCCTTTTATCTGAAGTTCCTTCCTATACGACCGTAGGCCTCAAAGCAGTCCAAATCTCCATTTGCAGATTCTACAAAAAGAGTGATTCCAATCTGCTCTATCAATAGGATTGTTCAACTCCATGAGTTGAATGCCATCCTCACAAAGTCGTTTCTGAGAATGCTTCTATCTAGTTTTTATGTGAAGATATTTCCTTTTCCACCACAGGCCTCAAAGCCCTCCAAACGTCCACTTGCAGATTCTCGAAAAAGAGTGTTTCATAGCTGCTCTTTCAAAAGGAAAGTTCAACTCTGGCAGTTGAATACAAACATCACAAAGTAGTTTCCGAGAATGCTTCTGTTTAGTTTTTATGTGAAGATGATCCCGTTTCCAGTGAAATCTTCAAAGAGGTCCACATATCCCCTTGCAGATTCCAAAGAAAGAGGGTTTCAAAACTGCTCCATCAGAAGGATTGTTCAACTCTGTGAGTTGAATGCAGTAATCGCAGAAAACTTTCTGAGAATGCTTCTGTCTAGGTTTGATGTGAAGATATAGACGTTTCAAACGAAGGCTACAAAGTGGTCAAAATATACACTTGCAGATTCTACTACAAGGGTGTTGCAAACCTGAACTATCAAAGGAAGGTTCAACTCTGTGAGTTGAATACAAACATCACAAAGAATGTTCTGAGTTTGCTTCCGTTCAGTTATGGGAAGTTGATCCCGTTTCCAACGAAATCCTCAGAGAGGTCCAAATATCCCCTTGCAGATTCTACAAAACGTGTGTTTGGAAACTGCTCCATCATAACGAATGTTCAGCTCCCTGAGTTAAACTCCATCGTCACAAAGAATTTTCTGAGAGTGCTACCGTCTGGTTTTTATATGAAGTTCTTTCCTTCACTACCACAGGCCTCAAAGCGGTCCAAATCTCCACTTGCAGATTCTACAAAAAGAGTGTTTGCAAACTGCTCTATCAAAAGGAATGTTCAACTCTGGGAGTTGAATGCAATCATCACAGAGCAGTTTCTGAGAATGCTTCTATGTCGTTTTTAGGAGAAGATATTTCGTTTTCCAACACAGTCCTCCAAGCCCGCTAAATAGCCACTTGCACATTGTAGAAAAAGTGTGTCAAAGCTGCGCTATCAAAGGGAAAGTTCAACTCTGTGAGGTGAATGCAAACATCCCAAAGAAGTTTCTGAGAATGCTTCCGTTTAGCTTTTAGGTGAAGATTATCCCGTTTCCAACGAAACCTTCAAAGAGGTCCAAATATCCCCTTGCGGATCCCACAGAAAGAGTGTTTCGAAACTGCTGTTTCAAAAGGAATCTTCAACTCTGTGAGTTGAATGCAATCATCACAAAGAAGTTTCTGACAATGCTTCTCTCTCGTCTTTCTGTGAAGATAAAGGAAAAGGCTTTCAGGCCTTTTCCACCACAGGCCTGAAAGCGCTCCAAATGTCCACTTGCAGATTCTGCCAAAAGAATATTTCAAAACTGCTCTATGAAAAGCAATGTTAAACTCTGTGGCTCGAACACAAACATCACAAAGCAGTTTCTGAGAATGCTTCAGTTTAGTTTTTCTGTGGAAATATTCCCGTTTCCAAAGAAATCTTCAAAGAGGTCCACGCATCCACTTACAGATTCTACAAAAAGACAGTTTCAAAACTGCTCAATCAAAACGAGGGTTCAACTGTGTGACTTGAATGCAATCATCACTCAGAAGTTTCTGAGAACGCTTCTCTTTAGTTTTTACGTGAACATATACCCGTTTCGAACGAAGGCCACCCAGTGGTCCAAATATCCACTTGCAGATTCTACAGAAAGAGTGTTTCGAACCTGAACTCTCAAAGGCAGGTTCATCTCTGCGAGTTAAATGCATTCATCATGAAGAACTTTCTCAGCGTGTTTGTGTTTAGTTATTGGAAATTATTCCCGTTTCCAACGAAATCCTCAGAGAGGTCCAAATATCCACCTGCAGATTCTACCAAAAGTGTATTTGGAAACTGCTCCATCAAAAGGAATGTTCAGCTCTGTGAGTGAAACTCCATCATCACAAAGAATATTCTGAGAATGCTTCCATTTGCCTTTTATATGAAGTTCCTTCCTATACTACCGTAGGCCTCAAAGCAGTCCAAATCTCCATTTGCAGATTCTACAAAAAGAGTGATTCCAATCTGCTCTATCAATAGGACTGTTCAACTCCATGAGTTGAATGCCATCCTCACAAAGTAGTTTCTGAGAATGTTTCTATCTAGTTTTTATGTGAAGATATTTCCTTTTCCACCACAGGCCTCAAAGCCCTCCAAACGTCCACTTGCAGATTCTCGAAAAAGAGTGTTTCATAGCTGCTCTTTCAAAAGGAAAGTTCAACTCTGGGAGCTGAATACAAACATCACAAAGTAGTTTCCGAGAATGCTTCTGTTTAGTTCTTATGTGAAGATGATCCCGTTTCCAGTGAAATCTTCAAAGAGGTCCACATATCCCCTTGCAGATTCCAAAGAAAGAGGGTTTCAAAACTGCTCCATCAAAAGGATTGTTCAACTCTGTGAGTTGAATGCAGTCATCGCAGAAAACTTTCTGAGAATGCTTCTGTCTAGGTTTGATGTGAAGATATAGACGTTTCAAACGAAGGCTACAAAGTGGTCAAAATATACACTTGCAGATTCTACTACAAGGGTGTTGCAAACCTGAACTATCAAAGGAAGGTTCAACTCTGTGAATTGAATACAAACATCACAAAGAATGTTCTGAGTTTGCTTCCGTTCAGTTATGGGAAGTTGATCCCGTTTCCAACGAAATCCTCAGAGAGGTCCAAATATCCCCTTGCAGATTCTACAAAACGTGTGTTTGGAAACTGCTCCATCATAACGAATGTTCAGCTCCCTGAGTTAAACTCCATCGTCACAAAGAATTTTCTGAGAGTGCTACCGTCTAGTTTTTATATGAAGTTCTTTCCTTTACTACCACAGGCCTCAAAGCGGTCCAAATCTCCACTTGCAGATTCTACAAAAAGAGTGTTTGCAAAGTGCTCTATCAAAAGGAATGTTCAACTCTGGGAGTTGAATGCAATCATCACAGAGCAGTTTCTGAGAATGCTTCTATGTCGTTTTTAGGAGAAGATATTTCCTTTTCCAACACAGTCCTCCAAGCCCGCTAAATATCCACTTGCACATTGTAGAAAAAGTGTGTCGAAGCTGCGCTATCAAAGGGAAAGTTCAACTCTGTGAGGTGAATGCAAACATCCCAAAGAAGTTTCTGAGAATGCTTCCGTTTAGCTTTTAGGTGAAGATTATCCAGTTTCCAACGAAACCTTCAAATAGATCCAAATATCCCCTTGCGGTTCCCACAGAAAGAGTGTTTCGAAACTGCTGTTTCAAAAGGAATCTTCAACTCTGTGAGTTGAATGCAATCATCACAAAGAAGTTTCTGACAATGCTTCTCTCTCGTCTTTCTGTGAAGATAAAGGAAAAGGCTTTCAGGCCTTTTCCACCACAGGCCTGAAAGCGCTCCAAATGTCCACTTGCAGATTCTGCCAAAAGAATATTTCAAAACTGCTCTATGAAAAGCAATGTTAAACTCTGCGGCTCGAACACAAACATCACAAAGCAGTTTCTGAGAATGCTTCAGTTTAGTTTTTCTGTGGAAATATTCCCGTTTCCAAAGAAATCTTCAAAGAGGTCCACGCATCCACTTACAGATTCTACAAAAACACAGTTTCAAAACTGCTCAATCAAAACGAGGGTTCAACTGTGTGACTTGAATGCAATCATCACTCAGAAGTTTCTGAGAATGCTTCTCTTTAGTTTTTACGTGAACATATACCCGTTTCGAACGAAGGCCACCCAGTGGTCCAAATATCCACTTGCAGATTCTACAGAAAGAGTGTTTCGAACCTGAAATCTCAAAGGCAGGTTCATCTCTGCGAGTTAAATGCATTCATCATGAAGAACTTTCTCAGCGTGTTTGTGTTTAGTTATGGGAAATTATTCCCGTTTCCAACGAAATCCTCAGAGAGGTTCAAATATTCACCTGCAGATTCTACCAAAAGTGTATTTGGAAACTGCTCCATCAAAAGGCATGTTCAACTCTGTGTGTGAAACTCCATCATCACAAAGAATATTCTGAGAATGCCTCCGTTTGCCTTTTATATGAAGTTCCTTCCTATACTACCGTAGGCCTCAAAGCAGTCCAAATCTCCATTTGCAGATTCTACAAAAAGAGTGATTCCAATCTGCTCTATCAATAGGACTGTTCAACTCCATGAGTTGAATGCCATCCTCACAAAGTCGTTTCTGAGAATGCTTCTATCTAGTTTTTATGTGAAGATATTTCCTTTTCCACCACAGGCCTCAAAGCCCTCCAAACGTCCACTTGCAGATTCTCGAAAAAGAGTGTTTCATAGCTGCTCTTTCAAAAGGAAAGTTCAACTCTGGGAGTTGAATACAAACATCACAAAGTAGTTTCCGAGAATGCTTCTGTTTAGTTCTTATGTGAAGATGATCCCCTTTCCAGTGAAATCTTCAAAGAGGTCCACATATCCCCTTGCAGATTCCAAAGAAAGAGGGTTTCAAAACTGCTCCATCAAAAGGATTGTTCAACTCTGTGAGTTGAATGCAGTCATCGCAGAAAACTTTCTGAGAATGCTTCTGTCTAGGTTTGATGTGAAGCATATAGACGTTTCAAACGAAGGCTACAAAGTGGTCAAAATATACACTTGCAGATTCTACTACAAGGGTGATGCAAACCTGAACTATCAAAGGAAGGTTCAACTCTGTGAGTTGAATACAAACATCACAAAGAATGTTCTGAGTTTGCTTCCGTTCAGTTATGGGAAGTTGATCCCGTTTCCAACGAAATCCTCAGAGAGGTCCAAATATCCCCTTGCAGATTCTACAAAACGTGTGTTTCGAAACTGCTCCATCATAACGAATGTTCAGCTCTCTGAGTTAAACTCCATCGTCACAAAGAATTTTCTGAGAGTGCCACCGTCTGGTTTTTATATGAAGTTGTTTCCTTTACTACCACAGGCCTCAAAGCGGTCCAAATCTCCACTTGCAGATTCTACAAAAAGAGTGTTTGCAAACTGCTCTATCAAAAGGAATGTTCAACTCTGGGAGTTGAATGCAATCATCACAGAGCAGTTTCTGAGAATGCTTCTATGTCGTTTTTAGAAGATATTTCCTTTTCCAACACAGTCCTCCAAGCCCGCTAAATAGCCACTTGCACATTGTAGAAAAAGTGTGTCAAAGCTGCGCTATCAAAGGGAAAGTTCAACTCTGTGAGGTGAATGCAAACATCCCAAAGAAGTTTCTGAGAATGCTTCCATTTAGCTTTTAGGTGAAGATTATCCCGTTTCCAACGAAACCTTCAAAGAGGTCCAAATATCCCCTTGCGGATCCCACAGAAAGAGTGTTTCGAAACTGCTGTTTCAAAAGGAATCTTCAACTCTGTGAGTTGAATGCAATCATCACAAAGAAGTTTCTGACAATGCTTCTCTCTCGTCTTTCTGTGAAGATAAAGGAAAAGGCTTTCAGGCCTTTTCCACCACAGGCCTGAAAGCGCTCCAAATGTCCACTTGCAGATTCTGCCAAAAGAATATTTCAAAACTGCTCTATGAAAAGCAATGTTAAACTCTGCGGCTCGAACACAAACATCACAAAGCGGTTTCTGAGAATGCTTCAGTTTAGTTTTTCTGTGGAAATATTCCCGTTTCCAAAGAAATCTTCAAAGAGGTCCACGTATCCACTTACAGATTCTACAAAAAGACAGTTTCAAAACTGCTCCATCAAAAGGAAGGTTCAACTGTGTGACTTGAATGCAATCATCACTCAGAAGTTTCTGAGAATGCTTCTCTTTAGTTTTTAGGTGAACATATACCCGTTTCGAACGAACGCCACCCAGTGGTCCAAATATCCACTTGCAGATTCTACAGAAAGAGTGTTTCGAACCTGAACTCTCAAAGGCAGGTTCATCTCTGCGAGTTAAATGCATTCATCATGAAGAACTTTCTCAGAGTGTTTGTGTTTAGTTATGGGAAATTATTCCCGTTTCCAACGAAATCCTCAGAGAGCTCCAAATATCCACCTGCAGATTCTACCAAAAGTGTATTTGGAAACTGCTCCATCAAAAGGCATGTTCAGCTCTGTCAGTGAAACTCCATCATCACAAAGAATATTCTGAGAATGCTTCCGTTTGCCTTTTATATGAAGTTCCTTCCTGTACTACCGTAGGCCTCAAAGCAGTCCAAATCTCCATTTGCAGATTCTACAAAAAGAGTGATTCCAATCTGCTCTATCAATAGGATTGTTCAACTCCATGAGTTGAATGCCATCCTCACAAAGTAGTTTCTGAGAATGCTTCTATCTGGTTTTTGTGTGAAGATATTTCCTTTTCCACCACAGGCCTCAAAGCCCTCCAAACGTCCACTTGCAGATTCTCGAAAAAGAGTGTTTCATAGCTGCTCTTTCAAAAGGAAAGTTCAACTCTGGGAGTTGAATACAAACATCACAAAATAGTTTCCGAGAATGCTTCTGTTTAGTTTTTATGTGAAGATGATCCCGTTTCCAGTGAATTCTTCAAAGAGGTCCACATATCCCCTTGCAGATTCCAAAGAAAGATGGTTTCAAAACTGCTCCATCAAAAGGATTGTTCAACTCTGTGAGTTGAATGCAGTCATCACAGCAAACTTTCTGAGAATGCTTCTTTCTAGGTTTGATGTGAAGATATAGACGTTTCAAACGAAGGCTACAAAGTGGTCAAAATATACACTTGCAGATTCTACTACAAGGGTGTTGCAAACCTGAACTATCAAAGGAAGGTTCAACTCTGTGAGTTGAATACAAACATCACAAAGAATGTTCTGAGTTTGCTTCCGTTCAGTTATGGGAAGTTGATCCCTTTTCCAACAAAATCCTCAGAGAGGTCCAAATATCCCCTTGCAGATTCTACAAAACGTGTGTTGGGAAACTGCTCCATCATAACGAATGTTCAGCTCCCTGAGTTAAACTCCATCGTCACAAAGAATTTTCTGAGAGTGCTACCGTCTGGTTTTTATATGAAGTTCTTTCCTTCACTACCACAGGCCTCAAAGCGGTCCAAACCTCCACTTGCAGATTCTACAAAAAGAGTGTTTGCAAACTGCTCTATCAAAAGGAATGTTCAACTCTGGGAGTTGAATGCAATCAACACAGAGCAGTTTCTGAGAATGCTTCTATGTCGTTTTTAGGAGAAGATATTTCCTTTTCCAACACAGTCCTCCAAGCCCGCTAAATAGCCACTTGCACATTGTAGAAAAAGTGTGTCAAAGCTGCGCTATCAAAGGGAAAGTTCAACTCTGTGAGGTGAATGCAAACATCCCAAAGAAGTTTCTGAGAATGCTTCCGTTTAGCTTTTAGGTGAAGATTATCCCGTTTCCAACGAAACCTTCAAAGAGGTCCAAATATCCCCTTGCGGATCCCACAGAAAGAGTGTTTCGAAACTGCTGTTTCAAAAGGAATCTTCAACTCTGTGAGTTGAATGCAATCATCACAAAGAAGTTTCTGACAATGCTTCTCTCTCGTCTTTCTGTGAAGATATAGGAAAAGGCTTTCAGGTCTTTTCCATCACAGGCCTGAAAGCGCTCCAAATGTCCACTTGCAGATTCTGCCAAAAGAATATTTCAAAACTGCTCTATGAAAAGCAATGTTAAACTCTGCGGCTCGAACACAAACATCACAAAGCAGTTTCTGAGAATGCTTCAGTTTAGTTTTTCTGTGGAAATATTCCCGTTTCCAAAGAAATCTTCAAAGAGGTCCACGCATCCACTTACAGATTCTACAAAAAGACAGTTTCAAAACTGCTCAATCAAAAGGAGGGTTCAACTGTGTGACTTGAAAGCAATCATCACTCAGAAGTTTCTGAGAACGCTTCTCTTTAGTTTTTACGTGAACATATACCCATTTCGAACGAAGGCCAGCCAGTGGTCCAAATATCCACTTGCAGATTCTACAGAAAGAGTGTTTCGAACCTGAACTCTCAAAGGCAGGTTCATCTCTGCGAGTTAAATGCATTCATCATGAAGAACTTTCTCAGCGTGTTTGTGTTTAGTTATGGGAAATTATTCCCGTTTCCAACGAAATCCTCAGAGAGCTCCAAATATCCACCTGCAGATTCTACCAAAAGTGTATTTGGAAACTGCTCCATCAAAAGGTATGTTCAGCTCTGTGAGTGAAACTCCATCATCACAAAGAATATTCTGAGAATGCTTCCGTTTGCCTTTTATATGAAGTTCCTTCCTATACGACCGTAGGCCTCAAAGCAGTCCAAATCTCCATTTGCAGATTCTACAAAAAGAGTGATTCCAATCTGCTCTATCAATAGGATTGTTCAACTCCATGAGTTGAATGCCATGCTCACAAAGTCGTTTCTGAGAATGCTTCTATCTAGTTTTTATGTGAAGATATTTCCTTTTCCACCACAGGCCTCAAAGCCCTCCAAACGTCCACTTGCAGATTCTCGAAAAAGTGTGTTTCATAGCTGCTCTTTCAAAAGGAAAGTTCAACTCTGGGAGCTGAATACAAACATCACAAAGTAGTTTCCGAGAATGCTTCTGTTTAGTTCTTATGTGAAGATGATCCCGTTTCCAGTGAAATCTTCAAAGAGGTCCACATATCCCCTTGCAGATTCCAAAGAAAGAGGGTTTCAAAACTGCTCCATCAAAAGGATTGTTCAACTCTGTGAGTTGAATGCAGTCATCGCAGAAAACTTTCTGAGAATGCTTCTGTCTAGGTTTGATGTGAAGATATAGACGTTTCAAACGAAGGCTACAAAGTGGTCAAAATATACACTTGCAGATTCTACTACAAGGGTGTTGCAAATCTGAACTATCAAAGGAAGGTTCAACTCTGTGAGTTGAATACAAACATCACAAAGAATGTTCTGAGTTTGCTTCCGTTCAGTTATGGGAAGTTGATCCCGTTTCCAACGAAATCCTCAGAGAGGTCCAAATATCCCCTTGCAGATTCTACAAAACGTGTGTTTGGAAACTGCTCCATCATAACGAATGTTCAGCTCCCTGAGTTAAACTCCATCGTCACAAAGAATTTTCTGAGAGTGCTACCGTCTGGTTTTTATATGATGCTCTTTCCTTCACTACCACAGGCCTCAAAGCGGTCCTAATCTCCACTTGCAGATTCTACAAAAAGAGTGTTTGCAAACTGCTCTATCAAAAGGAATGTTCAACTCTGGGAGTTGAATGCAATCATCACAGAGCAGTTTCTGAGAATGCTTCTATGTCGTTTTTAGGAGAAGATATTTCCTTTTCCAACACAGTCCTCCAAGCCCGCTAAATAGCCACTTGCACATTGTAGAAAAAGTGTGTCAAAGCTGCGCTATCAAAGGGAAAGTTCAACTCTGTGAGGTGAATGCAAACATCCCAAAGAAGTTTCTGAGAATGCTTCCGTTTAGCTTTTAGGTGAAGATTATCCCGTTTCCAACGAAACCTTCAAAGAGGTCCAAATATCCCCTTGCGGATCCCACAGAAAGAGTGTTTCGAAACTGCTGTTTCAAAAGGAATCTTCAACTCTGTGAGTTGAATGCAATCATCACAAAGAAGTTTCTGACAATGCTTCTCTCTCGTCTTTCTGTGAAGATAAAGGAAAAGGCTTTCAGGCCTTTTCCACCACAGGCCTGAAAGCGCTCCAAATGTCCACTTGCAGATTCTGCGAAAAGAATATTTCAAAACTGCTCTATGAAAAGCAATGTTAAACTCTGTGGCTGGAACACAAACATCACAAAGCGGTTTCTGAGAATGTTTCAGTTTAGTTTTTCTGTGGAAATATTCCCGTTTCCAAAGAAATCTTCAAAGAGGTCCACGTATCCACTTACAGATTCTACAAAAAGACAGTTTCAAAACTGCTCCATCAAAAGGAGGGTTCAACTGTGTGACTTGAATGCAATCATCACTCAGAAGTTTCTGAGAATGCTTCTCTTTAGTTTTTACGTGAACATATACCCGTTTCGAACGAAGGCCAGCCAGTGGTCCAAATATCAACTTGCAGATTCTACAGAAAGAGTGTTTCGAACCTGAACTCTCAAAGGCAGGTTCATCTCTGCGAGTTAAATGCATTCATCATGAAGAACTTTCTCAGAGTGTTTGTGTTTAGTTATGGGAAATTATTCCCGTTTCCAACGAAATCCTCAGAGAGCTCCAAATATCCACCTGCAGATTCTACCAAAAGTGTATTTGGAAACTGCTCCATCAAAAGGCATGTTCAGCTCTGTCAGTGAAACTCCATCATCACAAAGAATATTCTGAGAATGCTTCCGTTTGCCTTTTATATGAAGTTCCTTCCTATACTACCGTAGGCCTCAAAGCAGTCCAAATCTCCATTTGCAGATTCTACAAAAAGAGTGATTCCAATCTGCTCTATCAATAGGATTGTTCAACTCCATGAGTTGAATGCCATCCTCACAAAGTCGTTTCTGAGAATGCTTCTATCTAGTTTTTATGTGAAGATATTTCCTTTTCCACCACAGGCCTCAAAGCCCTCCAAACGTCCTATTGCAGATTCTTGAAAAAGAGTGTTTCATAGCTGCTCTTTCACAAGGAAAGTTCAACTCTGGGAGTTGAATACAAACTTCACAAAGTAGTTTCCGAGAATGCTTCTGTTTAGTTCTTATGTGAAGATGATCCCGTTTCCAGTGAAATCTTCAAAGAGGTCCACATATCCCCTTGCAGATTCCAAAGAAAGAGGGTTTCAAAACTGCTCCATCAAAAGGATTGTTCAACTCTGTGAGTTGAATGCAGTCATCGCAGAAAACTTTCTGAGAATGCTTCTGTCTAGGTTTGAGGTGAAGATATAGACGTTTCAAACGAAGGCTACAAAGTGTTCAAAATATACACTTGCAGATTCTACTACAAGGGTGTTGCAAACCTGAACTATCAAAGGAAGGTTCAACTCTGTGAGTTGAATACAAACATCACAAAGAATGTTCTGAGTTTGCTTCCGTTCAGTTATGGGAAGTTGATCCCGTTTCCAACGAAATCCTCAGAGAGGTCCAAATATCCCCTTGCAGATTCTACAAAACGTGTGTTTGGAAACTGCTCCATCATAACGAATGTTCAGCTCTCTGAGTTAAACTCCATCGTCACAAAGAATTTTCTGAGAGTGCTACCGTCTAGTTTTTATATGAAGTTCTTTCCTTTACTACCTCAGTCCTCAAAGCGGTCCAAATCTCCACTTGCAGATTCTACAAAAAGAGTGTTTGCAAACTGCTCTATCAAAAGGAATGTTCAACTCTGGGAGTTGAATGCAATCATCACAGAGCAGTTTCTGAGAATGCTTCTATGTCGTTTTTAGGAGAAGATATTTCCTTTTCCAACACAGTCCTCCAAGCCCGCTAAATATCCACTTGCACATTGTAGAAAAAGTGTGTCGAAGCTGCGCTATCAAAGGGAAAGTTCAACTCTGTGAGGTGAATGCAAACATCCCAAAGAAGTTTCTGAGAATGCTTCCGTTTAGCTTTTAGGTGAAGATTATCCCGTTTCCAACGAAACCTTCAAAGAGGTCCAAATATCCCCTTGCGGATCCCACAGAAAGAGTGTTTCGAAACTGCTGTTTCAAAAGGAATCTTCAACTCTGTGAGTTGAATGCAATCATCACAAAGAAGTTTCTGACAATGCTTCTCTCTCGTCTTTCTGTGAAGATAAAGGAAAAGGCTTTCAGGCCTTTGCCACCACAGGCCTGAAAGCGCTCCAAATGTCCACTTGCAGATTCTGCCAAAAGAATATTTCAAAACTGCTCTATGAAAAGCAATGTTAAACTCTGTGGCTCGAACACAAACATCACAAAGCGGTTTCTGAGAATGCTTCAGTTTAGTTTTTCTGTGGAAATATTCCCGTTTCCAAAGAAATCTTCAAAGAGGTCCACGTATCCACTTACAGATTCTACAAAAAGACAGTTTCAAAACTGCTCCATCAAAAGGAGGGTTCAACCGTGTGACTTGAATGCAATCATCACTCAGAAGTTTCTGAGAATGCTTCTCTTTAGTTTTTACGTGAACATATACCCGTTTCGAACGAAGGCCACCCAGTGGTCCAAATATCCACTTGCAGATTATACAGAAAGAGTGTTTCGAACCTGAACTCTCAAAGGCAGGTTCATCTCTGCGAGTTAAATGCATTCATCATGAAGAACTTTCTCAGAGTGTTTGTGTTTAGTTATGGGAAATTATTCCCGTTTCCAACGAAATCCTCAGAGAGCTCCAAATATCCACCTGCAGATTCTACCAAAAGTGTATTTGGAAACTGCTCCATCAAAAGGCATGTTCAGCTCTGTGAGTGAAACTCCATCATCACAAAGAATATTCTGAGAATGCTTCCGTTTGCCTTTTATATGAAGTTCCTTCCTGTACTACCGTAGGCCTCAAAGCAGTCCAAATCTCCATTTGCAGATTCTATAAAAAGAGTGATTCCAATCTGCTCTATCAATAGGATTGTTCAACTCCATGAGTTGAATGCCATCCTCACAAAGTAGTTTCTGAGAATGCTTCTATCTGGTTTTTGTGTGAAGATATTTCCTTTTCCACCACAGGCCTCAAAGCCCTCCAAACGTCCACTTGCAGATTCTCGAAAAAGAGTGTTTCATAGCTGCTCTTTCAAAAGGAAAGTTCAACTCTGGGAGTTGAATACAAACATCACAAAATAGTTTCCGAGAATGCTTCTGTTTAGTTTTTATGTGAAGATGATCCCGTTTCCAGTGAAATCTTCAAAGAGGTCCACATATCCCCTTGCAGATTCCAAAGAAAGAGGGTTTCAAAACTGCTCCATCAGAGGATTGTTCAACTCTGTGAGTTGAATGCAGTCATCGCAGAAAACTTTCTGAGAATGCTTCTGTCTAGGTTTGATGTGAAGATATAGACGTTTCAAACGAAGGCTACAAAGTGGTCAAAATATACACTTGCAGATTCTACTACAAGGGTGTTGCAAACCTGAACTATCAAAGGAAGGTTCAACTCTGTGGGTTGAATACAAACATCACAAAGAATGTTCTGAGTTTGCTTCCGTTCAGTTATGGGAAGTTGATCCCGTTTCCAACGAAATCCTCAGAGAGGTCCAAATATCCCCTTGCAGATTCTACAAAACGTGTGTTTGGAAACTGCTCCATCATAACGAATGTTCAGCTCCCTGAGTTAAACTCCATCGTCACAAAGAATTTTCTGAGAGTGCTACCGTCTGGTTTTTATATGAAGTTCTTTCCTTCACTACCACAGGCCTCAAAGCGGTCCAAATCTCCACTTGCAGATTCTACAAAAAGAGTGTTTGCAAACTGCTCTATCAAAAGGAATGTTCAACTCTGGGAGTTGAATGCAATCATCACAGAGCAGTTTCTGAGAATGCTTCTATGTCGTTTTTAGGAGAAGATATTTCCTTTTCCAACACAGTCCTCCAAGCCCGCTAAATAGCCACTTGCACATTGTAGAAAAAGTGTGTCAAAGCTGCGCTATCAAAGGGAAAGTTCAACTCTGTGAGGTGAATGCAAACATCCCAAAGAAGTTTCTGAGAATGCTTCCGTTTAGCTTTTAGGTGAAGATTATCCCGTTTCCAACGAAACCTTCAAAGAGGTCCAAATATCCCCTTGCGGATCCCACAGAAAGAGTGTTTCGAAACTGCTGTTTCAAAAGGAATCTTCAACTCTGTGAGTTGAATGCAATCATCACAAAGAAGTTTCTGACAATGCTTCTCTCTCGTCTTTCTGTGAAGATAAAGGAAAAGGCTTTCAGGCCTTTTCCACCACAGGCCTGAAAGCGCTCCAAATGTCCACTTGCAGATTCTGCCAAAAGAATATTTCAAAACTGCTCTATGAAAAGCAATGTTAAACTCTGTGGCTCGAACACAAACATCACAAAGCGGTTTCTGAGAATGCTTCAGTTTAGTTTTTCTGTGGAAATATTCCCGTTTCGAAAGAAATCTTCAAAGAGGTCCACGTATCCACTTACAGATTCTACAAAAAGACAGTTTCAAAACTGCTCAATCAAAAGGAGGGTTCAACCGTGTGACTTGAATGCAATCATCACTCAGAAGTTTCTGAGAATGCTTCTCTTTAGTTTTTACGTGAACATATACCCGTTTCGAACGAAGGCCACCCAGTGGTCCAAATATCCACTTGCAGATTCTACAGAAAGAGTGTTTCGAACCTGAACTCTCAAAGGCAGGTTCATCTCTGCGAGTTCAATGCATTCATCATGAAGAACTTTCTCAGAGTGTTTGTGTTTAGTTATGGGAAATTATTCCCGTTTCCAACGAAATCCTCAGAGAGGTCCAAATATCCACCTGCAGATTCTACCAAAAGTGTATTTGGAAACTGCTCCATCAAAAGGCATGTTCAGCTCTGTGAGTGAAACTCCATCATCACAAAGAATATTCTGAGAATGCTTCCGTTTGCCTTTTATCTGAAGTTCCTTCCTATACGACCGTAGGCCTCAAAGCAGTCCAAATCTCCATTTGCAGATTCTACAAAAAGAGTGATTCCAATCTGCTCTATCAATAGGATTGTTCAACTCCATGAGTTGAATGCCATCCTCCAAAGTCGTTTCTGAGAATGCTTCTATCTAGTTTTTATGTGAAGATATTTCCTTTTCCACCACAGGCCTCAAAGCCCTCCAAACGTCCACTTGCAGATTCTCGAAAAAGAGTGTTTCATAGCTGCTCTTTCAAAAGGAAAGTTCAACTCTGGGAGTTGAATACAAACATCACAAAGTAGTTTCCGAGAATGCTTCTGTTTAGTTTTTATGTGAAGATGATCCCGTTTCCAGTGAAATCTTCAAAGAGGTCCACATATCCCCTTGCAGATTCCAACGAAAGAGGGTTTCAAAACTGCTCCATCAGAAGGATTGTTCAACTCTGTGAGTTGAATGCAGTCATCGCAGAAAACTTTCTGAGAATGCTTCTGTCTAGGTTTGATGTGAAGATATAGACGTTTCAAACGAAGGCTACAAAGTGGTCAAAATATACACTTGCAGATTCTACTACAAGGGTGTTGCAAACCTGAACTATCAAAGGAAGGTTCAACTCTGTGAGTTGAATACAAACATCACAAAGAATGTTCTGAGTTTGCTTCCGTTCAGTTATGGGAAGTTGATCCCGTTTCCAACGAAATCCTCAGAGAGGTCCAAATATCCCCTTGCAGATTCTACAAAACGTGTGTTTGGAAACTGCTCCATCATAACGAATGTTCAGCTCCCTGAGTTAAACTCCATCGTCACAAAGAATTTTCTGAGAGTGCTACCGTCTGGTTTTTGTATGAAGTTCTTTCCTTCACTACCACAGGCCTCAAAGCGGTCCAAATCTCCACTTGCAGATTCTACAAAAAGAGTGTTTGCAAACTGCTCTATCAAAAGGAATGTTCAACTCTGGGAGTTGAATGCAATCATCACAGAGCAGTTTCTGAGAATGCTTCTATGTCGTTTTTAGAAGATATTTCCTTTTCCAACACAGTCCTCCAAGCCCGCTAAATATCCACTTGCACATTGTAGAAAAAGTGTGTCAAAGCTGCGCTATCAAAGGGAAAGTTCAACTCTGTGAGGTGAATGCAAACATCCCAAAGAAGTTTCTGAGAATGCTTCCGTTTAGCTTTTAGGTGAAGATTATCCCGTTTCCAACGAAACCTTCAAAGAGGTCCAAATATCCCCTTGCGGATCCCACAGAAAGAGTGTTTCGAAACTGCTGTTTCAAAAGGAATCTTCAACTCTGTGAGTTGAATGCAATCATCACAAAGAAGTTTCTGACAATGCTTCTCTCTCGTCTTTCTGTGAAGATAAAGGAAAAGGCTTTCAGGCCTTTGCCACCACAGGCCTGAAAGCGCTCCAAATGTCCACTTGCAGATTCTGCCAAAAGAATATTTCAAAACTGCTCTATGAAAAGCAATGTTAAACTCTGTGGCTCGAACACAAACATCACAAAGCGGTTTCTGAGAATGCTTCAGTTTAGTTTTTCTGTGGAAATATTCCCGTTTCCAAAGAAATCTTCAAAGAGGTCCACGTATCCACTTACAGATTCTACAAAAGGACAGTTTCAAAACTGCTCCATCAAAAGGAGTGTTCAACCGTGTGACTTGAATGCAATCATCACTCAGAAGTATCTGAGAATGCTTCTCTTTAGTTTTTACGTGAACATATACCCGTTTCGAACGAAGGCCACCCAGTGGTCCAAATATCCACTTGCAGATTATACAGAAAGAGTGTTTCGAACCTGAACTCTCAAAGGCAGGTTCATCTCTGCGAGTTAAATGCATTCATCATGAAGAACTTTCTCAGAGTGTTTTGTGTTTAGTTATGGGAAATTATTCCCGTTTCCAACGAAATCCTCAGAGAGCTCCAAATATCCACCTGCAGATTCTACCAAAAGTGTATTTGGAAACTGCTCCATCAAAAGGCATGTTCAGCTCTGTCAGTGAAACTCCATCATCACAAAGAATATTCTGAGAATGCTTCCGTTTGCCTTTTATATGAAGTTCCTTCCTGTACTACCGTAGGCCTCAAAGCAGTCCAAATCTCCATTTGCAGATTCTACAAAAAGAGTGATTCCAATCTGCTCTATCAATAGGATTGTTCAACTCCATGAGTTGAATGCCATCCTCACAAAGTCGTTTCTGAGAATGCTTCTATCTGGTTTTTGTGTGAAGATATTTCCTTTTCCACCACAGACCTCAAAGCCCTCCAAACGTCCACTTGCAGATTCTCGAAAAAGAGTGTTTCATAGCTGCTCTTTCAAAAGGAAAGTTCAACTCTGGGAGTTGAATACAAACATCACAAACTAGTTTCCGAGAATGCTTCTGTTTAGTTTTTATGTGAAGATGATCCCGTTTCCAGTGAAATCTTCAAAGAGGTCCACATATCCCCTTGCAGATTCCAAAGAAAGAGGGTTTCAAAACTGCTCCATCAGAAGGATTGTTCAACTCTGTGAGTTGAATGCAGTCATCGCAGAAAACTTTCTGAGAATGCTTCTGTCTAGGTTTGATGTGAAGATATAGACGTTTCAAACGAAGGCTACAAAGTGGTCAAAATATACACTTGCAGATTCTACTACAAGGGTGTTGCAAACCTGAACTATCAAAGGAAGGTTCAACTCTGTGAATTGAATACAAACATCACAAAGAATGTTCTGAGTTTGCTTCCGTTCAGTTATGGGAAGTTGATCCCGTTTCCAACGAAATCCTCAGAGAGGTCCAAATATCCCCTCGCAGATTCTACAAAACGTGTGTTTGGAAACTGCTCCATCATAACGAATGTTCAGCTCCCTGAGTTAAACTCCATCGTCACAAAGAATTTTCTGAGAGTGCTACCGTCTGGTTTTTATATGAAGTTCTTTCCTTCACTACCACAGGCCTCAAAGCGGTCCAAATCTCCACTTGCAGATTCTACAAAAAGAGTGTTTGCAAACTGCTCTATCAAAAGGAATGTTCAACTCTGGGAGTTGAATGCAATCATCACAGAGCAGTTTCTGAGAATGCTTCTATGTCGTTTTTAGGAGAAGATATTTCCTTTTCCAACACAGTCCTCCAAGCCCGCTAAATAGCCACTTGCACATTGTAGAAAAAGTGTGTCAAAGCTGCGCTATCAAAGGGAAAGTTCAACTCTGTGAGGTGAATGCAAACATCCCAAAGAAGTTTCTGAGAATGCTTCCGTTTAGCTTTTAGGTGAAGATTATCCCGTTTCCAACGAAACCTTCAAAGAGGTCCAAATATCCCCTTGCGGATCCCACAGAAAGAGTGTTTCGAAACTGCTGTTTCAAAAGGAATCTTCAACTCTGTGAGTTGAATGCAATCATCACAAAGAAGTTTCTGACAATGCTTCTCTCTCGTCTTTCTGTGAAGATAAAGGAAAAGGCTTTCAGGCCTTTTCCACCACAGGCCTGAAAGCGCTCCAAATGTCCACTTGCAGATTCTGTGAAAAGAATATTTCAAAACTGCTCTATGAAAAGCAATGTTAAACTCTGTGGCTCGAACACAAACATCACAAAGCAGTTTCTGAGAATGCTTCAGTTTAGTTTTTCTGTGGAAATATTCCCGTTTCCAAAGAAATCTTCAAAGAGGTCCACGTATCCACTTACAGATTCTACAAAAAGACAGTTTCAAAACTGCTCCATCAAAAGGAGGGTTCAACTGTGTGACTTGAATGCAATCATCACTCAGAAGTTTCTGAGAATGCTTCTCTTTAGTTTTTACGTGAACATATACCCGTTTCGAACGAAGGCCAGCCAGTGGTCCAAATATCCACTTGCAGATTCTACAGAAAGAGTGTTTCGAACCTGAACTCTCAAAGGCAGGTTCATCTCTGCGAGTTCAATGCATTCTAAATGAAGAACTTTCTCAGAGTGTTTTGTGTTTAGTTATGGGAAATTATTCCCGTTTCCAACGAAATCCTCAGAGAGCTCCAAATATCCACCTGCAGATTCTACCAAAAGTGTATTTGGAAACTGCTCCATCAAAAGGCATGTTCAGCTCTGTGAGTGAAACTCCATCATCACAAAGAATATTCTGAGAATGCTTCCGTTTGCCTTTTATATGAAGTTCCTTCCTGTACTACCGTAGGCCTCAAAGCAGTCCAAATCTCCATTTGCAGATTCTATAAAAAGAGTGATTCCAATCTGCTCTATCAATAGGATTGTTCAACTCCATGAGTTGAATGCCATCCTCACAAAGTAGTTTCTGAGAATGCTTCTATCTAGTTTTTATGTGAAGATATTTCCTTTTCCACCACAGGCCTCAAAGCCTTCCAAACGTCCACTTGCAGATTCTCGAAAAAGAGTGTTTCATAGCTGCTCTTTCAAAAGGAAAGTTCAACTCTGGGAGTTGAATACAAACATCACAAAGTAGTTTCCGAGAATGCTTCTGTTTAGTTTTTATGTGAAGATGATCCCGTTTCCAGTGAAATCTTCAAAGAGGTCCACATATCCCCTTGCAGATTCCAAAGAAAGAGGGTTTCAAAACTGCTCCATCAGAAGGATTGTTCAACTCTGTGAGTTGAATGCAGTCATCGCAGAAAACTTTCTGAGAATGCTTCTGTCTAGGTTTGATGTGAAGATATAGACGTTTCAAATGAAGGCTACAAAGTGGTCAAAATATACACTTGCAGATTGTACTACAAGGGTGTTGCAAACCTGAACTATCAAAGGAAGGTTCAACTCTGTGAGTTGAATACAAACATCACAAAGAATGTTCTGAGTTTGCTTCCGTTCAGTTATGGGAAGTTGATCCCGTTTCCAACGAAATCCTCAGAGAGGTCCAAATATCCCCTTGCAGATTCTACAAAACGTGTGTTTGGAATCTGCTCCATCGTAACGAATGTTCAGCTCCCTGAGTTAAACTCCATCGTCACAAAGAATTTTCTGAGAGTGCTACCGTCTGGTTTTTATATGAAGTTCTTTCCTTCACTACCACAGGCCTCAAAGCGGTCCAAATCTCCACTTGCAGATTCTACAAAAAGAGTGTTTGCAAACTGCTCTATCAAAAGGAATGTTCAACTCTGGGAGTTGAATGCAATCATCACAGAGCAGTTTCTGAGAATGCTTCTATGTCGTTTTTAGGAGAAGATATTTCCTTTTCCAACACAGTCCTCCAAGCCCGCTAAATAGCCACTTGCACATTGTAGAAAAAGTGTGTCAAAGCTGCGCTATCAAAGGGAAAGTTCAACTCTGTGAGGTGAATGCAAACATCCCAAAGAAGTTTCTGAGAATGCTTCCGTTTAGCTTTTAGGTGAAGATTATCCCGTTTCCAACGAAACCTTCAAAGAGGTCCAAATATCCCCTTGCGGATCCCACAGAAAGAGTGTTTCGAAACTGCTGTTTCAAAAGGAATCTTCAACTCTGTGAGTTGAATGCAATCATCACAAAGAAGTTTCTGACAATGCTTCTCTCTCGTCTTTCTGTGAAGATAAAGGAAAAGGCTTTCAGGCCTTTTCCACCACAGGCCTGAAAGCGCTCCAAATGTCCACTTGCAGATTCTGCCAAAAGAATATTTCAAAACTGCTCTATGAAAAGCAATGTTAAACTCTGTCGCTCGAACACAAACATCACAAAGCAGTTTCTGAGAATGCTTCAGTTTAGTTTTTCTGTGGAAATATTCCCGTTTCCAAAGAAATCTTCAAAGAGGTCCACGTATCCACTTACAGATTCTACAAAAAGACAGTTTCAAAACTGCTCCATCAAAAGGAGGGTTCAACTGTGTGACTTGAATGCAATCATCACTCAGAAGTTTCTGAGAATGCTTCTCTTTAGTTTTTACGTGAACATATACCCGTTTCGAACGAAGGCCACCCAGTGGTCCAAATATCCACTTGCAGATTCTACAGAAAGAGTGTTTCGAACCTGAACTCTCAAAGGCAGGTTCATCTCTGCGAGTTAAATGCATTCATCATGAAGAACTTTCTCAGAGTGTTTGTGTTTAGTTATGGGAAATTATTCCCGTTTCCAACGAAATCCTCAGAGAGCTCCAAATATCCACCTGCAGATTCTACCAAAAGTGTATTTGGAAACTGCTCCATCAAAAGGCATGTTCAGCTCTGTGAGTGAAACTCCATCATCACAAAGAATATTCTGAGAATGCTTCCGTTTGCCTTTTATCTGAAGTTCCTTCCTATACGACCGTAGGCCTCAAAGCAGTCCAAATCTCCATTTGCAGATTCTACAAAAAGAGTGATTCCAATCTGCTCTATCAATAGGATTGTTCAACTCCATGAGTTGAATGCCGTCCTCACAAAGTCGTTTCTGAGAATGCTTCTATCTAGTTTTTATGTGAAGATATTTCCTTTTCCACCACAGGCCTCAAAGCCCTCCAAACGTCCACTTGCAGATTCTCGAAAAAGAGTGTTTCATAGCTGCTCTTTCAAAAGGAAAGTTCAACTCTGGGAGTTGAATACAAACATCACAAAGTAGTTTCCGAGAATGCTTCTGTTTAGTTCTTATGTGAAGATGATCCCGTTTCCAGTGAAATCTTCAAAGAGGTCCACATATCCCCTTGCAGATTCCAAAGAAAGAGGGTTTCAAAACTGCTCCATCAAAAGGATTGTTCAACTCTGTGAGTTGAATGCAGTCATCGCAGAAAACTTTCTGAGAATGCTTCTGTCTAGGTTTGAGGTGAAGATATAGACGTTTCAAACGAAGGCTACAAAGTGGTCAAAATATACACTTGCAGATTCTACTACAAGGGTGTTGCAAACCTGAACTATCAAAGGAAGGTTCAACTCTGTGAGTTGAATACAAACATCACAAAGAATGTTCTGAGTTTGCTTCCATTCAGTTATGGGAAGTTGATCCCGTTTCCAACGAAATCCTCAGAGAGGTCCAAATATCCCCTTGCAGATTCTACAAAACGTGTGTTTGGAAACTGCTCCATCATAACGAATGTTCAGCTCTCTGAGTTAAACTCCATCGTCACAAAGAATTTTCTGAGAGTGCTACCGTCTGGTTTTTATATGAAGTTCTTTCCTTTACTACCACAGGCCTCAAAGCGGTCCAAATCTCCACTTGCAGATTCTACAAAAAGAGTGTTTGCAAACTGCTCTATCAAAAGGAATGTTCAACTCTGGGAGTTGAATGCAATCATCACAGAGCAGTTTCTGAGAATGCTTCTATGTCGTTTTTAGGAGAAGATATTTCCTTTTCCAACACAGTCCTCCAAGCCCGCTAAATATCCACTTGCACATTGTAGAAAAAGGGTGTCGAAGCTGCGCTATCAAAAGGAAAGTTCAACTCTGTGAGGTGAATGCAAACATCCCAAAGAAGTTTCTGAGAATGCTTCCGTTTAGCTTTTAGGTGAAGATTATCCCGTTTCCAACGAAATCTTCAAAGAGGTCCAAATATCCCCTTGCGGATCCCACAGAAAGAGTGTTTCGAAACTGCTGTTTCAAAAGGAATCTTCAACTCTGTGAGTTGAATGCAATCATCACAAAGAAGTTTCTGACAATGCTTCTCTCTCGTCTTTCTGTGAAGATAAAGGAAAAGGCTTTCAGGCCTTTTCCACCACAGGCCTGAAAGCGCTCCAAATGTCCACTTGCAGATTCTGCCAAAAGAATATTTCAAAACTGCTCTATGAAAAGCAATGTTAAACTCTGTGGCTCGAACACAAACATCACAAAGCAGTTTCTGAGAATGCTTCAGTTTAGTTTTTCTGTGGAAATATTCCCGTTTCCAAAGAAATCTTCAAAGAGTTCCACGCATCCACTTACAGATTCTACAAAATACAGTTTCAAAACTGCTCAATCAAAAGGAGGGTTCAACTGTGTGACTTGAATGCAATCATCACTCAGAAGTTTCTGAGAACGCTTCTCTTTAGTTTTTACGTGAACATATACCCGTTTCGAACGAAGGCCAGCCAGTGGTCCAAATATCCACTTGCAGATTCTACAGAAAGAGTGTTTCGAACCTGAACTCTCAAAGGCAGGTTCATCTCTGCGAGTTCAATGCATTCATCATGAAGAACTTTCTCAGCGTGTTTGTGTTTATGTATGGGAAATTATTCCCGTTTCCAACGAAATCCTCAGAGAGGTCCAAATATCCACCTGCAGATTCTACCAAAAGTGTATTTGGAAACTGCTCCATGAAAAGGCATGTTCAGCTCTGTGAGTGAAACTCCATCATCACAAAGAATATTCTGAGAATGCTTCCGTTTGCCTTTTATATGAAGTTCCTTCCTATACGACCGTAGGCCTCAAAGCAGTCCAAATCTCCATTTGCAGATTCTACAAAAAGAGTGATTCCAATCTGCTCTATCAATAGGATTGTTCAACTCCATGAGTTGAATGCCATCCTCCAAAGTCGTTTCTGAGAATGCTTCTATCTAGTTTTTATGTGAAGATATTTCCTTTTCCACCACAGGCCTCAAAGCCTTCCAAACGTCCACTTGCAGATTCTCGAAAAAGAGTGTTTCATAGCTGCTCTTTCAAAAGGAAAGTTCAACTCTGGGAGTTGAATACAAACATCACAAAGTAGTTTCCGAGAATGCTTCTGTTTAGTTTTTATGTGAAGATGATCCCGTTTCCAGTGAAATCTTCAAAGAGGTCCACATATCCCCTTGCAGATTCCAAAGAAAGAGGGTTTCAAAACTGCTCCATCAGAAGGATTGTTCAACTCTGTGAGTTGAATGCAGTCATCGCAGAAAACTTTCTGAGAATGCTTCTGTCTAGGTTTGATGTGAAGATATAGACGTTTCAAACGAAGGCTACAAAGTGGTCAAAATATACACTTGCAGATTCTACTACAAGGGTGTTGCAAACCTGAACTATCAAAGGAAGGTTCAACTCTGTGAGTTGAATACAAACATCACAAAGAATGTTCTGAGTTTGCTTCCGTTCAGTTATGGGAAGTTGATCCCGTTTCCAACGAAATCCTCAGAGAGGTCCAAATATCCCCTTGCAGATTCTACAAAACGTGTGTTTGGAAACTGCTCCATCATAACGAATGTTCAGCTCCCTGAGTTAAACTCCATCGTCACAAAGAATTTTCTGAGAGTGCTACCGTCTGGTTTTTATATGAAGCTCTTTCCTTTACTACCCCAGGCCTCAAAGCGGTCCAAATCTCCACTTGCAGATTCTACAAAAAGAGTGTTTGCAAACTGCTCTATCAAAAGGAATGTTCAACTCTGGGAGTTGAATGCAATCATCACAGAGCAGTTTCTGAGAATGCTTCTATGTCGTTTTTAGGAGAAGATATTTCCTTTTCCAACACAGTCCTCCAAGCCCGCTAAATAGCCACTTGCACATTGTAGAAAAAGTGTGTCAAAGCTGCGCTATCAAAGGGAAAGTTCAACTCTGTGAGGTGAATGCAAACATCCCAAAGAAGTTTCTGAGAGTGCTTCCGTTTAGCTTTTAGGTGAAGATTATCCCGCTTCCAACGAAACCTTCAAAGAGGTCCAAATATCCCCTTGCGGATCCCTCAGAAAGAGTGTTTCGAAACTGCTGTTTCAAAAGGAATCTTCAACTCTGTGAGTTGAATGCAATCATCACAAAGAAGTTTCTGACAATGCTTCTCTCTCGTCTTTCTGTGAAGATAAAGGAAAAGGCTTTCAGGCCTTTTCCACCACAGGCCTGAAAGCGCTCCAAATGTCCACTTGCAGATTCTGCGAAAAGAATATTTCAAAACTGCTCTATGAAAAGCAATGTTAAACTCTGTGGCTCGAACACAAACATCACAAAGCGGTTTCTGAGAATGCTTCAGTTTAGTTTTTCTGTGGAAATATTCCCGTTTCCAAAGAAATCTTCAAAGAGGTCCACGTATCCACTTACAGATTCTACAAAAAGACAGTTTCAAAACTGCTCCATCAAAAGGAGGGTTCAACTGTGTGACTTGAATGCAATCATCACTCAGAAGTTTCTGAGAATGCTTCTCTTTAGTTTTTACGTGAACATATACCCGTTTCGAACGAAGGCCACCCAGTGGTCCAAATATCCACTTGCAGATTCTACAGAAAGAGTGTTTCGAACCTGAACTCTCAAAGGCAGGTTCATCTCTGCGAGTTAAATGCATTCATCATGAAGAACTTTCTCAGAGTGTGTGTTTAGTTATGGGAAATTATTCCCGTTTCCAACGAAATCCTCAGAGAGCTCCAAATATCCACCTGCAGATTCTACCAAAAGTGTATTTGGAAACTGCTCCATCAAAAGGCATGTTCAGCTCTGTGAGTGAAACTCCATCATCACAAAGAATATTCTGAGAATGCTTCCGTTTGCCTTTTATATGAAGTTCCTTCCTATACGACCGTAGGCCTCAAAGCAGTCCAAATCTCCATTTGCAGATTCTACAAAAAGAGTGATTCCAATCTGCTCTATCAATAGGATTGTTCAACTCCATGAGTTGAATGCCATCCTCACAAAGTAGTTTCTGAGAATGCTTCTATCTGGTTTTTGTGTGAAGATATTTCCTTTTCCACCACAGGCCTCAAAGCCCTCCAAACGACCACTTGCAGATTCTCGAAAAAGAGTGTTTCATAGCTGCTCTTTCAAAAGGAAAGTTCAACTCTGGGAGTTGAATACAAACATCACAAAATAGTTTCCGAGAATGCTTCTGTTTAGTTTTTATGTGAAGATGATCCCGTTTCCAGTGAAATCTTCAAAGAGGTCCACATATCCCCTTGCAGATTCCAAAGAAAGAGGGTTTCAAAACTGCTCCATCAGAAGGATTGTTCAACTCTGTGAGTTGAATGCAGTCATCGCAGAAAACTTTCTGAGAATGCTTCTGTCTAGGTTTGATGTGAAGATATAGCATGTTTCAAACGAAGGCTACAAAGTGGTCAAAATATACACTTGCAGATTCTACTACAAGGGTGTTGCAAACCTGAACTATCAAAGGAAGGTTCAACTCTGTGAGTTGAATACAAACATCACAAAGAATGTTCTGAGTTTGCTTCCGTTCAGTTATGGGAAGTTGATCCCGTTTCCAACGAAATCCTCAGAGAGGTCCAAATATCCCCTCGCAGATTCTACAAAACGTGTGTTTGGAAACTGCTCCATCATAACGAATGTTCAGCTCCCTGAGTTAAACTCCATCGTCACAAAGAATTTTCTGAGAGTGCTACCGTCTGGTTTTTATATGAAGTTCTTTCCTTCACTACCACAGGCCTCAAAGCGGTCCAAATCTCCACTTGCAGATTCTACAAAAAGAGTGTTTGCAAACTGCTCTATCAAAAGGGAATGTTCAACTCTGGGAGTTGAATGCAATCATCACAGAGCAGTTTCTGAGAATGCTTCTATGTCGTTTTTAGGAGAAGATATTTCCTTTTCCAACACAGTCCTCCAAGCCCGCTAAATAGCCACTTGCACATTGTAGAAAAAGTGTGTCGAAGCTGCGCTATCAAAGGGAAAGTTCAACTCTGTGAGGTGAATGCAAACATCCCAAAGAAGTTTCTGAGAATGCTTCCGTTTAGCTTTTAGGTGAAGATTATCCCGTTTCCAACGAAACCTTCAAAGAGGTCCAAATATCCCCTTGCGGATCCCACAGAAAGAGTGTTTCGAAACTGCTGTTTCAAAAGGAATCTTCAACTCTGTGAGTTGAATGCAATCATCACAAAGAAGTTTCTGACAATGCTTCTCTCTCGTCTTTCTGTGAAGATAAAGGAAAAGGCTTTCAGGCCTTTTCCACCACAGGCCTGAAAGCACTCCAAATGTCCACTTGCAGATTCTGCCAAAAGAATATTTCAAAACTGCTCTATGAAAAGCAATGTTAAACTCTGTGGCTCGAACACAAACATCACAAAGCGGTTTCTGAGAATGCTTCAGTTTAGTTTTTCTGTGAAAATATTCCCGTTTCCAAAGAAATCTTCAAAGAGGTCCACGTATCCACTTACAGATTCTACAAAAAGACAGTTTCAAAACTGCTCCATCAAAAGGAGGGTTCAACTGTGTGACTTGAATGCAATCATCACTCAGAAGTTTCTGAGAATGCTTCTCTTTAGTTTTTACGTGAACATATACCCGTTTCGAACGAAGGCCACCCAGTGGTCCAAATATCCACTTGCAGATTCTACACAAAGAGTGTTTCGAACCTGATCTCTCAAAGGCAGGTCCATCTCTGCGAGTTAAATGCATTCATCATGAAGAACTTTCTCAGATTGTTTGTGTTTAGTTATGGGAAATTATTCCCGTTTCCAACGAAATCCTCAGAGAGCTCCAAATATCCACCTGTAGATTCTACCAAAAGTGTATTTGGAAACTGCTCCATCAAAAGGCATGTTCAGCTCTGTGAGTGAAACTCCATCATCACAAAGAATATTCTGAGAATGCTTCCGTTTGCCTTTTATATGAACTTCCTTCCTGTACCACCGTAGGCCTCAAAGCAGTCCAAATCTCCATTTGCAGATTCTACAAAAAGAGTGATTCCAATCTGCTCTATCAATAGGATTGTTCAACTCCATGAGTTGAATGCCATCCTCACAAAGTAGTTTCTGAGAATGCTTCTATCTAGTTTTTATGTGAAGATATTTCCTTTTCCACCACAGGCCTCAAAGCCCTCCAAACGTCCACTTGCAGATTCTCGAAAAAGAGTGTTTCATAGCTGCTCTTTCAAAAGGAAAGTTCAACTCTGGGAGTTGAATACAAACATCACAAAGTAGTTTCCGAGAATGCTTCTGTTTAGTTGTTATGTGAAGATGATCCCGTTTCCAGTGAAATCTTCAAAGAGGTCCATATATCCCCTTGCAGATTCCAAAGAAAGAGGGTTTCAAAACTGCTCCATCAAAAGGATTGTGCAACTCTGTGAGTTGAATGCAGTCATCGCAGAAAACTTTCTGAGAATGCTTCTGTCTAGGTTTGAGGTGAAGATATAGACGTTTCAAACGAAGGCTACAAAGTGGTCAAAATATACACTTGCAGATTCTACTACAAGGGTGATGCAAACCTCAACTATAAAAGGAAGGTTCAACTCTGTGAGTTGAATACAAACATCACAAAGAATGTTCTGAGTTTGCTTCCGTTCAGTTATGGGAAGTTGATCCCGTTTCCAACGAAATCCTCAGAGAGGTCCAAATATCCCCTTGCAGATTCTACAAAACGTGTGTTTGGAAACTGCTCCATCATAACGAATGTTCAGCTCTCTGAGTTAAACTCCATCGTCACAAAGAATTTTCTGAGGGTGCTACCCTCTGGTTTTTATATGAAGTTGTTTCCTTTACTACCACAGGCCTCAAAGCGGTCCAAATCTCCACTTGCAGATTCTACAAAAAGAGTGTTTGCAAACTGCTCTATCAAAAGGAATGTTCAACTCTGGGAGTTGAAAGCAATCATCACAGAGCAGTTTCTGAGAATGCTTCTATGTCGTTTTTAGGAGAAGATATTTCCTTTTCCAACACAGTCCTCCAAGCCCGCTAAATATCCACTTGCACATTGTAGAAAAAGTGTGTCGAAGCTGCGCTATCAAAGGGAAAGTTCAACTCTGTGAGGTGAATGCAAACATCCCAAAGAAGTTTCTGAGAATACTTCCGTTTAGCTTTTAGGTGAAGATTATCCCGTTTCCAACGAAATCTTCAAAGAGGTCCAAATATCCCCCTGCGGATCCCACAGAAAGAGTGTTTCGAAACTGCTGTTTCAAAAGGAATCTTCAACTCTGTGAGTTGAATGCAATCATCACAAAGAAGTTTCTGACAATGCTTCTCTCTCGTCTTTCTGTGAAGATAAAGGAAAAGGCTTTCAGGCCTTTTCCACCACAGGCCTGAAAGCGCTCCAAATGTCCACTTGCAGATTCTGCCAAAAGAATATTTCAAAACTGCTCTATGAAAAGCAATGTTAAACTCTGTGGCTCGAACACAAACATCACAAAGCCGTTTCTGAGAATGCTTCAGTTTAGTTTTTCTGTGGAAATATTCCCGTTTCCAAAGAAATCTTCAAAGAGGTCCACGTATCCACTTACAGATTCTACAAAAAGACAGTTTCAAAACTGCTCCATCAAAAGGAGGGTTCAACCGTGTGACTTGAATGCAATCATCACTCAGAAGTTTCTGAGAATGCTTCTCTTTAGTTTTTACGTGAACATATATCCGTTTCGAACGAAGGCCACCCAGTGGTCCAAATATCCACTTGCAGATTCTACAGAAAGAGTGTTTCGAACCTGAACTCTCAAAGGCAGGTTCATCTCTGCGAGTTAAATGCATTCATCATGAAGAACTTTCTCAGAGTGTTTGTGTTTAGTTATGGGAAATTATTCCCGTTTCCAACGAAATCCTCAGAGAGCTCCAAATATCCACCTGCAGATTCTACCAAAAGTGTATTTGGAAACTGCTCCATCAAAAGGCATGTTCAGCTCTGTGAGTGAAACTCCATCATCACAAAGAATATTCTGAGAATGCTTCCGTTTGCCTTTTATATGAAGTTCCTTCCTGTACTACCGTAGGCCTCAAAGCAGTCCAAATCTCCATTTGCAGATTCTACAAAAAGAGTGATTCCAATCTGCTCTATCAATAGGATTGTTCAACTCCATGAGTTGAATGCCATCCTCACAAAGCAGTTTCTGAGAATGCTTCTATCTGGTTTTTGTGTGAAGATATTTCCTTTTCCACCACAGGCCTCAAAGCCCTCCAAACGTCCACTTGCAGATTCTCGAAAAAGAGTGTTTCATAGCTGCTCTTTCAAAAGGAAAGTTCAACTCTGGGAGTTGAATACAAACATCACAAAATAGTTTCCGAGAATGCTTCTGTTTAGTTTTTATGTGAAGATGATCCCGTTTCCAGTGAAATCTTCAAAGAAGTCCACATATCCCCTTGCAGATTCCAAAGAAAGAGGGTTTCAAAACTGCTCCATCAGAAGGATTGTTCAACTCTGTGAGTTGAATGCAGTCATCGCAGAAAACTTTCTGAGAATGCTTCTGTCTAGGTTTGATGTGAAGATATAGACGTTTCAAACGAAGGCTACAAAGTGGTCAAAATATACACTTGCAGATTCTACTACAAGGGTGTTGCAAACCTGAACTATCAAAGGAAGGTTCAACTCTGTGAGTTGAATACAAACATCACAAAGAATGTTCTGAGTTTGCTTCCGTTCAGTTATGGGAAGTTGATCCCGTTTCCAACGAAATCCTCAGAGAGGTCCAAATATCCCCTTGCAGATTCTACAAAACGTGTGTTTGGAAACTGCTCCATCATAACGAATGTTCAGCTCCCTGAGTTAAACTCCATCGTCACAAAGAATTTTCTGAGAGTGCTACCGTCTGGTTTTTATATGAAGTTCTTTCCTTCACTACCACAGGCCTCAAAGCGGTCCAAATCTCCACTTGCAGATTGTACAAAAAGAGTGTTTGCAAACTGCTCTATCAAAAGGAATGTTCAACTCTGGGAGTTGAATGCAATCATCACAGAGCAGTTTCTGAGAATGCTTCTATGTCGTTTTTAGGAGAAGATATTTCCTTTTCCAACACAGTCCTCCAAGCCCGCTAAATAGCCACTTGCACATTGTAGAAAAAGTGTGTCAAAGCTGCGCTATCAAAGGGAAAGTTCAACTCTGTGAGGTGAATGCAAACATCCCAAAGAAGTTTCTGAGAATGCTTCCGTTTAGCTTTTAGGTGAAGATTATCCCGTTTCCAACGAAACCTTCAAAGAGGTCCAAATATCCCCTTGCGGATCCCACAGAAAGAGTGTTTCGAAACTGCTGTTTCAAAAGGAATCTTCAACTCTGTGAGTTGAATGCAATCATCACAAAGAAGTTTCTGACAATGCTTCTCTCTCGTCTTTCTGTGAAGATAAAGGAAAAGGCTTTCAGGCCTTTTCCACCACAGGCCTGAAAGCGCTCCAAATGTCCACTTGCAGATTCTGCCAAAAGAATATTTCAAAACTGCTCTATGAAAAGCAATGTTAAACTCTGTGGCTGGAACACAAAAATCACAAAGCGGTTTCTGAGAATGTTTCAGTTTAGTTTTTCTGTGGAAATATTCCCGTTTCCAAAGAAATCTTCAAAGAGGTCCACGTATCCACTTACAGATTCTACAAAAAGACAGTTTCAAAACTGCTCCATCAAAAGGAGGGTTCAACTGTGTGACTTGAATGCAATCATCACTCAGAAGTTTCTGAGAATGCTTCTCTTTAGTTTTTACGTGAACATATACCCGTTTCGAAAGAAGGCCACCCAGTGGTCCAAATATCCACTTGCAGATTATACAGAAAGAGTGTTTCGAACCTGAACTCTCAAAGGCAGGTTCATCTCTGCGAGTTAAATGCATTCATCATGAAGAACTTTCTCAGAGTGTTTGTGTTTAGTTATGGGAAATTATTCCCGTTTCCAACGAAATCCTCAGAGAGGTCCAAATATCCACCTGCCGATTCTACCAAAAGTGTATTTGGAAACTGCTCCATCAAAAGGCATGTTCAGCTCTGTGAGTGAAACTCCATCATCACAAAGAATATTCTGAGAATGCTTCCGTTTGCCTTTTATATGAAGTTCCTTCCTATACTACCGTAGGCCTCATAGCAGTCCAAATCTCCATTTGCAGATTCTACAAAAAGAGTGATTCCAATGTGCTCTATCATTAGGATTGTTCAACTCCATGAGTTGAATGCCATCCTCACAAAGTCGTTTCTGAGAATGCTTCTATCTAGTTTTTATGTGAAGATATTTCCTTTTCCACCACAGGCCTCAAAGCCCTCCAAACGTCCACTTGCAGATTCTCGAAAAAGAGTGTTTCATAGCTGCTCTTTCAAAAGGAAAGTTCAACTCTGGGAGTTGAATACAAACATCACAAAGTAGTTTCCGAGAATGCTTCTGTTTAGTTCTTATGTGAAGATGATCCCGTTTCCAGTGAAATCTTCAAAGAGGTCCACATATCCCCTTGCAGATTCCAAAGAAAGAGGGTTTCAAAACTGCTCCATCAAAAGGATTGTTCAACTCTGTGAGTTGAATGCAGTCATCGCAGAAAACTTTCTGAGAATGCTTCTGTCTAGGTTTGAGGTGAAGATATAGACGTTTCAAACGAAGGCTACAAAGTGGTCAAAATATACACTTGCAGATTCTACTACAAGGGTGTTGCAAACCTGAACTATCAAAGGAAGGTTCAACTCTGTGAGTTGAATACAAACATCACAAAGAATGTTCTGAGTTTGCTTCTGTTCAGTTATGGGAAGTTGATACCGTTTCCAACGAAATCCTCAGAGAGGTCCAAATATCCCCTTGCAGATTCTACAAAACGTGTGTTTGGAAACTGCTCCATCATAACGAATGTTCAGCTCTCTGAGTTAAACTCCATCGTCACAAAGAATTTTCTGAGAGTGTACCGTCTAGTTTTTATATGAAGTTCTTTCCTTTACTACCACAGGCCTCAAAGCGGTCCAAATCTCCACTTGCAGATTCTACAAAAAGAGTGTTTGCAAACTGCTCTATCAAAAGGAATGTTCAACTCTGGGAGTTGAAAGCAATCATCACAGAGGAGTTTCTGAGAATGCTTCTATGTCGTTTTTAGGAGAAGATATTTCCTTTTCCAACACAGTCCTCCAAGCCCGCTAAATATCCACTTGCACATTGTAGAAAAAGTGTGTCGAAGCTGCGCTATCAAAGGGAAAGTTCAACTCTGTGAGGTGAATGCAAACATCCCAAAGAAGTTTCTGAGAATACTTCCGTTTAGCTTTTAGGTGAAGATTATCCCGTTTCCAACGAAATCTTCAAAGAGGTCCAAATATCCCCCTGCGGATCCCACAGAAAGAGTGTTTCGAAACTGCTGTTTCAAAAGGAATCTTCAACTCTGTGAGTTGAATGCAATCATCACAAAGAAGTTTCTGACAATGCTTCTCTCTCGTCTTTCTGTGAAGATAAAGGAAAAGGCTTTCAGGCCTTTTCCACCCACAGGCCTGAAAGCGCTCCAAATGTCCACTTGCAGATTCTGCGAAAAGAATATTTCAAAACTGCTCTATGAAAAGCAATGTTAAACTCTGCGGCTCGAACACAAACATCACAAAGCGGTTTCTGAGAATGCTTCAGTTTAGTTTTTCTGTGGAAATTTTCCCGTTTCCAAAGAAATCTTCAAAGAGGTCCACGTATCCACTTACAGATTCTACAAAAAGACAGTTTCCAAACTGCTCCATCAAAAGGAGGGTTCAACCGTGTGACTTGAATGCAATCATCACTCAGAAGTTTCTGAGAATGCTTCTCTTTAGTTTTTACGTGAACATATACCCGTTTCGAACGAAGGCCACCCAGTGGTCCAAATATCCACTTGCAGATTATACAGAAAGAGTGTTTCGAACCTGAACTCTCAAAGGCAGGTTCATCTCTGCGAGTTAAATGCATTCATCATGAAGAACTTTCTCAGAGTGTTTTGTGTTTAGTTATGGGAAATTATTCCCGTTTCCAACGAAATCCTCAGAGAGGTCCAAATATCCACCTGCAGATTCTACCAAAAGTGTATTTGGAAACTGCTCCATCAAAAGGCATGTTCAGCTCTGTGAGTGAAACTCCATCATCACAAAGAATATTCTGAGAATGCTTCCGTTTGCCTTTTATATGAAGTTCCTTCCTATACGACCGTAGGCCTCAAAGCAGTCCAAATCTCCATTTGCAGATTCTACAAAAAGAGTGATTCCAATCTGCTCTATCAATAGGATTGTTCAACTCCATGAGTTGAATGCCATCCTCACAAAGTCGTTTCTGAGAATGCTTCTATCTAGTTTTTATGTGAAGATATTTCCTTTTCCACCACAGGCCTCAAAGCCCTCCAAACGTCCACTTGCACATTCTCGAAAAAGACTGTTTCATAGCTGCTCTTTCAAAAGGAAAGTTCAACTCTGGGAGTTGAATACAAACATCACAAAGTAGTTTCCGAGAATGCTTCTGTTTAGTTCTTATGTGAAGATGATCCCGTTTCCAGTGAAATCTTCAAAGAGGTCCACATATCCCCTTGCAGATTCCAAAGAAAGAGGGTTTCAAAACTGCTCCATCAAAAGGATTGTTCAACTCTGTGAGTTGAATGCAGTCATCGCAGAAAACTTTCTGAGAATGCTTCTGTCTAGGTTTGATGTGAAGATATAGACGTTTCAAACGAAGGCTACAAAGTGGTCAAAATATACACTTGCAGATTCTACTACAAGGGTGTTGCAAACCTGAACTATCAAAGGAAGGTTCAACTCTGTGAGTTGAATACAAACATCACAAAGAATGTTCTGAGTTTGCTTCCGTTCAGTTATGGGAAGTTGATCCCGTTTCCAACGAAATCCTCAGAGAGGTCCAAATATCCCCTCGCAGATTCTACAAAACGTGTGTTTGGAAACTGCTCCATCATAACGAATGTTCAGCTCCCTGAGTTAAACTACATCGTCACAAAGAATTTTCTGAGAGTGCTACCGTCTGGTTTTTATATGAAGTTCTTTCCTTCACTACCACAGGCCTCAAAGCGGTCTAAATCTCCACTTGCAGATTCTACAAAAAGAGTGTTTGCAAACTGCTCTATCAAAAGGAATGTTCAACTCTGGGAGTTGAATGCAATCATCACAGAGCAGTTTCTGAGAATGCTTCTATGTCGTTTTTAGGAGAAGATATTTCCTTTTCCAACACAGTCCTCCAAGCCCGCTAAATAGCCACTTGCACATTGTAGAAAAAGTGTGTCAAAGCTGCGCTATCAAAGGGAAAGTTCAACTCTGTGAGGTGAATGCAAACATCCCAAAGAAGTTTCTGAGAATGCTTCCGTTTAGCTTTTAGGTGAAGATTATCCCGTTTCCAACGAAACCTTCAAAGAGGTCCAAATATCCCCTTGCGGATCCCACAGAAAGAGTGTTTCGAAACTGCTGTTTCAAAAGGAATCTTCAACTCTGTGAGTTGAATGCAATCATCACAAAGAAGTTTCTGACAATGCTTCTCTCTCGTCTTTCTGTGAAGATAAAGGAAAAGGCTTTCAGGCCTTTGCCACCACAGGCCTGAAAGCGCTCCAAATGTCCACTTGCAGATTCTGCGAAAAGAATATTTCAAAACTGCTCTATGAAAAGCAATGTTAAACTCTGCGGCTCGAACACAAACATCACAAAGCGGTTTCTGAGAATGCTTCAGTTTAGTTTTTCTGTGGAAATATTCCCGTTTCCAAAGAAATCTTCAAAGAGGTCCACGTATCCACTTACAGATTCTACAAAAAGACAGTTTCAAAACTGCTCCATCAAAAGGAGGGTTCAACTGTGTGACTTGAATGCAATCATCACTCAGAAGTTTCTGAGAATGCTTCTCTTTAGTTTTTACGTGAACATATACCCGTTTCGAACGAAGGCCACCCAGTGGTCCAAATATCCACTTGCAGATTCTACAGAAAGAGTGTTTCGAACCTGAACTCTCAAAGGCAGGTTCATCTCTGCGAGTTAAATGCATTCATCATGAAGAACTTTCTCAGAGTGTTTGTGTTTAGTTATGGGAAATTATTCCCGTTTCCAACGAAATCCTCAGAGAGCTCCAAATATCCACCTGCAGATTCTACCAAAAGTGTATTTGGAAACTGCTCCATCAAAAGGCATGTTCAGCTCTGTGAGTGAAACTCCATCATCACAAAGAATATTCTGAGAATGCTTCCGTTTGCCTTTTATCTGAAGTTCCTTCCTATACGACCGTAGGCCTCAAAGCAGTCCAAATCTCCATTTGCAGATTCTACAAAAAGAGTGATTCCAATCTGCTCTATCAATAGGATTGTTCAACTCCATGAGTTGAATGCCATCCTCACAAAGTCGTTTCTGAGAATGCTTCTATCTAGTTTTTATGTGAAGATATTTCCTTTTCCACCACAGGCCTCAAAGCCCTCCAAACGTCCACCTGCAGATTCTCGAAAAACAGTGTTTCATAGCTGCTCTTTCAAAAGGAAAGTTCAACTCTGGGAGTTGAATACAAACATCACAAAGTAGTTTCCGAGAATGCTTCTGTTTAGTTTTTATGTGAAGATGATCCCGTTTCCAGTGAAATCTTCAAAGAGGTCCACATATCCCCTTGCAGATTCCAAAGAAAGAGGGTTTCAAAACTGCTCCATCAGAAGGATTGTTCAACTCTGTGAGTTGAATGCAGTCATCGCAGAAAACTTTCTGAGAATGCTTCTGTCTAGGTTTGATGTGAAGATATAGACGTTTCAAACGAAGGCTACAAAGTGGTCAAAATATACACTTGCAGATTCTACTACAAGGGTGTTGCAAACCTGAACTATCAAAGGAAGGTTCAACTCTGTGAGTTGAATACAAACATCACAAAGAATGTTCTGAGTTTGCTTCCGTTCAGTTATGGGAAGTTGATCCCGTTTCCATCGAAATCCTCAGAGAGGTCCAAATATCCCCTTGCAGATTCTACAAAACGTGTGTTTGGAAACTGCTCCATCATAACGAATGTTCAGCTCCCTGAGTTAAACTCCATCGTCACAAAGAATTTTCTGAGAGTGCTACCGTCTGGTTTTTATATGAAGTTCTTCCCTTCACTACCACAGGCCTCAAAGCGGTCCAAATCTCCACTTGCAGATTCTACAAAAAGAGTGTTTGCAAACTGCTCTATCAAAAGGAATGTTCAACTCTGGGAGTTGAATGCAATCATCACAGAGCAGTTTCTGAGAATGCTTCTATGTCGTTTTTAGGAGAAGATATTTCCTTTTCCAACACAGTCCTCCAAGTCCGCTAAATAGCCACTTGCACATTGTAGAAAAAGTGTGTCAAAGCTGCGCTATCAAAGGGAAAGTTCAACTCTGTGAGGTGAATGCAAACATCCCAAAGAAGTTTCTGAGAATGCTTCCGTTTAGCTTTTAGGTGAAGATTATCCCGTTTCCAACGAAACCTTCAAAGAGGTCCAAATATCCCCTTGCGGATCCCACAGAAAGAGTGTTTCGAAACTGCTGTTTCAAAAGGAATCTTCAACTCTGTGAGTTGAATGCAATCATCACAAAGAAGTTTCTGACAATGCTTCTCTCTCGTCTTTCTGTGAAGATAAAGGAAAAGGCTTTCAGGCCTTTTCCACCACAGGCCTGAAAGCGCTCCAAATGTCCACTTGCAGATTCTGCCAAAAGAATATTTCAAAACTGCTCTATGAAAAGCAATGTTAAACTCTGCGGCTCGAACACAAACATCACAAAGCGGTTTCTGAGAATGCTTCAGTTTAGTTTTTCTGTGGAAATATTCCCGTTTCCAAAGAAATCTTCAAAGAGGTCCACGTATCCACTTACAGATTCTACAAAAAGACAGTTTCAAAACTGCTCCATCAAAAGGAGGGTTCAACCGTGTGACTTGAATGCAATCATCACTCAGAAGTTTCTGAGAATGCTTCTCTTTAGTTTTTACGTGAACATATACCCGTTTCGAACGAAGGCCACCCAGTGGTCCAAATATCCACTTGCAGATTATACAGAAAGAGTGTTTCGAACCTGAACTCTCAAAGGCAGGTTCATCTCTGCGAGTTAAATGCATTCATCATGAAGAACTTTCTCAGAGTGTTTGTGTTTAGTTATGGGAAATTATTCCCGTTTCCAAAGAAATCCTCAGAGAGCTCCAAATATCCACCTGCAGATTCTACCAAAAGTGTATTTGGAAACTGCTCCATCAAAAGGCATGTTCAGCTCTGTGAGTGAAACTCCATCATCACAAAGAATATTCTGAGAATGCTTCCGTTTGCCTTTTATATGAAGTTCCTTCCTGTACTACCGTAGGCCTCAAAGCAGTCCAAATCTCCATTTGCAGATTCTATAAAAAGAGTGATTCCAATCTGCTCTATCAATAGGATTGTTCAACTCCATGAGTTGAATGCCATCCTCACAAAGTAGTTTCTGAGAATGCTTCTATCTGGTTTTTGTGTGAAGATATTTCCTTTTCCACCACAGGCCTCAAAGCCCTCCAAACGTCCACTTGCAGATTCTCGAAAAAGAGTGTTTCATAGCTGCTCTTTCAAAAGGAAAGTTCAACTCTAGGAGTTGAATACAAACATCACAAAGTAGTTTCCGAGAATGCTTCTGTTTAGTTTTTATGTGAAGATGATCCCGTTTCCAGTGAAATCTTCAAAGAGGTCCACATATCCCCTTGCAGATTCCAAAGAAAGAGGGTTTCAAACCTGCTCCATCAGAAGGATTGTTCAACTCTGTGAGTTGAATGCAGTCATCGCAGAAAACTTTCTGAGAATGCTTCTGTCTAGGTTTGATGTGAAGATATAGACGTTTCAAACGAAGGCTACAAAGTGGTCAAAATATACACTTGCAGATTCTACTACAAGGGTGTTGCAAACCTGAACTATCAAAGGAAGGTTCAACTCTGTGAATTGAATACAAACATCACAAAGAATGTTCTGAGTTTGCTTCCGTTCAGTTATGGGAAGTTGATCCCGTTTCCAACGAAATCCTCAGAGAGGTCCAAATATCCCCTTGCAGATTCTACAAAACGTGTGTTTGGAAACTGCTCCATCATAACGAATGTTCAGCTCCCTGAGTTAAACTACATCGTCACAAAGAATTTTCTGAGAGTGCTACCGTCTAGGTTTTTATATGAAGTTCTTTCCTTCACTACCACAGGCCTCAAAGCGGTCCAAATCTCCACTTGCAGATTCTACAAAAAGAGTGTTTGCAAACTGCTCTATCAAAAGGAATGTTCAACTCTGGGAGTTGAATGCAATCATCACAGAGCAGTTTCTGAGAATGCTTCTATGTCGTTTTTAGGAGAAGATATTTCCTTTTCCAACACAGTCCTCCAAGCCCGCTAAATAGCCACTTGCACATTGTAGAAAAAGTGTGTCAAAGCTGCGCTATCAAAGGGAAAGTTCAACTCTGTGAGGTGAATGCAAACATCCCAAAGAAGTTTCTGAGAATGCTTCCGTTTAGCTTTTAGGTGAAGATTATCCCGTTTCCAACGAAACCTTCAAAGAGGTCCAAATATCCCCTTGCGGATCCCACAGAAAGAGTGTTTCGAAACTGCTGTTTCAAAAGGAATCTTCAACTCTGTGAGTTGAATGCAATCATCACAAAGAAGTTTCTGACAATGCTTCTCTCTCGTCTTTCTGTGAAGATAAAGGAAAAGGCTTTCAGGCCTTTTCCACCACAGGCCTGAAAGCGCTCCAAATGTCCACTTGCAGATTCTGCCAAAAGAATATTTCAAAACTGCTCTATGAAAAGCAATGTTAAACTCTGTGGCTGGAACACAAACATCACAAAGCGGTTTCTGAGAATGTTTCAGTTTAGTTTTTCTGTGGAAATATTCCCGTTTCCAAAGAAATCTTCAAAGAGGTCCACGTATCCACTTACAGATTCTACAAAAAGACAGTTTCAAAACTGCTCCATCAAAAGGAGGGTTCAACTGTGTGACTTGAATGCAATCATCACTCAGAAGTTTCTGAGAATGCTTCTCTTTAGTTTTTACGTGAACATATACCCGTTTCAAACGAAGGCCAGCCAGTGTTCCAAATATCCACTTGCAGATTCTACAGAAAGAGTGTTTCGAACCTGAACTCTCAAAGGCAGGTTCATCTCTGCGAGTTAAATGCATTCATCATGAAGAACTTTCTCAGAGTGTTTGTGTTTAGTTATGGGAAATTATTCCCGTTTCCAACGAAATCCTCAGAGAGCTCCAAATATCCACCTGCAGATTCTACCAAAAGTGTATTTGGAAACTGCTCCATCAAAAGGCATGTTCAGCTCTGTGAGTAAAACTCCATCATCACAAAGAATATTCTGAGAATGCTTCCGTTTGCCTTTTATATGAAGTTCCTTCCTGTACTACCGTAGGCCTCAAAGCAGACCAAATCTCCATTTGCAGATTCTACAAAAAGAGTGATTCCAATCTGCTCTATCAATAGGATTGTTCAACTCCATGAGTTGAATGCCATCCTCACAAAGTAGTTTCTGAGAATGCTTCTATCTGGTTTTTGTGTGAAGATATTTCCTTTTCCACCACAGGCCTCAAAGCCCTCCAAACGTCCACTTGCAGATTCTCGAAAAAGAGTGTTTCATAGCTGCTCTTTCAAAAGGAAAGTTCAACTCTGGGAGTTGAATACAAACATCACAAAATAGTTTCCGAGAATGCTTCTGTTTAGTTTTTATGTGAAGATGATCCCGTTTCCAGTGAAATCTTCAAAGAGGTCCACATATCCCCTTGCAGATTCCAAAGAAAGAGGGTTTAAAAACTGCTCCATCAGAAGGATTGTTCAACTCTGTGAGTTGAATGCAGTCATCGCAGAAAACTTTCTGAGAATGCTTCTGTCTAGGTTTGAGGTGAAGATATAGACGTTTCAAACGAAGGCTACAAAGTGGTCAAAATATACACTTGCAGATTCTACTACAAGGGTGTTGCAAACCTCAACTATCAAAGGAAGGTTCAACTCTGTGAGTTGAATACAAACATCACAAAGAATGTTCTCAGTTTGCTTCTGTTCAGTTATGGGAAGTTGATCGGGTTTCCAACGAAATCCTCAGAGAGGTCCAAATATCCCCTTGCAGATTCTACAAAACGTGTGTTTGGAAACTGCTCCATCATAACGAATGTTCAGCTCTCTGAGTTAAACTCCATCGTCACAAAGAATTTTCTGAGAGTGCTACCGTCTGCTTTTTATATGAAGTTCTTTCCTTTACTACCACAGGCCTCAAAGCGGTCCAAATCTCCACTTGCAGATTCTACAAAAAGAGTGTTTGCAAACTGCTCTATCAAAAGGAATGTTCAACTCTGGGAGTTGAATGCAATCATCACAGAGCAGTTTCTGAGAATGCTTCTATGTCGTTTTTAGGAGAAGATATTTCCTTTTCCAACACAGTCCTCCAAGCCCGCTAAATATCCACTTGCACATTGTAGAAAAAGTGTGTCGAAGCTGCGCTATCAAAGGGAAAGTTCAACTCTGTGAGGTGAATGCAAACATCCCAAAGAAGTTTCTGAGAATGCTTCCGTTTAGCTTTTAGGTGAAGATTATCCAGTTTCCAACGAAACCTTCAAATAGATCCAAATATCCCCTTGCGGTTCCCACAGAAAGAGTGTTTCGAAACTGCTGTTTCAAAAGGAATCTTCAACTCTGTGAGTTGAATGCAATCATCACAAAGAAGTTTCTGACAATGCTTCTCTCTCGTCTTTCTGTGAAGATAAAGGAAAAGGCTTTCAGGCCTTTTCCACCCACAGGCCTGAAAGCGCTCCAAATGTCCACTTGCAGATTCTGCCAAAAGAATATTTCAAAACTGCTCTATGAAAAGCAATGTTAAACTCTGCGGCTCGAACACAAACATCACAAAGCAGTTTCTGAGAATGCTTCAGTTTAGTTTTTCTGTGGAAATATTCCCGTTTCCAAAGAAATCTTCAAAGAGGTCCACGCATCCACTTACAGATTCTACAAAAACACAGTTTCAAAACTGCTCAATCAAAACGAGGGTTCAACTGTGTGACTTGAATGCAATCATCACTCAGAAGTTTCTGAGAATGCTTCTCTTTAGTTTTTACGTGAACATATACCCGTTTCGAACGAAGGCCACCCAGTGGTCCAAATATCCACTTGCAGATTCTACAGAAAGAGTGTTTCGAACCTGAACTCTCAAAGGCAGGTTCATCTCTGCGAGTTAAATGCATTCATCATGAAGAACTTTCTCAGCGTGTTTGTGTTTAGTTATGGGAAATTATTCCCGTTTCCAACGAAATCCTCAGAGAGGTTCAAATATCCACCTGCAGATTCTACCAAAAGTGTATTTGGAAACTGCTCCATCAAAAGGCATGTTCAGCTCTGTGTGTGAAACTCCATCATCACAAAGAATATTCTGAGAATGCCTCCGTTTGCCTTTTATATGAAGTTCCTTCCTATACTACCGTAGGCCTCAAAGCAGTCCAAATCTCCATTTGCAGATTCTACAAAAAGAGTGATTCCAATCTGCTCTATCAATAGGACTGTTCAACTCCATGAGTTGAATGCCATCCTCACAAAGTCGTTTCTGAGAATGCTTCTATCTAGTTTTTATGTGAAGATATTTCCTTTTCCACCACAGGCCTCAAAGCCCTCCAAACGTCCACTTGCAGATTCTCGAAAAAGAGTGTTTCATAGCTGCTCTTTCAAAAGGAAAGTTCAACTCTGGGAGTTGAATACAAACATCACAAAGTAGTTTCCGAGAATGCTTCTGTTTAGTTTTTATGTGAAGATGATCCCGTTTCCAGTGAAATCTTCAAAGAAGTCCACATATCCCCTTGCAGATTCCAAAGAAAGAGGGTTTCAAAACTGCTCCATCAGAAGGATTGTTCAACTCTGTGAGTTGAATGCAGTCATCGCAGAAAACTTTCTGAGAATGCTTCTGTCTAGGTTTGATGTGAAGATATAGACGTTTCAAACGAAGGCTACAAAGTGTTCAAAATATACACTTGCAGATTCTACTACAAGGGTGTTGCAAACCTGAACTATCAAAGGAAGGTTCAACTCCGTGAGTTGAATACAAACATCACAAAGAATGTTCTGAGTTTGCTTCCGTTCAGTTATGGGAAGTTGATCCCGTTTCCAACGAAATCCTCAGAGAGGTCCAAATATCCCCTTGCAGATTCTACAAAACGTGTGTTTGGAAACTGCTCCATCATAACGAATGTTCAGCTCCCTGAGTTAAACTCCATCGTCACAAAGAATTTTCTGAGAGTGCTACCGTCTGGTTTTTATATGAAGTTCTTTCCTTCACTACCACAGGCCTCAAAGCGGTCCAAATCTCCACTTGCAGATTCTACAAAAAGAGAGTTTGCAAACTGCTCTATCAAAAGGAACGTTCAACTCTGGGAGTTGAATGCAATCATCACAGAGCAGTTTCTGAGAATGCTTCTATGTCGTTTTTAGGAGAAGATATTTCCTTTTCCAACACAGTCCTCCAAGCCCGCTAAATAGCCACTTGCACATTGTAGAAAAAGTGTGTCAAAGCTGCGCTATCAAAGGGAAAGTTCAACTCTGTGAGGTGAATGCAAACATCCCAAAGAAGTTTCTGAGAATGCTTCCGTTTAGCTTTTAGGTGAAGATTATCCCGTTTCCAACGAAACCTTCAAAGAGGTCCAAATATCCCCTTGCGGATCCCACAGAAAGAGTGTTTCGAAACTGCTGTTTCAGAAGGAATCTTCAACTCTGTGAGTTGAATGCAATCATCACAAAGAAGTTTCTGACAATGCTTCTCTCTCGTCTTTCTGTGAAGATAAAGGAAAAGGCTTTCAGGCCTTTTCCACCACAGGCCTGAAAGCGCTCCAAATGTCCACTTGCAGATTCTGCGAAAAGAATATTTCAAAACTGCTCTATGAAAAGCAATGTTAAACTCTGTGGCTCGAACACAAACATCACAAAGCAGTTTCTGAGAATGCTTCAGTTTAGTTTTTCTGTGGAAATATTCCCGTTTCCAAAGAAATCTTCAAAGAGGTCCACGTATCCATTTACAGATTCTACAAAAAGACAGTTTCAAAACTGCTCAATCAAAAGGAGGGTTCAACCGTGTGACTTGAATGCAATCATCAGTCAGAAGTTTCTGAGAATGCTTCTCTTTAGTTTTTACGTGAACATATACCCGTTTCGAACGAAGGCCACCCAGTGGTCCAAATATCCACTTGCAGATTCTACAGAAAGAGTGTTTCGAACCTGAACTCTCAAAGGCAGGTTCATCTCTGCGAGTTCAATGCATTCAACATGAAGAACTTTCTCAGCGTGTTTGTGTTTAGTTATGGGAAATTATTGCCGTTTCCAACGAAATCCTCAGAGAGGTCCAAATATCCACCTGCAGATTCTACCAAAAGTGTATTTGGAAACTGCTCCATCAAAAGGCATGTTCAGCTCTGTGAGTGAAACTCCATCATCACAAAGAATATTCTGAGAATGCTTCCGTTTGCCTTTTATATGAAGTTCCTTCCTATACTACCGTAGGCCTCAAAGCAGTCCAAATCTCCATTTGCAGATTCTACAAAAAGAGTGATTCCAATCTGCTCTATCAATAGGATTGTTCAACTCCATGAGTTGAATGCCATCCTCACAAAGTCGTTTCTGAGAATGCTTCTATCTAGTTTTTATGTGAAGATATTTCCTTTTCCACCACAGGCCTCAAAGCCCTCCAAACGTCCACTTGCAGATTCTCGAAAAAGAGTGTTTCATAGCTGCTCTTTCAAAAGGAAAGTTCAACTCTGGGAGTTGAATACAATCATCACAAAGTAGTTTCTGAGAATGCTTCTGTTTATTTCTTATGTGAAGATGATCCCGTTTCCAGTGAAATCTTGAAAGAGGTCCACATATCCCCTTGCAGATTCCAAAGAAAGAGGGTTTCAAAACTGCTCCATCAAAAGGATTGTTCAACTCTGTGAGTTGAATGCAGTCATCGCAGAAAACTTTCTGAGAATGCTTCTGTCTAGGTTTGATGTGAAGATATAGACGTTTCAAACGAAGGCTACAAAGTGGTCAAAATATACACTTGCAGATTCTACTACAAGGGTGATGCAAACCTGAACTATCAAAGGAAGGTTCAACTCTGTGAGTTGAATACAAACATCACAAAGAATGTTCTGAGTTTGCTTCCGTTCAGTTATGGGAAATTGATCCCGTTTCCAACGAAATCCTCAGAGAGGTCCAAATATCCCCTTGCAGATTCTACAAAACGTGTGTTTGGAAACTGCTCCATCATAACGAATGTTCAGCTCTCTGAGTTAAACTCCATCGTCACAAAGAATTTTCTGAGAGTGCTACCGTCTAGTTTTTATATGAAGTTCTTTCCTTTACTACCTCAGTCCTCAAAGCGGTCCAAATCTCCACTTGCAGATTCTACAAAAAGAGTGTTTGCAAACTGCTCTATCAAAAGGAATGTTCAACTCTGGGAGTTGAATGCAATCATCACAGAGCAGTTTCTGAGAATGCTTCTATGTCGTTTTTAGGAGAAGATATTTCCTTTTCCAACACAGTCCTCCAAGCCCGCTAAATATCCACTTGCACATTGTAGAAAAAGTGTGTCGAAGCTGCGCTATCAAAGGGAAAGTTCAACTCTCTGAGGTGAATGCAAACATCCCAAAGAAGTTTCTGAGAATGCTTCCGTTTAGCTTTTAGGTGAAGATTATCCCGTTTCCAACGAAATCTTCAAAGAGGTCCAAATATCCCCTTGCGGATCCCACAGAAAGAGTGTTTCGAAACTGCTGTTTCAAAAGGAATCTTCAACTCTGTGAGTTGAATGCAATCATCACAAAGAAGTTTCTGACAATGCTTCTCTCTCGTCTTTCTGTGAAGATAAAGGAAAAGGCTTTCAGGCCTTTTCCACCACAGGCCTGAAAGCGCTCCAAATGTCCACTTGCAGATTCTGCCAAAAGAATATTTCAAAACTGCTCTATGAAAAGCAATGTTAAACTCTGTGGCTCGAACACAAACATCACAAAGCAGTTTCTGAGAATGCTTCAGTTTAGTTTTTCTGTGGAAATATTCCCGTTTCAAAAGAAATCTTCAAAGAGGTCCACGCATCCACTTACAGATTCTACAAAAAGACAGTTTCAAAACTGCTCAATCAAAAGGAGGGTTCAACCGTGTGACTTGAATGCAATCATCACTCAGAAGTTTCTGAGAACGCTTCTCTTTAGTTTTTACGTGAACATATACCCGTTTCGAACGAAGGCCACACAGTGGTCCAAATATCCACTTGCAGATTCTACAGAAAGAGTGTTTCGAACCTGAACTCTCAAAGGCAGGTTCATCTCTGCGAGTTCAATGCATTCATCATGAAGAACTTTCTCAGAGTGTTTGTGTTTAGGTATAGGAAATTATTCCCGTTTCCAACGAAATCCTCAGAGAGGTCCAAATATCCACCTGCAGATTCTACCAAAAGTGTATTTGGAAACTGCTCCATCAAAAGGCATGTTCAGCTCTGTGAGTGAAACTCCATCATCACAAAGAATATTCTGAGAATGCTTCCGTTTGCCTTTTATATGAAGTTCCTTCCTATACTACCGTAGGCCTCAAAGCAGTCCAAATCTCCATTTGCAGATTCTACAAAAAGAGTGATTCCAATCTGCTCTATCAATAGGATTGTTCAACTCCATGAGTTGAATGCCATCCTCACAAAGTCGTTTCTGAGAATGCTTCTATCTAGTTTTTATGTGAAGATATTTCCTTTTCCACCACAGGCCTCAAAGCCCTCCAAACGGCCACTTGCAGATTCTCGAAAAAGAGTGTTTCATAGCTGCTCTTTCAAAAGGAAAGTTCAACTCTGGGAGTTGAATACAAACATCACAAAGTAGTTTCCGAGAATGCTTCTGTTTAGTTCTTATGTGAAGATGATCCCGTTTCCAGTGAAATCTTCAAAGAGGTCCACATATCCCCTTGCAGATTCCAAAGAAAGAGGGTTTCAAAACTGCTCCATCAAAAGGATTGTTCAACTCTGTGAGTTGAATGCAGTCATCGCAGAAAACTTTCTGAGAATGCTTCTGTCTAGGTTTGATGTGAAGATATAGACGTTTCAAACGAAGGCTACAAAGTGGTCAAAATATACACTTGCAGATTCTACTACAAGGGTGATGCAAACCTCAACTATCAAAGGAAGGTTCAACTCTGTGAGATGAATGCAAACATCACAAAGAATGTTCTGAGTTTGCTTCCGTTCAGTTATGGGAAGTTGATCCCGTTTCCAACGAAATCCTCAGAGAGGTCCAAATATCCCCTTGCAGATTCTGCAAAACGTGTGTTTGGAAACTGCTCCATCATAACGAATGTTCAGCTCTCTGAGTTAAACTCCATCGTCACAAAGAATTTTCTGAGAGTGCTACCGTCTAGTTTTATATGAAGTTCTTTCCTTTACTACCACCGGCCTCAAAGCGGTCCAAATCTCCACTTGCAGATTCTACAAAAAGAGTGTTTGCAAACTGCTCTATCAAAAGGAATGTTCAACTCTGGGAGTTGAATGCAATCATCACAGAGCAGTTTCTGAGAATGCTTCTATGTCGTTTTTAGGAGAAGATATTTCCTTTTCCAACACAGTCCTCCAAGCCCGCTAAATATCCACTTGCACATTGTAGAAAAAGTGTGTCGAAGCTGCGCTATCAAAGGGAAAGTTCAACTCTGTGAGGTGAATGCAAACATCCCAAAGAAGTTTCTGAGAATGCTTCCGTTTAGCTTTTAGGTGAAGATTATCCCGTTTCCAACGAAATCTTCAAAGAAGTCCAAATATCCCCTTGCGGATCCCACAGAAAGAGTGTTTCGAAACTGCTGTTTCAAAAGGAATCTTCAACTCTGTGAGTTGAATGCAATCATCACAAAGAAGTTTCTGACAATGCTTCTCTCTCGTCTTTCTGTGAAGATAAAGGAAAAGGCTTTCAGGCCTTTGCCACCACAGGCCTGAAAGCGCTCCAAATGTCCACTTGCAGATTCTGCGAAAAGAATATTTCAAAACTGCTGCTATGAAAAGCAATGTTAAACTACTGTGGCTCGAACACAAACATCACAAAGCGGTTTCTGAGAATGCTTCAGTTTAGTTTTTCTGTGGAAATATTCCCGTTTCCAAAGAAATCTTCAAAGGGGGTCCACGTATCCACTTACAGATTCTACAAAAAGACAGTTTCAAAACTGCTCCATCAAAAGGAGGGTTCAACTGTGTGACTTGAATGCAATCATCACTCAGAAGTTTCTGAGAATGCTTCTCTTTAGTTTTTACGTGAACATATACCCGTTTCGAACGAAGGCCACCCAGTGGTCCAAATATCCACTTGCAGATTATACAGAAAGAGTGTTTCGAACCTGAACTCTCAAAGGCAGGTTCATCTCTGCAAGTTAAATGCATTCATCATGAAGAACTTTCTCAGAGTGTTTGTGTTTAGTTATGGGAAATTATTCCCGTTTCCAACGAAATCCTCAGAGAGCTCCAAATATCCACCTGCTGATTCTACCAAAAGTGTATTTGGAAACTGCTCCATCAAAAGGCATGTTCAGCTCTGTGAGTGAAACTCCATCATCACAAAGAATATTCTGAGAATGCTTCCGTTTGCCTTTTATATGAAGTTCCTTCCTATACGACCGTAGGCCTCAAAGCAGTCCAAATCTCCATTTGCAGATTCCACAAAAAGAGTGATTCCAATCTGCTCTATCAATAGGATTGTTCAACTCCATGAGTTGAATGCCATCCTCACAAAGTAGTTTCTGAGAATGCTTCTATCTAGTTTTATGTGAAGATATTTCCTTTTCCACCACAGGCCTCAAAGCCCTCCAAACGTCCACTTGCAGATTCTCGAAAAAGAGTGTTTCATAGCTGCTCTTTCAAAAGGAAAGTTCAACTCTGGGAGTTGAATACAAACATCACAAAGTAGTTTCCGAGAATGCTTCTGTTTAGTTTTTATGTGAAGATGATCCCGTTTCCAGTGAAATCTTCAAAGAGGTCCACATATCCCCTTGCAGATTCCAAAGAAAGAGGGTTTCAAAACTGCTCCATCAGAAGGATTGTTCAACTCTGTGAGTTGAATGCAGTCATCGCAGAAAACTTTCTGAGAATGCTTCTGTCTAGGTTTGATGTGAAGATATAGACGTTTCAAACGAAGGCTACAAAGTGGTCAAAATATACACTTGCAGATTCTACTACAAGGGTGTTGCAAACCTGAACTATCAAAGGAAGGTTCAACTCTGTGAGTTGAATACAAACATCACAAAGAATGTTCTGAGTTTGCTTCCGTTCAGTTATGGGAAGTTGATCCCGTTTCCAACGAAATCCTCAGAGAGGTCCAAATATCCCCTTGCAGATTCTACAAAACGTGTGTTTGGAAACTGCTCCATCATAACGAATGTTCAGCTCCCTGAGTTAAACTCCATCGTCACAAAGAATTTTCTGAGAGTGCTACCGTCTGGTTTTTATATGAAGTTCTTTCCTTCACTACCACAGGCCTCAAAGCGGTCCAAATCTCCACTTGCAGATTCTACAAAAAGAGTGTTTGCAAACTGCTCTATCAAAAGGAATGTTCAACTCTGGGAGTTGAATGCAATCATCACAGAGCAGTTTCTGAGAATGCTTCTATGTCGTTTTTAGGAGAAGATATTTCCTTTTCCAACACAGTCCTCCTAGCCCGCTAAATAGCCACTTGCACATTGTAGAAAAAGTGTGTCAAAGCTGCGCTATCAAAGGGAAAGTTCAACTCTGTGAGGTGAATGCAAACATCCCAAAGAAGTTTCTGAGAATGCTTCCGTTTAGCTTTTAGGTGAAGATTATCCCGTTTCCAATGAAACCTTCAAAGAGGTCCAAATATCCCCTTGCGGATCCCACAGAAAGAGTGTTTCGAAACTGCTGTTTCAAAAGGAATCTTCAACTCTGTGAGTTGAATGCAATCATCACAAAGAAGTTTCTGACAATGCTTCTCTCTCGTCTTTCTGTGAAGATAAAGGAAAAGGCTTTCAGGCCTTTTCCACCACAGGCCTGAAAGCGCTCCAAATGTCCACTTGCAGATTCTGCGAAAAGAATATTTCAAAACTGCTCTATGAAAAGCAATGTTAAACTCTGTGGCTCGAACACAAACATCACAAAGCGGTTTCTGAGAATGCTTCAGTTTAGTTTTTCTGTGGAAATATTCCCGTTTCCAAAGAAATCTTCAAAGAGGTCCACGTATCCACTTACAGATTCTACAAAAAGACAGTTTCAAAACTGCTCCATCAAAAGGAGGGTTCAACTGTGTGACTTGAATGCAATCATCACTCAGAAGTTTCTGAGAATGCTTCTCTTTAGTTTTTACGTGAACATATACCCGTTTCGAACGAAGGCCACCCAGTGGTCCAAATATCCACTTGCAGATTCTACAGAAAGAGTGTTTCGAACCTGAACTCTCAAAGGCAGGTTCATCTCTGCGAGTTAAATGCATTCATCATGAAGAACTTTCTCAGAGTGTTGTGTTTAGTTATGGGAAATTATTCCCGTTTCCAACGAAATCCTCAGAGAGCTCCAAATATCCACCTGCAGATTCTACCAAAAGTGTATTTGGAAACTGCTCCATCAAAAGGCATGTTCAGCTCTGTGAGTGAAACTCCATCATCATAAAGAATATTCTGAGAATGCTTCCGTTTGCCTTTTATATGAAGTTCCTTCCTATACGACCGTAGGCCTCAAAGCAGTCCAAATCTCCATTTGCAGATTCTACAAAAAGAGTGATTCCAATCTGCTCTATCAATAGGATTGTTCAACTCCATGAGTTGAATGCCATCCTCACAAAGTCGTTTCTGAGAATGCTTCTATCTAGTTTTTATGTGAAGATATTTCCTTTTCCACCACAGGCCTCAAAGCCCTCCAAACGTCCACTTGCAGATTCTCGAAAAAGAGTGTTTTATAGCTGCTCTTTCAAAAGGAAAGTTCAACTCTGGGAGTTGAATACAAACATCACAAAGTAGTTTCCGAGAATGCTTCTGTTTAGTTCTTATGTGAAGATGATCCCGTTTCCAGTGAAATCTTGAAAGAGGTCCACATATCCCCTTGCAGATTCCAAAGAAAGAGGGTTTCAAAACTGCTCCATCAAAAGGATTACTCAACTCTATGAGTTGTATGCAGTCATCGCAGAAAACTTTCTGAGAATGCTTCTTTCTAGGTTTGATGTGAAGATATAGACGTTTCAAACGAAGGCTACAAAGTGGTCAAAATATACACTTGCAGATTCTACTACAAGGGTGTTGCAAACCTGAACTATCAAAGGAAGGTTCAACTCTGTGAGTTGAATACAAACATCACAAAGAATGTTCTGAGTTTGCTTCCGTTCAGTTATGGGAAGTTGATCCCGTTTCCAACGAAATCCTCAGAGAGGTCCAAATATCCCCTTGCAGATACTACAAAACGTGTGTTTGGAAACTGCTCCATCATAACGAATGTTCAGCTCCCTGAGTTAAACTCCATCGTCACAAAGAATTTTCTGAGAGTGCTACCGTCTGGTTTTTATATGAAGTTCTTTCCTTCACTACCACAGGCCTCAAAGCGGTCCAAATCTCCACTTGCAGATTCTACAAAAAGAGTGTTTGCAAACTGCTCTATCAAAAGGAATGTTCAACTCTGGGAGTTGAATGCAATCATCACAGAGCAGTTTCTGAGAATGCTTCTATGTCGTTTTTAGGAGAAGATATTTCCTTTTCCAACACAGTCCTCCAAGCCCGCTAAATAGCCACTTGCACATTGTAGAAAAAGTGTGTCAAAGCTGCGCTATCAAAGGGAAAGTTCAACTCTGTGAGGTGAATGCAAACATCCCAAAGAAGTTTCTGAGAATGCTTCCGTTTAGCTTTTAGGTGAAGATTATCCCGTTTCCAACGAAACCTTCAAAGAGGTCCAAATATCCCCTTGCGGATCCCACAGAAAGAGTGTTTCGAAACTGCTGTTTCAAAAGGAATCTTCAACTCTGTGAGTTGAATGCAATCATCACAAAGAAGTTTCTGACAATGCTTCTTCTCTCTCGTCTTTCTGTGAAGATATAGGAAAAGGCTTTCAGGTCTTTTCCATCACAGGCCTGAAAGCGCTCCAAATGTCCACTTGCAGATTCTGCCAAAAGAATATTTCAAAACTGCTCTATGAAAAGCAATGTTAAACTCTGCGGCTCGAACACAAACATCACAAAGCAGTTTCTGAGAATGCTTCAGTTTAGTTTTTCTGTGGAAATATTCCCGTTTCCAAAGAAATCTTCAAAGAGGTCCACGCATCCACTTACAGATTCTACAAAAAGACAGTTTCAAAACTGCTCAATCAAAAGGAGGGTTCAACTGTGTGACTTGAAAGCAATCATCACTCAGAAGTTTCTGAGAACGCTTCTCTTTAGTTTTTACGTGAACATATACCCGTTTCGAACGAAGGCCAGCCAGTGGTCCAAATATCCACTTGCAGATTCTACAGAAAGAGTGTTTCGAACCTGAACTCTCAAAGGCAGGTTCATCTCTGCGAGTTAAATGCATTCATCATGAAGAACTTTCTCAGAGTGTTTGTGTTTAGTTATGGGAAATTATTCCCGTTTCCAACGAAATCCTCAGAGAGCTCCAAATATCCACCTGCAGATTCTACCAAAAGTGTATTTGGAAACTGCTCCATCAAAAGGCATGTTCAGCTCTGTGAGTGAAACTCCATCATCACAAAGAATATTCTGAGAATGCTTCCATTTGCCTTTTATATGAAGTTCCTTCCTATACGACCGTAGGCCTCAAAGCAGTCCAAATCTCCATTTGCAGATTCTACAAAAAGAGTGATTCCAATCTGCTCTATCAATAGGATTGTTCAACTCCATGAGTTGAATGCCATCCTCACAAAGTCGTTTCTGAGAATGCTTCTATCTAGTTTTTATGTGAAGATATTTCCTTTTCCACCACAGGCCTCAAAGCCTTCCAAACGTCCACTTGCAGATTCTCGAAAAAGAGTGTTTCATAGCTGCTCTTTCAAAAGGAAAGTTCAACTCTGGGAGTTGAATACAAACATCACAAAGTAGTTTCCGAGAATGCTTCTGTTTAGTTCTTATGTGAAGATGATCCCGTTTCCAGTGAAATCTTCAAAGAGGTCCACATATCCCCTTGCAGATTCCAAAGAAAGAGGGTTTCAAAACTGCTCCATCAAAAGGATTGTTCAACTCTGTGAGTTGAATGCAGTCATCGCAGAAAACTTTCTGAGAATGCTTCTGTCTAGGTTAGATGTGAAGATATAGACGTTTCAAACGAAGGCTACAAAGTGGTCAAAATATACACTTGCAGATTCTACTACAAGGGTGATGCAAACCTGAACTATCAAAGGAAGGTTCAACTCTGTGAGTTGAATACAAACATCACAAAGAATGTTCTGAGTTTGCTTCCGTTCAGTTATGGGAAGTTGATCCCGTTTCCAACGAAATCCTCAGAGAGGTCCAAATATCCCCTTGCAGATTCTACAAAACGTGTGTTTGGAAACTGCTCCATCATAACGAATGTTCAGCTCCCTGAGTTAAACTCCATCGTCACAAAGAATTTTCTGAGAGTGCTACCGTCTGGTTTTTATATGAAGTTCTTTCCTTCACTACCACAGGCCTCAAAGCGGTCCAAATCTCCACTTGCAGATTCTACAAAAAGAGTGTTTGCAAACTGCTCTATCCAAAGGAATGTTCAACTCTGGGAGTTGAATGCAATCATCACAGAGCAGTTTCTGAGAATGCTTCTATGTCGTTTTTAGGAGAAGATATTTCCTTTTCCAACACAGTCCTCCAAGCCCGCTAAATAGCCACTTGCACATTGTAGAAAAAGTGTGTCAAAGCTGCGCTATCAAAGGGAAAGTTCAACTCTGTGAGGTGAATGCAAACATCCCAAAGAAGTTTCTGAGAATGCTTCCGTTTAGCTTTTAGGTGAAGATTATCCCGTTTCCAACGAAACCTTCAAAGAGGTCCAAATATCCCCTTGCGGATCCCACAGAAAGAGTGTTTCGAAACTGCTGTTTCAAAAGGAATCTTCAACTCTGTGAGTTGAATGCAATCATCACAAAGAAGTTTCTGACAATGCTTCTCTCTCGTCTTTCTGTGAAGATAAAGGAAAAGGCTTTCAGGCCTTTTCCACCACAGGCCTGAAAGCGCTCCAAATGTCCACTTGTAGATTCTGCGAAAAGAATATTTCAAAACTGCTCTATGAAAAGCAATGTTAAACTCTGTGGCTCGAACACAAACATCACAAAGCAGTTTCTGAGAATGCTTCAGTTTAGTTTTTCTGTGGAAATATTCCCGTTTCCAAAGAAATCTTCAAAGAGGTCCACGTATCCACTTACAGATTCTACAAAAAGACAGTTTCAAAACTGCTCCATCAAAAGGAGGGTTCAACTGTGTGACTTGAATGCAATCATCACTCAGAAGTTTCTGAGAATGCTTCTCTTTAGTTTTTACGTGAACATATACCCGTTTCGAACGAAGGCCACCCAGTGGTCCAAATATCCACTTGCAGATTCTACAGAAAGAGTGTTTCGAACCCGAACTCTCAAAGGCAGGTTCATCTCTGCGAGTTAAATGCATTCATCATGAAGAACTTTCTCAGAGTGTTTGTGTTTAGTTATGGGAAATTATTCCCGTTTCCAAAGAAATCCTCAGAGAGCTCCAAATATCCACCTGCAGATTCTACCAAAAGTGTATTTGGAAACTGCTCCATCAAAAGGCATGTTCAGCTCTGTGAGTGAAACTCCATCATCACAAAGAATATTCTGAGAATGCTTCCGTTTGCCTTTTATCTGAAGTTCCTTCCTATACGACCGTAGGCCTCAAAGCAGTCCAAATCTCCATTTGCAGATTCTACAAAAAGAGTGATTCCAATCTGCTCTATCAATAGGATTGTTCAACTCCATGAGTTGAATGCCATCCTCACAAAGTCGTTTCTGAGAATGCTTCTATCTAGTTTTTATGTGAAGATATTTCCTTTTCCACCACAGGCCTCAAAGCCCTCCAAACGTCCACTTGCAGATTCTCGAAAAAGAGTGTTTCATAGCTGCTCTTTCAAAAGGAACGTTCAACTCTGGGAGTTGAATACAAACATCACAAAGTAGTTTCCGAGAATGCTTCTGTTTAGTTTTTATGTGAAGATGATCCCGTTTCCAGTGAAATCTTCAAAGAGGTCCACATATCCCCTTGCAGATTCCAAAGAAAGAGGGTTTCAAAACTGCTCCATCAGAAGGATTGTTCAACTCTGTGAGTTGAATGCAGTCATCGCAGAAAACTTTCTGAGAATGCTTCTGTCTAGGTTTGATGTGAAGATATAGACGTTTCAAACGAAGGCTACAAAGTGGTCAAAATATACACTTGCAGATTCTACTACAAGGGTGTTGCAAACCTGAACTATCAAAGGAAGGTTCAACTCTGTGAGTTGAATACAAACATCACAAAGAATGTTCTGAGTTTGCTTCCGTTCAGTTATGGGAAGTTGATCCCGTTTCCAACGAAATCCTCAGAGAGGTCCAAATATCCCCTTGCAGATTCTACAAAACGTGTGTTTGGAAATTGCTCCATCATAACGAATGTTCAGCTCCCTGAGTTAAACTCCATGGTCACAAAGAATTTTCTGAGAGTGCTACCGTCTGGTTTTTATATGAAGTTCTTTCCTTCACTACCACAGACCTCAAAGCGGTGCAAATCTCCACTTGCAGATTCTACAAAAAGAGTGTTTGCAAACTGCTCTATCAAAAGGAATGTTCAACTCTGGGAGTTGAATGCAATCATCACAGAGCAGTTTCTGAGAATGCTTCTATGTCGTTTTTAGGAGAAGATATTTCCTTTTCCAACACAGTCCTCCAAGCCCGCTAAATAGCCACTTGCACATTGTAGAAAAAGTGTGTCAAAGCTGCGCTATCAAAGGGAAAGTTCAACTCTGTGAGGTGAATGCAAACATCCCAAAGAAGTTTCTGAGAATGCTTCCGTTTAGCTTTTAGGTGAAGATTATCCCGTTTCCAACGAAACCTTCAAAGAGGTCCAAATATCCCCTTGCGGATCCCACAGAAAGAGTGTTTCGAAACTGCTGTTTCAAAAGGAATCTTCAACTCTGTGAGTTGAATGCAATCATCACAAAGAAGTTTCTGACAATGCTTCTCTCTCGTCTTTCTGTGAAGATAAAGGAAAAGGCTTTCAGGCCTTTGCCACCACAGGCCTGAAAGCGCTCCAAATGTCCACTTGCAGATTCTGCGAAAAGAATATTTCAAAACTGCTCTATGAAAAGCAATGTTAAACTCTGTGGCTCGAACACAAACATCACAAAGCGGTTTCTGAGAATGCTTCAGTTTAGTTTTTCTGTGGAAATATTCCCGTTTCCAAAGAAATCTTCAAAGAGGTCCACGTATCCACTTACAGATTCTACAAAAAGACAGTTTCAAAACTGCTCCATCAAAAGGAGGGTTCAACCGTGTGACTTGAATGCAATCATCACTCAGAAGTTTCTGAGAATGCTTCTCTTTAGTTTTTACGTGAACATATACCCGTTTCGAACGAAGGCCACCCAGTGGTCCAAATATCCACTTGCAGATTCTACAGAAAGAGTGTTTCGAACCTGAACTCTCAAAGGCAGGTTCATCTCTGCGAGTTAAATGCATTCATCATGAAGAACTTTCTCAGAGTGTTTGTGTTTAGTTATGGGAAATTATTCCCGTTTCCAACGAAATCCTCAGAGAGCTCCAAATATCCACCTGCAGATTCTACCAAAAGTGTATTTGGAAACTGCTCCATCAAAAGGCATGTTCAGCTCTGTGAGTGAAACTCCATCATCACAAAGAATATTCTGAGAATGCTTCCGTTTGCCTTTTATATGAAGTTCCTTCCTGTACTACCGTAGGCCTCAAAGCAGTCCAAATCTCCATTTGCAGATTCTATAAAAAGAGTGATTCCAATCTGCTCTATCAATAGGATTGTTCAACTCCATGAGTTGAATGCCATCCTCACAAAGTAGTTTCTGAGAATGCTTCTATCTGGTTTTTGTGTGAAGATATTTCCTTTTCCACCACAGGCCTCAAAGCCCTCCAAACGTCCACTTGCAGATTTTCGAAAAAGAGTGTTTCATAGCTGCTCTTTCAAAAGGAAAGTTCAACTCTGGGAGTTGAATACAAACATCACAAAGTAGTTTCCGAGAATGCTTCTGTTTAGTTTTTATGTGAAGATGATCCCGTTTCCAGTGAAATCTTCAAAGAGGTCCACATATCCCCTTGCAGATTCCAAAGAAAGAGGGTTTCAAAACTGCTCCATCAGAGGATTGTTCAACTCTGTGAGTTGAATGCAGTCATCGCAGAAAACTTTCTGAGAATGCTTCTGTCTAGGTTTGATGTGAAGATATAGACGTTTCAAACGAAGGCTACAAAGTGGTCAAAATATACACTTGCAGATTCTACTACAAGGGTGTTGCAAACCTGAACTATCAAAGGAAGGTTCAACTCTGTGAGTTGAATACAAACATCACAAAGAATGTTCTGAGTTTGCTTCCGTTCAGTTATGGGAAGTTGATCCCGTTTCCAACGAAATCCTCAGAGAGGTCCAAATATCCCCTCGCAGATTCTACAAAACGTGTGTTTGGAAACTGCTCCATCATAACGAATGTTCAGCTCCCTGAGTTAAACTCCATCGTCACAAAGAATTTTGCTGAGAGTGCTAACCGTCTGGTTTTTATATGAAGTTCTTTCCTTCACTACCACAGGACCTCAAAGCGGTGCAAATCTCCACTTGCAGATTCTACAAAAAGAGTGTTTGCAAACTGCTCTATCAAAAGGAATGTTCAACTCTGGGAGTTGAATGCAATCATCACAGAGCAGTTTCTGAGAATGCTTCTATGTCGTTTTTAGGAGAAGATATTTCCTTTTCCAACACAGTCCTCCAAGCCCGCTAAATAGCCACTTGCACATTGTAGAAAAAGTGTGTCAAAGCTGCGCTATCAAAGGGAAAGTTCAACTCTGTGAGGTGAATGCAAACATCCCAAAGAAGTTTCTGAGAATGCTTCCGTTTAGCTTTTAGGTGAAGATTATCCCGTTTCCAACGAAACCTTCAAAGAGGTCCAAATATCCCCTTGCGGATCCCACAGAAAGAGTGTTTCGAAACTGCTGTTTCAAAAGGAATCTTCAACTCTGTGAGTTGAATGCAATCATCACAAAGAAGTTTCTGACAATGCTTCTCTCTCGTCTTTCTGTGAAGATAAAGGAAAAGGCTTTCAGGCCTTTGCCACCACAGGCCTGAAAGCGCTCCAAATGTCCACTTGCAGATTCTGCCAAAAGAATATTTCAAAACTGCTCTATGAAAAGCAATGTTAAACTCTGCGGCTCGAACACAAACATCACAAAGCGGTTTCTGAGAATGCTTCAGTTTAGTTTTTCTGTGGAAATATTCCCGTTTCCAAAGAAATCTTCAAAGAGGTCCACGTATCCACTTACAGATTCTACAAAAAGACAGTTTCAAAACTGCTCCATCAAATGGAGGGTTCAACTGTGTGACTTGAATGCAATCATCACTCAGAAGTTTCTGAGAATGCTTCTCTTTAGTTTTTACGTGAACATATACCCGTTTCGAACGAAGGCCACCCAGTGGTCCAAATATCCACTTGCAGATTCTACAGAAAGAGTGTTTCGAAACTGAACTCTCAAAGGCAGGTTCATCTCTGCGAGTTAAATGCATTCATCATGAAGAACTTTCTCAGCGTGTTTGTGTTTAGTTATGGGAAATTATTCCCGTTTCCAACGAAATCCTCAAAGAGCTCCAAATATCCACCTGCAGATTCTACCAAAAGTGTATTTGGAAACTGCTCCATCAAAAGGCATGTTCAGCTCTGTCAGTGAAACTCCATCATCACAAAGAATATTCTGAGAATGCTTCCGTTTGCCTTTTATATGAAGTTCCTTCCTATACTACCGTAGGCCTCAAAGCAGTCCAAATCTCCATTTGCAGATTCTACAAAAAGAGTGATTCCAATCTCCTCTATCAATAGGACTGTACAACTCCATGAGTTGAATGCCATCCTCACAAAGTCGTTTCTGAGAATGCTTCTATCTAGTTTTTATGTGAAGATATTTCCTTTTCCACCACAGGCCTCAAAGCCCTCCAAACGTCCACTTGCAGATTCTCGAAAAAGAGTGTTTCATAGCTGCTCTTTCAAAAGGAAAGTTCAACTCTGGGAGTTGAATACAAACATCACAAAGTAGTTTCCGAGAATGCTTCTGTTTAGTTTTTATGTGAAGATGATCCCGTTTCCAGTGAAATCTTCAAAGAGGTCCACTTATCCCCTTGCAGATTCCAAAGAAAGAGGGTTTCAAAACTGCTCCATCAAAAGGATTGTTCAACTCTGTGAGTTGAATGCAGTCATCGCAGAAATCTTTCTGAGAATGCTTCTGTCTAGGTTTGATGTGAAGATATAGACGTTTCAAACGAAGGCTACAAACTGGTCAAAATATACACTTGCAGATTCTACTACAAGGGTGTTGCAAACCTGAACTATCAAAGGAAGGTTCAACACTGTGAGTTGAATACAAACATCACAAAGAATGTTCTGAGTTTGCTTCCGTTCAGTTATGGGAAGTTGATGCCGTTTCCAACGAAATCCTCAGAGAGGTCCAAATATCCCCTTGCAGATTCTACAAAACGTGTGTTTGGAAACTGCTCCATCATAACGAATGTTCAGCTCCCTGAGTTAAACTCAATCGTCACAAAGAATTTTCTGAGAGTGCTACCGTCTAGTTTTTATATGAAGTTCTTTCCTTTACTACCACAGGCCTCAAAGCGGTCCAAATCTCCACTTGCAGATTCTACAAAAAGAGTGTTTGCAAACTGCTCTATCAAAAGGAGTGTTCAACTCTGGGAGTTGAATGCAATCATCACAGAGCAGTTTCTGAGAATGCTTCTATGTCGTTTTTAGGAGAAGATATTTCCTTTTCCAACACAGTCCTCCAAGCCCGCTAAATATCCACTTGCACATTGTAGAAAAAGTGTGTCGAAGCTGCGCTATCAAAGGGAAAGTTCAACTCTGTGAGGTGAATGCAAACATCCCAAAGAAGTTTCTGAGAATGCTTCCGTTTAGCTTTTAGGTGAAGATTATCCCGTTTCCAACGAAACCTTCAAAGAGGTCCAAATATCCCCTTGCGGATCCCACAGAAAGAGTGTTTCGAAACTGCTGTTTCAAAAGGAATCTTCAACTCTGTGAGTTGAATGCAATCATCACAAAGAAGTTTCTGACAATGCTTCTCTCTCGTCTTTCTGTGAAGATAAAGGAAAAGGCTTTCAGGCCTTTTCCACCACAGGCCTGAAAGCGCTCCAAATGTCCACTTGTAGATTCTGCGAAAAGAATATTTCAAAACTGCTCTATGAAAAGCAATGTTAAACTCTGTGGCTCGAACACAAACATCACAAAGCAGTTTCTGAGAATGCTTCAGTTTAGTTTTTCTGTGGAAATATTCCCGTTTCCAAAGAAATCTTCAAAGAGGTCCACGTATCCACTTACAGATTCTACAAAAAGACAGTTTCAAAACTGCTCCATCAAAAGGAGGGTTCAACTGTGTGACTTGAATGCAATCATCACTCAGAAGTTTCTGAGAATGCTTCTCTTTAGTTTTTACGTGAACATATACCCGTTTCGAACGAAGGCCACCCAGTGGTCCAAATATCCACTTGCAGATTCTACAGAAAGAGTGTTTCGAACCCGAACTCTCAAAGGCAGGTTCATCTCTGCGAGTTAAATGCATTCATCATGAAGAACTTTCTCAGAGTGTTTGTGTTTAGTTATGGGAAATTATTCCCGTTTCCAAAGAAATCCTCAGAGAGCTCCAAATATCCACCTGCAGATTCTACCAAAAGTGTATTTGGAAACTGCTCCATCAAAAGGCATGTTCAGCTCTGTGAGTGAAACTCCATCATCACAAAGAATATTCTGAGAATGCTTCCGTTTGCCTTTTATATGAAGTTCCTTCCTGTACTACCGTAGGCCTCAAAGCAGTCCAAATCTCCATTTGCAGATTCTACAAAAAGAGTGATTCCAATCTGCTCTATCAATAGGATTGTTCAACTCCATGAGTTGAATGCCATCCTCACAAAGCAGTTTCTGAGAATGCTTCTATCTGGTTTTTGTGTGAAGATATTTCCTTTTCCACCACAGGCCTCAAAGCCCTCCAAACGTCCACTTGCAGATTCTCGAAAAAGAGTGTTTCATAGCTGCTCTTTCAAAAGGAAAGTTCAACTCTGGGAGTTGAATACAAACATCACAAAATAGTTTCCGAGAATGCTTCTGTTTAGTTTTTATGTGAAGATGATCCCGTTTCCAGTGAAATCTTCAAAGAGGTCCACATATCCCCTTGCAGATTCCAAAGAAAGAGGGTTTCAAAACTGCTCCATCAAAAGGATTGTTCAACTCTGTGAGTTGAATGCAGTCATCGCAGAAAACTTTCTGAGAATGCTTCTTTCTAGGTTTGATGTGAAGATATAGACGTTTCAAACGAAGGCTACAAAGTGGTCAAAATATACACTTGCAGATTCTACTACAAGGGTGTTGCAAACCTGAACTATCAAAGGAAGGTTCAACTCTGTGAGTTGAATACAAACATCACAAAGAATGTTCTGAGTTTGCTTCCGTTCAGTTATGGGAAGTTGATCCCGTTTCCAACGAAATCCTCAGAGAGGTCCAAATATCCCCTTGCAGATTCTACAAAACGTGTGTTTGGAAACTGCTCCATCATAACGAATGTTCAGCTCCCTGAGTTAAACTCCATCGTCACAAAGAATTTTCTGAGAGTGCTACCGTCTGGTTTTTATATGAAGCTCTTTCCTTCACTACCACAGGCCTCAAAGCGGTCCAAATCTCCACTTGCAGATTCTACAAAAAGAGTGTTTGCAAACTGCTCTATCAAAAGGAATGTTCAACTCTGGGAGTTGAATGCAATCATCACAGAGCAGTTTCTGAGAATGCTTCTATGTCGTTTTTAGGAGAAGATATTTCCTTTTCCAACACAGTCCTCCAAGCCCGCTAAATAGCCACTTGCACATTGTAGAAAAAGTGTGTCAAAGCTGCGCTATCAAAGGGAAAGTTCAACTCTGTGAGGTGAATGCAAACATCCCAAAAAGTTTCTGAGAATGCTTCCGTTTAGCTTTTAGGTGAAGATTATCCCGTTTCCAACGAAACCTTCAAAGAGGTCCAAATATCCCCTTGCGGATCCCACAGAAAGAGTGTTTCGAAACTGCTGTTTCAAAAGGAATCTTCAACTCTGTGAGTTGAATGCAATCATCACAAAGAAGTTTCTGACAATGCTTCTCTCTCGTCTTTCTGTGAAGATAAAGGAAAAGGCTTTCAGGCCTTTTCCACCACAGGCCTGAAAGCGCTCCAAATGTCCACTTGCAGATTCTGCGAAAAGAATATTTCAAAACTGATCTATGAAAAGCAATGTTAAACTCTGTGGCTCGAACACAAACATCACAAAGCGGTTTCTGAGAATGCTTCAGTTTAGTTTTTCTGTGGAAATATTCCCGTTTCCAAAGAAATCTTCAAAGAGGTCCACGTATCCACTTACAGATTCTACAAAAAGACAGTTTCAAAACTGCTCCATCAAAAGGAGGGTTCAACTGTGTGACTTGAATGCAATCATCACTCAGAAGTTTCTGAGAATGCTTCTCTTTAGTTTTTACGTGAACATATACCCGTTTCGAACGAAGGCCACCCAGTGGTCCAAATATCCACTTGCAGATTCTACAGAAAGAGTGTTTCGAACCTGAACTCTCAAAGGCAGGTTCATCTCTGCGAGTTAAATGCATTCATCATGAAGAACTTTCTCAGAGTGTTTGTGTTTAGTTATGGGAAATTATTCCCGTTTCCAACGAAATCCTCAGAGTGGACCAAATATCCACCTGCAGATTCTACCAAAAGTGTACTTGGAATCTGCTCCATCAAAAGGCATGTTCAGCTCTGTGAGTGAAACTCCATCATCACAAAGAATATTCTGAGAATGCTTCCGTTCGCCTTTTATATGAAGTTCCTTCCTGTACTACCGTAGGCCTCAAAGCAGTCCAAATCTCCATTTGCAGATTCTACAAAAAGAGTGATTCCAATCTGCTCTATCAATAGGATTGTTCAACTCCATGAGTTGAATGCCATCCTCACAAAGTAGTTTCTGAGAATGCTTCTATCTGGTTTTTGTGTGAAGATATTTCCTTTTCCACCACAGGCCTCAAAGCCCTCCAAACGTCCACTTGCAGATTCTCGAAAAAGAGTGTTTCATAGCTGCTCTTTCAAAAGGAAAGTTCAACTCTGGGAGTTGAATACAAACATCACAAAATAGTTTCCGAGAATGCTTCTGTTTAGTTTTTATGTGAAGATGATCCCGTTTCCAGTGAAATCTTCAAAGAGGTCCACATATCCCCTTGCATATTGCAAAGAAAGAGGGTTTCAAAACTGCTCCATCAGAAGGATTGTTCAACTCTGTGAGTTGAATGCAGTCATCGCAGAAAACTTTCTGAGAATGCTTCTGTCTAGGTTTGATGTGAAGATATAGACGTTTCAAACGAAGGCTACAAAGTGGTCAAAATATACACTTGCAGATTCTACTACAAGGGTGTTGCAAACCTGAACTATCAAAGGAAGGTTCAACTCTGTGAGTTGAATACAAACATCACAAAGAATGTTCTGAGTTTGCTTCCGTTCAGTTATGGGAAGTTGATCCCGTTTCCAACGAAATCCTCAGAGAGGTCCAAATATCCCCTTGCAGATTCTACAAAACGTGTGTTTGGAAACTGCTCCATCATAACGAATGTTCAGCTCCCTGAGTTAAACTCCATCGTCACAAAGAATTTTCTGAGAGTGCTACCGTCTGGTTTTTATATGAAGCTCTTTCCTTCACTACCACAGGCCTGAAAGCGGTCCAAATCTCCACTTGCAGATTCTACAAAAAGAGTGTTTGCAAACTGCTCTATCAAAAGGAATGTTCAACTCTGGGAGTTGAATGCAATCATCACAGAGCAGTTTCTGAGAATGCTTCTATGTCGTTTTTAGGAGAAGATATTTCCTTTTCCAACACAGTCCTCCAAGCCCGCTAAATAGCCACTTGCACATTGTAGAAAAAGTGTGTCAAAGCTGCGCTATCAAAGGGAAAGTTCAACTCTGTGAGGTGAATGCAAACATCCCAAAGAAGTTTCTGAGAATGCTTCCGTTTAGCTTTTAGGTGAAGATTATCCCGTTTCCAACGAAACCTTCAAAGAGGTCCAAATATCCCCTTGCGGATCCCACAGAAAGAGTGTTTCGAAACAGCTGTTTCAAAAGGAATCTTCAACTCTGTGAGTTGAATGCAATCATCACAAAGAAGTTTCTGACAATGCTTCTCTCTCGTCTTTCTGTGAAGATAAAGGAAAAGGCTTTCAGGCCTTTGCCACCACAGGCCTGAAAGCGCTCCAAATGTCCACTTGCAGATTCTGCGAAAAGAATATTTCAAAACTGCTCTATGAAAAGCAATGTTAAACTCTGTGGCTCGAACACAAACATCACAAAGCGGTTTTTGAGAATGTTTCAGTTTAGTTTTTCTGTGGAAATATTCCCGTTTCCAAAGAAATCTTCAAAGAGGTCCACGTATCCACTTACAGATTCTACAAAAAGACAGTTTCAAAACTGCTCCATCAAAAGGAGGGTTCAACTGTGTGACTTGAATGCAATCATCACTCAGAAGTTTCTGAGAATGCTTCTCTTTAGTTTTTACGTGAACATATACCCGTTTCGAACGAAGGCCACCCAGTGGTCCAAATATCCACTTGCAGATTCTACAGAAAGAGTGTTTCGAACCTGAACTCTCAAAGGCAGGTTCATCTCTGCGAGTTAAATGCATTCATCATGAAGAACTTTCTCAGAGTGTTTGTGTTTAGTTATGGGAAATTATTCCCGTTTCCAACGAAATCCTCAGAGAGCTCCAAATATCCACCTGCAGATTCTACCAAAAGTGTATTTGGAAACTGCTCCATCAAAAGGCATGTTCAGCTCTGTGAGTGAAACTCCATCATCACAAAGAATATTCTGAGAATGCTTCCGTTTGCCTTTTATCTGAAGTTCCTTCCTGTACTACCGTAGGCCTCAAAGCAGTCCAAATCTCCATTTGCAGATTCTATAAAAAGAGTGATTCCAATCTGCTCTATCAATAGGATTGTTCAACTCCATGAGTTGAATGCCATCCTCACAAAGTAGTTTCTGAGAATGCTTCTATCTGGTTTTTGTGTGAAGATATTTCCTTTTCCACCACAGGCCTCAAAGCCCTCCAAACGTCCACTTGCAGATTCTCGAAAAAGAGTGTTTCATAGCTGCTCTTTCAAAAGGAAAGTTCAACTCTGGGAGTTGAATACAAACATCACAAAATAGTTTCCGAGAATGCTTCTGTTTAGTTTTTATGTGAAGATGATCCCGTTTCCAGTGAAAGCTTCAAAGAGGTCCACATATCCCCTTGCAGATTCCAAAGAAAGAGGGTTTCAAAACTGCTCCATCAGAAGGATTGTTCAACTCTGTGAGTTGAATGCAGTCATCGCAGAAAACTTTCTGAGAATGCTTCTGTCTAGGTTTGATGTGAAGATATAGACGTTTCAAACGAAGGCTACAAAGTGGTCAAAATATACACTTGCAGATTCTACTACAAGGGTGTTGCAAACCTGAACTATCAAAGGAAGGTTCAACTCTGTGAGTTGAATACAAACATCACAAAGAATGTTCTGAGTTTGCTTCCGTTCAGTTATGGGAAGTTGATCCCGTTTCCAACGAAATCCTCAGAGAGGTCCAAATATCCCCTTGCAGATTCTACAAAACGTGTGTTTGGAAACTGCTCCATCATAACGAATGTTCAGCTCCCTGAGTTAAACTCCATCGTCACAAAGAATTTTCTGAGAGTGCTACCGTCTGGTTTTTATATGATGCTCTTTCCTTCACTACCACAGGCCTCAAAGCGGTCCTAATCTCCACTTGCAGATTCTACAAAAAGAGTGTTTGCAAACTGCTCTATCAAAAGGAATGTTCAACTCTGGGAGTTGAATGCAATCATCACAGAGCAGTTTCTGAGAATGCTTCTATGTCGTTTTTAGGAGAAGATATTTCCTTTTCCAACACAGTCCTCCAAGCCCGCTAAATAGCCACTTGCACATTGTAGAAAAAGTGTGTCAAAGCTGCGCTATCAAAGGGAAAGTTCAACTCTGTGAGGTGAATGCAAACATCCCAAAGAAGTTTCTGAGAATGCTTCCGTTTAGCTTTTAGGTGAAGATTATCCCGTTTCCAACGAAACCTTCAAAGAGGTCCAAATATCCCCTTGCGGATCCCACAGAAAGAGTGTTTCGAAACTGCTGTTTCAAAAGGAATCTTCAACTCTGTGAGTTGAATGCAATCATCACAAAGAAGTTTCTGACAATGCTTCTCTCTCGTCTTTCTGTGAAGATAAAGGAAAAGGCTTTCAGGCCTTTTCCACCACAGGCCTGAAAGCGCTCCAAATGTCCACTTGCAGATTCTGCGAAAAGAATATTTCAAAACTGCTCTATGAAAAGCAATGTTAAACTCTGTGGCTCGAACACAAACATCACAAAGCGGTTTCTGAGAATGTTTCAGTTTAGTTTTTCTGTGGAAATATTCCCGTTTCCAAAGAAATCTTCAAAGAGGTCCACGTATCCACTTACAGATTCTACAAAAAGACAGTTTCAAAACTGCTCCATCAAAAGGAGGGTTCAACTGTGTGACTTGAATGCAATCATCACTCAGAAGTTTCTGAGAATGCTTCTCTTTAGTTTTTACGTGAACATATACCCGTTTCGAACGAAGGCCACCCAGTGGTCCAAATATCCACTTGCAGATTCTACAGAAAGAGTGTTTCGAACCTGAACTCTCAAAGGCAGGTTCATCTCTGCGAGTTAAATGCATTCATCATGAAGAACTTTCTTCAGAGTGTTTGTGTTTAGTTATGGGAAATTATTCCCGTTTCCAACGAAATCCTCAGAGAGCTCCAAATATCCACCTGCAGATTCTACCAAAAGTGTATTTGGAAACTGCTCCATCAAAAGGCATGTTCAGCTCTGTCAGTGAAACTCCATCATCACAAAGAATATTCTGAGAATGCTTCCGTTTGCCTTTTATATGAAGTTCCTTCCTATACTACCGTAGGCCTCAAAGCAGTCCAAATCTCCATTTGCAGATTCTACAAAAAGAGTGATTCCAATCTGCTCTATCAATAGGATTGTTCAACTCCATGAGTTGAATTCCATCCTCACAATGTCGTTTGTGAGAATGCTTCTATCTAGTTTTTATGTGAAGATATTTCCTTTTCCACCACAGGCCTCAAAGCCCTCCAAACGTCCACTTGCAGATTCTCGAAAAAGAGTGTTTCATAGCTGCTCTTTCAAAAGGAAAGTTCAACTCTGGGAGTTGAATACAAACATCACAAAGTAGTTTCCGAGAATGCTTCTGTTTAGTTTTTATGTGAAGATGATCCCGTTTCCAGTGAAATCTTCAAAGAGGTCCACATATCCCCTTGCAGATTCCAAAGAAAGAGGGTTTCAAAACTGCTCCATCAGAAGGATTGTTCAGCTCTGTGAGTTGAATGCAGTCATCGCAGAAAACTTTCTGAGAATGCTTCTGTCTAGGTTTGATGTGAAGATATAGACGTTTCAAACGAAGGCTACAAAGTGGTCAAAATATACACTTGCAGATTCTACTACAAGGGTGTTGCAAACCTGAACTATCAAAGGAAGGTTCAACTCTGTGAGTTGAATACAAACATCACAAAGAATGTTCTGAGTTTGCTTCCGTTCAGTTATGGGAAGTTGATCCCGTTTCCAACGAAATCCTCAGAGAGGTCCAAATATCCCCTCGCAGATTCTACAAAACGTGTGTTTGGAAACTGCTCCATCATAACGAATGTTCAGCTCCCTGAGTTAAACTCCATCGTCACAAAGAATTTTCTGAGAGTGCTACCGTCTGGTTTTTATATGAAGTTCTTTCCTTCACTACCACAGGCCTCAAAGCGGTCCAAATCTCCACTTGCAGATTCTACAAAAAGAGTGTTTGCAAACTGCTCTATCAAAAGGAATGTTCAACTCTGGGAGTTGAATGCAATCATCACAGAGCAGTTTCTGAGAATGCTTCTATGTCGTTTTTAGGAGAAGATATTTCCTTTTCCAACACAGTCCTCCAAGCCCGCTAAATAGCCACTTGCACATTGTAGAAAAAGTGTGTCAAAGCTGCGCTATCAAAGGGAAAGTTCAACTCTGTGAGGTGAATGCAAACATCCCAAAGAAGTTTCTGAGAATGCTTCCGTTTAGCTTTTAGGTGAAGATTATCCCGTTTCCAACGAAACCTTCAAAGAGGTCCAAATATCCCCTTGCGGATCCCACAGAAAGAGTGTTTCGAAACTGCTGTTTCAAAAGGAATCTTCAACTCTGTGAGTTGAATGCAATCATCACAAAGAAGTTTCTGACAATGCTTCTCTCTCGTCTTTCTGTGAAGATAAAGGAAAAGGCTTTCAGGCCTTTTCCACCACAGGCCTGAAAGCGCTCCAAATGTCCACTTGCAGATTCTGCAAAAAGAATATTTCAAAACTGCTCTATGAAAAGCAATGTTAAACTCTGTGGCTCGAACACAAACATCACAAAGCGGTTTCTGAGAATGCTTCAGTTTAGTTTTTCTGTGGAAATATTCCCGTTTCCAAAGAAATCTTCAAAGAGGTCCACGTATCCACTTACAGATTCTACAAAAAGACAGTTTCAAAACTGCTCCATCAAAAGGAGGGTTCAACTGTGTGACTTGAATGCAATCATCACTCAGAAGTTTCTGAGAATGCTTCTCTTTAGTTTTTACGTGAACATATACCCGTTTCGAACGAACGCCACCCAGTGGTCCAAATATCCACTTGCAGATTCTACAGAAAGAGTGTTTCGAACCTGAACTCTCAAAGGCAGGTTCATCTCTGCGAGTTAAATGCATTCATCATGAAGAACTTTCTCAGAGTGTTTGTGTTTAGTTATGGGAAATTATTCCCGTTTCCAACGAAATCCTCAGAGAGCTCCAAATATCCACCTGCAGATTCTACCAAAAGTGTATTTGGAAACTGCTCCATCAAAAGGCATGTTCAGCTCTGTGAGTGAAACTCCATCATCACAAAGAATATTCTGAGAATGCTTCCGTTTGCCTTTTATATGAAGTTCCTTCCTGTACTACCGTAGGCCTCAAAGCAGTCCAAATCTCCATTTGCAGATTCTACAAAAAGAGTGATTCCAATCTGCTCTATCAATAGGATTGTTCAACTCCATGAGTTGAATGCCATCCTCACAAAGTAGTTTCTGAGAATGCTTCTATCTGGTTTTTGTGTGAAGATATTTCCTTTTCCACCACAGGCCTCAAAGCCCTCCAAACGTCCACTTGCAGATTCTCGAAAAAGAGTGTTTCATAGCTGCTCTTTCAAAAGGAAAGTTCAACTCTGGGAGTTGAATACAAACATCACAAAATAGTTTCCGAGAATGCTTCTGTTTAGTTTTTATGTGAAGATGATCCCGTTTCCAGTGAAATCTTCAAAGAGGTCCACATATCCCCTTGCAGATTCCAAAGAAAGAGGGTTTCAAAACTGCTCCATCAGAAGGATTGTTCAACTCTGTGAGTTGAATGCAGTCATCGCAGAAAACTTTCTGAGAATGCTTCTGTCTAGGTTTGATGTGAAGATATAGACGTTTCAAACGAAGGCTACAAAGTGGTCAAAATATACACTTGCAGATTCTACTACAAGGGTGTTGCAAACCTGAACTATCAAAGGAAGGTTCAACTCTGTGAGTTGAATACAAACATCACAAAGAATGTTCTGAGTTTGCTTCCGTTCAGTTATGGGAAGTTGATCCCGTTTCCAACGAAATCCTCAGAGAGGTCCAAATATCCCCTTGCAGATTCTACAAAACGTGTGTTTGGAAACTGCTCCATCATAACGAATGTTCAGCTCCCTGAGTTAAACTCCATCGTCACAAAGAATTTTCTGAGAGTGCTACCGTCTGGTTTTTATATGAAGTTCTTTCCTTCACTATCACAGGCCTCAAAGAGGTCGAAATCTCCACTTGCAGATTCTACAAAAAGAGTGTTTGCAAACTGCTCTATCAAAAGGAATGTTCAACTCTGGGAGTTGAATGCAATCATCACAGAGCAGTTTCTGAGAATGCTTCTATGTCGTTTTTAGGAGAAGATATTTCCTTTTCCAACACAGTCCTCCAAGCCCGCTAAATAGCCACTTGCACATTGTAGAAAAAGTGTGTCAAAGCTGCGCTATCAAAGGGAAAGTTCAACTCTGTGAGGTGAATGCAAACATCCCAAAGAAGTTTCTGAGAATGCTTCCGTTTAGCTTTTAGGTGAAGATTATCCCGTTTCCAACGAAACCTTCAAAGAGGTCCAAATATCCCCTTGCGGATCCCACAGAAAGAGTGTTTCGAAACTGCTGTTTCAAAAGGAATCTTCAACTCTGTGAGTTGAATGCAATCATCACAAAGAAGTTTCTGACAATGCTTCTCTCTCGTCTTTCTGTGAAGATAAAGGAAAAGGCTTTCAGGCCTGTTCCACCACAGGCCTGAAAGCGCTCCAAATGTCCACTTGCAGATTCTGCGAAAAGAATATTTCAAAACTGCTCTATGAAAAGCAATGTTAAACTCTGTGGCTGGAACACAAACATCACAAAGCGGTTTCTGAGAATGTTTCAGTTTAGTTTTTCTGTGGAAATATTCCCGTTTCCAAAGAAATCTTCAAAGAGGTCCACGTATCCACTTACAGATTCTACAAAAAGACAGTTTCAAAACTGCTCCATCAAAAGGAGGGTTCAACTGTGTGACTTGAATGCAATCATCACTCAGAAGTTTCTGAGAATGCTTCTCTTTAGTTTTTACGTGAACATATACCCGTTTCGAACGAAGGCCACCCAGTGGTCCAAATATCCACTTGCAGATTATACAGAAAGAGTGTTTCGAACCTGAACTCTCAAAGGCAGGTTCATCTCTGCGAGTTAAATGCATTCATCATGAAGAACTTTCTCAGAGTGTTTGTGTTTAGTTATGGGAAATTATTCCCGTTTCCAACGAAATCCTCAGAGTGGTCCAAATATCCACCTGCAGATTCTACCAAAAGTGTATTTGGAAACTGCTCCATCAAAAGGCATGTTCAGCTCTGTGAGTGAAACTCCATCATCACAAAGAATATTCTGAGAATGCTTCCGTTTGCCTTTTATATGAAGTTCCTTCCTATACGACCGTAGGCCTCAAAGCAGTCCAAATCTCCATTTGCAGATTCTACAAAAAGAGTGATTCCAATCTGCTCTATCAATAGGATTGTTCAACTCCATGAGTTGAATGCCATCCTCACAAAGTCGTTTCTGAGAATGCTTCTATCTAGTTTTTATGTGAAGATATTTCCTTTTCCACCACAGGCCTCAAAGCCCTCCAAACGTCCACTTGCACATTCTCGAAAAAGACTGTTTCATAGCTGCTCTTTCAAAAGGAAAGTTCAACTCTGGGAGTTGAATACAAACATCACAAAGTAGTTTCCGAGAATGCTTCTGTTTAGTTCTTATGTGAAGATGATCCCGTTTCCAGTGAAATCTTCAAAGAGGTCCACATATCCCCTTGCAGATTCCAAAGAAAGAGGGTTTCAAAACTGCTCCATCAAAAGGATTGTTCAACTCTGTGAGTTGAATGCAGTCATCGCAGAAAACTTTCTGAGAATGCTTCTGTCTAGGTTTGAGGTGAAGATATAGACGTTTCAAACGAAGGCTACAAAGTGGTCAAAATATACACTTGCAGATTCTACTACAAGGGTGTTGCAAACTTCAACTATCAAAGGAAGGTTCAACTCTGTGAGTTGAATACAAACATCACAAAGAATGTTCTGAGTTTGCTTCTGTTCAGTTATGGGAAGTTGATCCCGTTTCCAACAAAATCCTCAGAGAGGTCCAAATATCCCCTTGCAGATTCTACAAAACGTGTGTTTGGAAACTGCTCCATCATAACGAATGTTCAGCTCTCTGAGTTAAACTCCATCGTCACAAAGAATTTTCTGAGAGTGCTACCGTCTAGTTTTTATATGAAGTTCTTTCCTTTACTACCACAGGCCTCAAAGCGGTCCAAATCTCCACTTGCAGATTCTACAAAAAGAGTGTTTGCAAACTGCTCTATCAAAAGGAATGTTCAACTCCTGGGAGTTGAATGCAATCATCACAGAGCAGTTTGCTGAGAATGCTTCTATGTCGTTTTTAGGAGAAGATATTACCTTTTCCAACACAGTCCTCCAAGCCCGCTAAATAGCCACTTGCACATTGTAGAAAAAGTGTGTCAAAGCTGCGCTATCAAAGGGAAAGTTCAACTCTGTGAGGTGAATGCAAACATCCCAAAGAAGTTTCTGAGAATGCTTCCGTTTAGCTTTTAGGTGAAGATTATCCCGTTTCCAACGAAACCTTCAAAGAGGTCCAAATATCCCCTTGCGGATCCCACAGAAAGAGTGTTTCGAAACTGCTGTTTCAAAAGGAATCTTCAACTCTGTGAGTTGAATGCAATCATCACAAAGAAGTTTCTGACAATGCTTCTCTCTCGTCTTTCTGTGAAGATAAAGGAAAAGGCTTTCAGGCCTTTGCCACCACAGGCCTGAAAGCGCTCCAAATGTCCACTTGCAGATTCTGCCAAAAGAATATTTCAAAACTGCTCTATGAAAAGCAATGTTAAACTCTGTGGCTGGAACACAAACATCACAAAGCGGTTTCTGATAATGTTTCAGTTTAGTTTTTCTGTGGAAATATTCCCGTTTCCAAAGAAATCTTCAAAGAGGTCCACGCATCCACTTACAGATTCTACAAAAAGACAGTTTCAAAACTGCTCCATCAAAAGGAGGGTTCAACCGTGTGACTTGAATGCAATCATCACTCAGAAGTTTCTGAGAATGCTTCTCTTTAGTTTTTACGTGAACATATACCCGTTTCGAACGAAGGCCACCCAGTGGTCCAAATATCCACTTGCAGATTCTACAGAAAGAGTGTTTCGAACCTGAACTCTCAAAGGCAGGTTCATCTCTGCGAGTTAAATGCATTCATCATGAAGAACTTTCTCAGAGTGTTTGTGTTTAGTTATGGGAAATTATTCCCGTTTCCAACGAAATCCTCAGAGAGCTCCAAATATCCACCTGCAGATTCTACCAAAAGTGTATTTGGAAACTGCTCCATCAAAAGGCATGTTCAGCTCTGTGAGTGAAACTCCATCATCACAAAGAATATTCTGAGAATGCTTCCGTTTGCCTTTTATATGAAGTTCCTTCCTGTACTACCGTAAGCCTCAAAGCAGTCCAAATCTCCATTTGCAGATTCTATAAAAAGAGTGATTCCAATCTGCTCTATCAATAGGATTGTTCAACTCCATGAGTTGAATGCCATCCTCACAAAGTAGTTTCTGAGAATGCTTCTATCTGGTTTTTGTGTGAAGATATTTCCTTTTCCACCACAGTCCTCAAAGCCCTCCAAACGTCCACTTGCAGATTCTCGAAAAAGAGTGTTTCATAGCTGCTCTTTCAAAAGGAAAGTTCAACTCTGGGAGTTGAATACAAACATCACAAAGTAGTTTCCGAGAATGCTTCTGTTTAGTTTTTATGTGAAGATGATCCCGTTTCCAGTGAAATCTTCAAAGAGGTCCACATATCCCCTTGCAGATTCCAAAGAAAGAGGGTTTCAAAACTGCTCCATCAGAAGGATTGTTCAACTCTGTGAGTTGAATGCAGTCATGGCAGAAAACTTTCTGAGAATGCTTCTGTCTAGGTTTGATGTGAAGATATAGACGTTTCAAACGAAGGCTACAAAGTGGTCAAAATATACACTTGCAGATTCTACTACAAGGGTGTTGCAAACCTGAACTATCAAAGGAAGGTTCAACTCTGTGAGTTGAATACAAACATCACAAAGAATGTTCTGAGTTTGCTTCCGTTCAGTTATGGGAAGTTGATCCCGTTTCCAACGAAATCCTCAGAGAGGTCCAAATATCCCCTTGCAGATTCTACAAAACGTGTGTTTGGAAACTGCTCCATCATAACGAATGTTCAGCTCCCTGAGTTAAACTCCATCGTCACAAAGAATTTTCTGAGAGTGCTACCGTCTGGTTTTTATATGAAGTTCTTTCCTTCACTACCACAGGCCTCAAAGCGGTCCAAATCTCCACTTGCAGATTCTACAAAAAGAGTGTTTGCAAACTGCTCTATCAAAAGGAATGTTCAACTCTGGGAGTTGAATGCAATCATCACAGAGCAGTTTCTGAGAATGCTTCTATGTCGTTTTTAGGAGAAGATATTTCCTTTTCCAACACAGTCCTCCTAGCCCGCTAAATAGCCACTTGCACATTGTAGAAAAAGTGTGTCAAAGCTGCGCTATCAAAGGGAAAGTTCAACTCTGTGAGGTGAATGCAAACATCCCAAAGAAGTTTCTGAGAATGCTTCCGTTTAGCTTTTAGGTGAAGATTATCCCGTTTCCAACGAAACCTTCAAAGAGGTCCAAATATCCCCTTGCGGATCCCACAGAAAGAGTGTTTCGAAACTGCTGTTTCAAAAGGAATCTTCAACTCTGTGAGTTGAATGCAATCATCAAAAAGAAGTTTCTGACAATGCTTCTCTCTCGTCTTCCTGTGAAGATAAAGGAAAAGGCTTTCAGGCCTTTTCCACCACAGGCCTGAAAGCGCTCCAAATGTCCACTTGCAGATTCTGCCAAAAGAATATTTCAAAACTGCTCTATGAAAAGCAATGTTAAACTCTGTGGCTCGAACACAAACATCACAAAGCAGTTTCTGAGAATGCTTCAGTTTAGTTTTTCTGTGGAAATATTCCCGTTTCCAAAGAAATCTTCAAAGAGGTCCACGTATCCACTTACAGATTCTACAAAAAGACAGTTTCAAAACTGCTCCATCAAAAGGAGGGTTCAACCGTGTGACTTGAATGCAATCATCACTCAGAAGTTTCTGAGAATGCTTCTCTTTAGTTTTTACGTGAACATATACCCGTTTCGAACGAAGGCCACCCAGTGGTCCAAATATCCACTTGCAGATTCTACAGAAAGAGTGTTTCGAACCTGAACTCTCAAAGGCAGGTTCATCTCTGCGAGTTCAATGCATTCATCATGAAGAACTTTCTCAGAGTGTTTGTGTTTAGTTATGGGAAATTATTCCCGTTTCCAACGAAATCCTCAGAGAGGTCCAAATATCCACCGGCAGATTCTACCAAAAGTGTATTTGGAAACTGCTCCATCAAAAGGCATGTTCAGCTCTGTGAGTGAAACTCCATCATCACAAAGAATATTCTGAGAATGCTTCCGTTTGCCTTTTATATGAAGTTCCTTCCTATACTACCGTAGGCCTCAAAGCAGTCCAAATCTCCATTTGCAGATTCTACAAAAAGAGTGATTCCAATCTGCTCTATCAATAGGATTGTTCAACTCCATGAGTTGAATGCCATCCTCACAAAGTAGTTTCTGAGAATGCTTCTATCTAGTTTTTATGTGAAGATATTTCCTTTTCCACCACAGGCCTCAAAGCCCTCCAAACGTCCACTTGCAGATTCTCGAAAAAGAGTGTTTCATAGCTGCTCTTTCAAAAGGAAATTTCAACTCTGGGAGTTGAATACAAACATCACAAAGAATGTTCTGAGTTTGCTTCCGTTCAGTTATGGGAAGTTGATCCCGTTTCCAATGAAATCCTCAGAGAGGTCCAAATATCCCCTTGCAGATTCTACAAAACGTGTGTTCGGAAACTGCTCCATCATAACGAATGTTCAGCTCCCTGAGTTAAACTCCATCGTCACAAAGAATTTTCTGAGAGTGCTACCGTCTGGTTTTTATATGAAGCTCTTTCCTTCACTACCATAGGCCTCAAAGCGGTCCAAATCTCCACTTCCAGATTCTACAAAAAGAGTGTTTGCAAACTGCTCTATCAAAAGGAATGTTCAACTCTGGGAGTTGAATGCAATCATCACAGAGCAGTTTCTGAGAATGCTTCTATGTCGTTTTTAGGAGAAGATATTTCCTTTTCCAACACAGTCCTCCAAGCCCGCTAAATAGCCACTTGCACATTGTAGAAAACGTGTGTCAAAGCTGCGCTATCAAAGGGAAAGTTCAACTCTGTGAGGTGAATGCAAACATCCCAAAGAAGTTTCTGAGAATGCTTCCGTTTAGCTTTTAGGTGAAGATTATCCCGTTTCCAACGAAATCTTCAAAGAGGTCCAAATATCCCCTTGCGGATCCCACAGAAAGAGTGTTTCGAAACTGCTGTTTCAAAAGGAATCTTCAACTCTGTGAGTTGAATGCAATCATCACAAAGAAGTTTCTGACAATGCTTCTCTCTCGTCTTTCTGTGAAGATAAAGGAAAAGGCTTTCAGGCCTTTTCCACCACAGGCCTGAAAGCGCTCCAATTGTCCACTTGCAGATTCTGCCAAAAGAATATTTCAAAACTGCTCTATGAAAAGCAAGGTTAAACTCTGTGGCTCGAACACAAACATCACAAAGCAGTTTCTGAGAATGCTTCAGTTTAGTTTTTCTGTGGAAATATTCCCGTTTCCAAAGAAATCTTCAAAGAGGTCCACGCATCCACTTACAGATTCTACAAAAAGACAGTTTCAAAACTGCTCAATCAAAAGGAGGGTTCAACTGTGTGACTTGAATGCAATCATCACTCAGAAGTTTCTGAGAACGCTTCTCTTTAGTTTTTACGTGAACATATACCCGTTTCGAACGAAAGCCAGCCAGTGGTCCAAATATCCACTTGCAGATTCTACAGAAAGAGTGTTTCGAACCTGAACTCTAAAAGGCAGGTTCATCTCTGCGAGTTAAATGCATTCATCATGAAGAACTTTCTCAGCGTGTTTGTGTTTAGTTATGGGAAATTATTCCCGTTTCCAACGAAATCCTCAGAGAGCTCCAAATATCCACCTGCAGATTCTACCAAAAGTGTATTTGGAAACTGCTCCATCAAAAGGCATGTTCAGCTCTGTGAGTGAAACTCCATCATCACAAAGAATATTCTGAGAATGCTTCCCGTTTGCCTTTTATATGAAGTTCCTTCCTGTACTACCGTAGGCCTCAAAGCAGTCCAAATCTCCATTTGCAGATTCTATAAAAAGAGTGATTCCAATCTGCTCTATCAATAGGATTGTTCAACTCCATGAGTTGAATGCCATCCTCACAAAGTAGTTTCTGAGAATGCTTCTATCTAGTTTTTATGTGAAGATATTTCCTTTTCCACCACAGGCCTCAAAGCCCTCCAAACGTCCACTTGCAGATTCTCGAAAAAGAGTGTTTCATAGCTGCTCTTTCAAAAGGAAAGTTCAACTCTGGGAGTTGAATACAAACATCACAAAGTAGTTTCCGAGAATGCTTCTGTTTAGTTTTTATGTGAAGATGATCCCGTTTCCAGTGAAATCTTCAAAGAGGTCCACATATCCCCTTGCAGATTCCAAAGAAAGAGGGTTTCAAAACTGCTCCATCAGAAGGATTGTTCAACTCTGTGAGTTGAATGCAGTCATCGCAGAAAACTTTCTGAGAATGCTTCTGTCTAGGTTTGATGTGAAGATATAGACGTTTCAAACGAAGGCTACAAAGTGGTCAAAATATACACTTGCAGATTCTACTACAAGGGTGTTGCAAACCTGAACTATCAAAGGAAGGTTCAACTCTGTGAGTTGAATACAAACATCACAAAAAATGTTCTGAGTTTGCTTCCGTTCAGTTATGGGAAGTTGATCCCGTTTCCAACGAAATCCTCAGAGAGGTCCAAATATCCCCTTGCAGATTCTACAAAACGTGTGTTTGGAAACTGCTCCATCATAACGAATGTTCAGCTCCCTGAGTTAAACTCCATCGTCACAAAGAATTTTCTGAGAGTGCTACCGTCTGGTTTTTATATGAAGCTCTTTCCTTCACTACCACAGGCCTCAAAGCGGTCCAAATCTCCACTTGCAGATTCTACAAAAAGAGTGTTTGCAAACTGCTCTATCAAAAGGAATGTTCAACTCTGGGAGTTGAATGCAATCATCACAGAGCAGTTTCTGAGAATGCTTCTATGTCGTTTTTAGGAGAAGATATTTCCTTTTCCAACACAGTCCTCCAAGCCCGCTAAATAGCCACTTGCACATTGTAGAAAAAGTGTGTCAAAGCTGCGCTATCAAAGGGAAAGTTCAACTCTGTGAGGTGAATGCAAACATCCCAAAGAAGTTTCTGAGAATGCTTCCGTTTAGCTTTTAGGTGAAGATTATCCCGTTTCCAACGAAACCTTCAAAGAGGTCCAAATATCCCCTTGCGGATCCCACAGAAAGAGTGTTTCGAAACTGCTGTTTCAAAAGGAATCTTCAACTCTGTGAGTTGAATGCAATCATCACAAAGAAGTTTCTGACAATGCTTCTCTCTCGTCTTTCTGTGAAGATAAAGGAAAAGGCTTTCAGGCCTTTTCCACCACAGGCCTGAAAGCGCTCCAAATGTCCACTTGCAGATTCTGCCAAAAGAATATTTCAAAACTGCTTTATGAAAAGCAATGTTAAACTCTGCGGCTCGAACACAAACATCACAAAGCAGTTTCTGAGAATGCTTCAGTTTAGTTTTTCTGTGGAAATATTCCCGTTTCCAAAGAAATCTTCAAAGAGGTCCACGTATCCACTTACAGATTCTACAAAAAGACAGTTTCAAAACTGCTCAATCAAAAGGAGGGTTCAAACGTGTGACTTGAATGCAATCATCACGCAGAAGTTTCTGAGAATGCTTCTCTTTAGTTTTTACGTGAACATATACCCGATTTGAACGAAGGCCACCCAGTGGTCCAAATATCCACTTGCAGATTCTACAGAAAGAGTGTTTCGAATCTGAACTCTCAAAGGCAGGTTCATCTCTGCGAGTTCAATGCATTCATCATGAAGAACTTTCTCAGAGTGTTTGTGTTTAGGTATGGGAAATTATTCCCGTTTCCAACGAAATCCTCAGAGAGGTCCAAATATCCACCTGCAGATTCTACCAAAAGTGTATTTGGAAACTGCTCCATCAAAAGGCATGTTCAGCTCTGTGAGTCAAACTCCATCATCACAAAGAATATTCTGAGAATGCTTCCGTTTGCCTTTTATATGAAGTTCCTTCCTATACTACCGTAGGCCTCAAAGCAGTCCAAATCTCCATTTGCAGATTCTACCAAAAGAGTGATTCCAATCTGCTCTATCAATAGGATTGTTCAACTCCATGAGTTGAATGCCATCCTCACAAAGTCGTTTCTGAGAATGCTTCTATCTAGTTTTTATGTGAAGATATTTCCTTTTCCACCACAGGCCTCAAAGCCCTCCAAACGTCCACTTGCAGATTCTCGAAAAAGAGTGTTTCATAGCCGCTGTTTCAAAAGGAAAGTTCAACTCTGGGAGTTGAATACAAACATCACAAAGTAGTTTCCGAGAATGCTTCTGTTTAGTTTTTATGTGAAGATGATCCCGTTTCCAGTGAAATCTTCAAAGAGGTCCCACATATCCCCTTGCAGATTCCAAAGAAAGAGGGTTTCAAAACTGCTCCATCAAAAGGATTGTTCAACTCTGTGAGTTGAATGCAGTCATCGCAGAAAACTTTCTGAGAATGCTTCTGTCTAGGTTTGATGTGAAGATATAGACGTTTCAAACGAAGGCTACAAAGTGGTCAAAATATACACTTGCAGATTCTACTACAAGGGTGATGCAAACCTCAACTATCAAAGGAAGGTTCAACTCTGTGAGATGAATGCAACCATCACAAAAAATGTTCTGAGTTTGCTTCCGTTTAGTTATGGGAAATTGATACCGTTTCCAACGAAATCCTCAGAGAGGTCCAAATATCCCCTTGCAGATTCTACAAAACGTGTGTTTGGAAACTGCTCCATCATAACGAATGTTCAGCTCTCTGAGTTAAACTCCATCGTCACAAAGAATTTTCTGAGAGTGCTACCGTCTGGTTTTTATATGAAGTTCTTTCCTTTACTACCACAGGCCTCAAAGCGGTCCAAATCTCCACTTGCAGATTCTACAAAAAGAGTGTTTGCAAACTGCTCTATCAAAAGGAATGTTCAACTCTGGGAGTTGAATGCAATCATCACAGAGCAGTTTCTGAGAATGCTTCTATGTCGTTTTTAGGAGAAGATATTTCCTTTTCCAACACAGTCCTCCAAGCCCGCTAAATATCCACTTGCACATTGTAGAAAAAGTGTGTCGAAGCTGTGCTATCAAAGGGAAAGTTCAACTCTGTGAGGTGAATGCAAACATCCCAAAGAAGTTTCTGAGAATGCTTCCGTTTAGCTTTTAGGTGAAGATTATCCCGTTTCCAACGAAATCTTCAAAGAGGTCCAAATATCCCCTTGCGGATCCCACAGAAAGAGTGTTTCGAAACTGCTGTTTCAAAAGGAATCTTCAACTCTGTGAGTTGAATGCAATCATCACAAAGAAGTTTCTGACAATGCTTCTCTCTCGTCTTTCTGTGAAGATAAAGGAAAAGGCTTTCAGGCCTTTTCCACCACAGGCCTGAAAGCGCTCCAAATGTCCACTTGCAGATTCTGCCAAAAGAATATTTCAAAACTGCTTTATGAAAAGCAATGTTAAACTCTGCGGCTCGAACACAAACATCACAAAGCAGTTTCTGAGAATGCTTCAGTTTAGTTTTTCTGTGGAAATATTCCCGTTTCCAAAGAAATCTTCAAAGAGGTCCACGTATCCACTTACAGATTCTACAAAAAGACAGTTTCAAAACTGCTCAATCAAAAGGAGGGTTCAAACGTGTGACTTGAATGCAATCATCACGCAGAAGTTTCTGAGAATGCTTCTCTTTAGTTTTTACGTGAACATATACCCGATTTGAACGAAGGCCACCCAGTGGTCCAAATATCCACTTGCAGATTCTACAGAAAGAGTGTTTCGAATCTGAACTCTCAAAGGCAGGTTCATCTCTGCGAGTTCAATGCATTCATCATGAAGAACTTTCTCAGAGTGTTTGTGTTTAGGTATGGGAAATTATTCCCGTTTCCAACGAAATCCTCAGAGAGGTCCAAATATCCACCTGCAGATTCTACCAAAAGTGTATTTGGAAACTGCTCCATCAAAAGGCATGTTCAGCTCTGTGAGTCAAACTCCATCATCACAAAGAATATTCTGAGAATGCTTCCGTTTGCCTTTTATATGAAGTTCCTTCCTATACTACCGTAGGCCTCAAAGCAGTCCAAATCTCCATTTGCAGATTCTACAAAAAGAGTGATTCCAATCTGCTCTATCAATAGGATTGTTCAACTCCATGAGTTGAATGCCATCCTCACAAAGTCGTTTCTGAGAATGCTTCTATCTGGTTTTTGTGTGAAGATATTTCCTTTTCCACCACAGGCCTCAAAGCCCTCCAAACGTCCACTTGCAGATTCTCGAAAAAGAGTGTTTTATAGCTGCTCTTTCAAAAGGAAAGTTCAACTCTGGGAGTTGAATACAAACATCACAAAATAGTTTCCGAGAATGCTTCTGTTTAGTTTTTATGTGAAGATGATCCCGTTTCCAGTGAAATCTTCAAAGAGGTCCACATATCCCCTTGCAGATTCCAAAGAAAGAGGGTTTCAAAACTGCTCCATCAGAAGGATTGTTCAACTCTGTGAGTTGAATGCAGTCATCGCAGAAAACTTTCTGAGAATGCTTCTGTCTAGGTTTGATGTGAAGATATAGACGTTTCAAACGAAGGCTACAAAGTGGTCAAAATATACACTTGCAGATTCTACTACAAGGGTGTTGCAAACCTGAACTATCAAAGGAAGGTTCAACTCTGTGAATTGAATACAAACATCACAAAGAATGTTCTGAGTTTGCTTCCGTTCAGTTATGGGAAGTTGATCCCGTTTCCAGCGAAATCCTCAGAGAGGTCCAAATATCCCCTTGCAGATTCTACAAAACGTGTGTTTGGAAACTGCTCCATCATAACGAATGTTCAGCTCCCTGAGTTAAACTCCATCGTCACAAAGAATTTTCTGAGAGTGCTACCGTCTGGTTTTTATATGAAGCTCTTTCCTTTACTACCCCAGTCCTCAAAGCGGTCCAAATCTCCACTTGCAGATTCTACAAAAAGAGTGTTTGCAAACTGCTCTATCAAAAGGAATGTTCAACTCTGGGAGTTGAATGCAATCATCACAGAGCAGTTTCTGAGAATGCTTCTATGTCGTTTTTAGGAGAAGATATTTCCTTTTCCAACACAGTCCTCCAAGCCCGCTAAATAGCCACTTGCACATTGTAGAAAAAGTGTGTCAAAGCTGCGCTATCAAAGGGAAAGTTCAACTCTGTGAGGTGAATGCAAACATCCCAAAGAAGTTTCTGAGAATGCTTCCGTTTAGCTTTTAGGTGAAGATTATCCCGTTTCCAACGAAACCTTCAAAGAGGTCCAAATATCCCCTTGCGGATCCCACAGAAAGAGTGTTTCGAAACTGCTGTTTCAAAAGGAATCTTCAACTCTGTGAGTTGAATGCAATCATCACAAAGAAGTTTCTGACAATGCTTCTCTCTCGTCTTTCTGTGAAGATAAAGGAAAAGGCTTTCAGGCCTTTGCCACCACAGGCCTGAAAGCGCTCCAAGTGTCCACTTGCAGATTCTGCGAAAAGAATATTTCAAAACTGCTCTATGAAAAGCAATGTTAAACTCTGTGGCTCGAACACAAACATCACAAAGAGGTTTCTGAGAATGCTTCAGTTTAGTTTTTCTGTGGAAATATTCCCGTTTCCAAAGAAATCTTCAAAGAGGTCCACGTATCCACTTACAGATTCTACAAAAAGACAGTTTCAAAACTGCTCCATCAAAAGGAGGGTTCAACCGTGTGACTTGAATGCAATCATCACTCAGAAGTTTCTGAGAATGCTTCTCTTTAGTTTTTACGTGAACATATACCCGTTTCGAACGAAGGCCAGCCAGTGGTCCAAATATCCACTTGCAGATTCTACAGAAAGAGTGTTTCGAACCTGAACTCTCAAAGGCAGGTTCATCTCTGCGCGTTAAATGCATTCATCATGAAGAACTTTCTCAGCGTGTTTGTGTTTAGTTATGGGAAATTATTCCCGTTCCCAACGAAATCCTCAGAGAGGTCCAAATGTCCACCTGCAGATTCTACCAAAAGTGTATTTGGAAACTGCTCCATCAACAGGCATGTTCAGCTCTGTGAGTGAAACTCCATCATCACAAAGAATATTCTGAGAATGCTTCCGTTTGCCTTTTATATGAAGTTCCTTCCTATACGACCGTAGGCCTCAAAGCAGTCCAAATCTCCATTTGCAGATTCTACAAAAAGAGTGATTCCAATCTGCTCTATCAATAGGATTGTTCAACTCCATGAGTTGAATGCCATCCTCACAAAGTCGTTTCTGAGAATGCTTCTATCTAGTTTTTATGTGAAGATATTTCCTTTTCCACCACAGGCCTCAAAGCCCTCCAAACGTCCACTTGCAGATTCTCGAAAAAGAGTGTTTCATAGCTGCTCTTTCAAAAGGAAAGTTCAACTCTGGGAGTTGAATACAAACATCACAAAGTAGTTTCCGAGAATGCTTCTGTTTAGTTTTTATGTGAAGATGATCCCGTTTCCAGTGAAATCTTCAAAGAGGTCCACATATCCCCTTGCAGATTCCAAAGAAAGAGGGTTTCAAAACTGCTCCATCAGAAGGATTGTTCAACTCTGTGAGTTGAATGCAGTCATCGCAGAAAACTTTCTGAGAATGCTTCTGTCTAGGTTTGATGTGAAGATATAGACGTTTCAAACGAAGGCTACAAAGTGGTCAAAATATACACTTGCAGATTCTACTACAAGGGTGTTGCAAACCTGAACTATCAAAGGAAGGTTCAACTCTGTGAGTTGAATACAAACATCACAAAGAATGTTCTGAGTTTGCTTCCGTTCAGTTATGGGAAGTTGATCCCGTTTCCAACGAAATCCTCAGAGAGGTCCAAATATCCCCTCGCAGATTCTACAATACGTGTGTTTGGAAACTGCTCCATCATAACGAATGTTCAGCTCCCTGAGTTAAACTCCATCGTCACAAAGAATTTTCTGAGAGTGCTACCGTCTGGTTTTTATATGAAGTTCTTTCCTTCACTACCACAGGCCTCAAAGCGGTCCAAATCTCCACTTGCAGATTCTACAAAAAGAGTGTTTGCAAACTGCTCTATCAAAAGGAATGTTCAACTCTGGGAGTTGAATGCAATCATCACAGAGCAGTTTCTGAGAATGCTTCTATGTCGTTTTTAGGAGAAGATATTTCCTTTTCCAACACAGTCCTCCAAGCCCGCTAAATAGCCACTTGCACATTGTAGAAAAAGTGTGTCAAAGCTGCGCTATCAAAGGGAAAGTTCAGCTCTGTGAGGTGAATGCAAACATCCCAAAGAAGTTTCTGAGAATGCTTCCGTTTAGCTTTTAGGTGAAGATTATCCCGTTTCCAACGAAACCTTCAAAGAGGTCCAAATATCCCCTTGCGGATCCCACAGAAAGAGTGTTTCGAAACTGCTGTTTCAAAAGGAATCTTCAACTCTGTGAGTTGAATGCAATCATCACAAAGAAGTTTCTGACAATGCTTCTCTCTCGTCTTTCTGTGAAGATAAAGGAAAAGGCTTTCAGGCCTTTTCCACCACAGGCCTGAAAGCGCTCCAAATGTCCACTTGCAGATTCTGCGAAAAGAATATTTCAAAACTGCTCTATGAAAAGCAATGTTAAACTCTGTGGCTCGAACACAAACATCACAAAGCGGTTTCTGAGAATGCTTCAGTTTAGTTTTTCTGTGGAAATATTCCCGTTTCCAAAGAAATCTTCAAAGAGGTCCACGTATCCACTTACAGATTCTACAAAAAGACAGTTTCAAAACTGCTCCATCAAAAGGAGGGTTCAACTGTGTGACTTGAATGCAATCATCACTCAGAAGTTTCTGAGAATGCTTCTCTTTAGTTTTTACGTGAACATATACCCGTTTCGAACGAAGGCCACCCAGTGGTCCAAATATCCACTTGCAGATTCTACAGAAAGAGTGTTTCGAACCTGAACTCTCAAAGGCAGGTTCATCTCTGCGAGTTAAATGCATTCATCATGAAGAACTTTCTCAGAGTGTGTGTTTAGTTATGGGAAATTATTCCCGTTTCCAAAGAAATCCTCAGAGAGCTCCAAATATCCACCTGCAGATTCTACAAAAAGTGTATTTGGAAACTGCTCCATCAAAAGGCATGTTCAGCTCTGTGAGTGAAACTCCATCATCACAAAGAATATTCTGAGAATGCTTCCGTTTGCCTTTTATATGAAGTTCCTTCCTATACGACCGTAGGCCTCAAAGCAGTCCAAATCTCCATTTGCAGATTCTACAAAAAGAGTGATTCCAATCTGCTCTATCAATAGGATTGTTCAACTCCATGAGTTGAATGCCATCCTCACAAAGTCGTTTCTGAGAATGCTTCTATCTGGTTTTTGTGTGAAGATATTTCCTTTTCCACCACAGGCCTCAAAGCCCTCCAAACGTCCACTTGCAGTTTCTCGAAAAAGAGTGTTTCATAGCTACTCTTTCAAAAGGAAAGTTCAACTCTGGGAGTTGAATACAAACATCACAAAATAGTTTCCGAGAATGCTTCTGTTTAGTTTTTATGTGAAGATGATCCCGTTTCCAGTGAAATCTTCAAAGAGGTCCACATATCCCCTTGCAGATTCCAAAGAAAGAGGGTTTCAAAACTGCTCCATCAGAAGGATTGTTCAACTCTGTGAGTTGAATGCAGTCATCGCAGAAAACTTTCTGAGAATGCTTCTGTCTAGGTTTGATGTGAAGATATAGACGTTTCAAACGAAGGCTACAAAGTGGTCAAAATATACACTTGCAGATTCTACTACAAGGGTGTTGCAAACCTGAACTATCAAAGGAAGGTTCAACTCTGTGAGTTGAATACAAACATCACAAAGAATGTTCTGAGTTTGCTTCCGTTCAGTTATGGGAAGTTGATCCCGTTTCCAACGAAATCCTCAGAGAGGTCCAAATATCCCCTTGCAGATTCTACAAAACGTGTGTTTGGAAACTGCTCCATCATAACGAATGTTCAGCTCCCTGAGTTAAACTCCATCGTCACAAAGAATTTTCTGAGAGTGCTACCGTCTGGTTTTTATATGAAGTTCTTTCCTTCACTACCACAGGCCTCAAAGCGGTCCAAATCTCCACTTGCAGATTCTACAAAAAGAGTGTTTGCAAACTGCTCTATCAAAAGGAATGTTCAACTCTGGGAGTTGAATGCAATCATCACAGAGCAGTTTCTGAGAATGCTTCTATGTCGTTTTTAGGAGAAGATATTTCCTTTTCCAACACAGTCCTCCAAGCCCGCTAAATAGCCACTTGCACATTGTAGAAAAAGTGTGTCAAAGCTGCGCTATCAAAGGGAAAGTTCAACTCTGTGAGGTGAATGCAAACATCCTAAAGAAGTTTCTGAGAATGCTTCCGTTTAGCTTTTAGGTGAAGATTATCCCGTTTCCAACGAAACCTTCAAAGAAGTCCAAATATCCCCTTGCGGATCCCACAGAAAGAGTGTTTCGAAACTGCTGTTTCAAAAGGAATCTTCAACTCTGTGAGTTGAATGCAATCATCACAAAGAAGTTTCTGACAATGCTTCTCTCTCGTCTTTCTGTGAAGATAAATAAATGCTTTCAGGCCTTTGCCACCACAGGCCTGAAAGCGCTCCAAATGTCCACTTGCAGATTCTGCGAAAAGAATATTTCAAAACTGCTTTGTGAAAAGCAATGTTAAACTCTGTGGCTCGAACACAAACATCACAAAGCGGTTTCTGAGAATGCTTCAGTTTAGTTTTTCTGTGGAAATATTCCCGTTTCCAAAGAAATCTTCAAAGAGGTCCACGTATCCACTTACAGATTCTACAAAAAGACAGTTTCAAAACTGCTCCATCAAAAGGAGGGTTCAACTGTGTGACTTGAATGCAATCATCACTCAGAAGTTTCTGAGAATGCTTCTCTTTAGTTTTTACGTGAACATATACCCGTTTCGAACGAAGGCCAGCCAGTGGTCCAAATATCCACTTGCAGATTCTACAGAAGGAGTGTTTCGAACCTGAACTCTCAAAGGCAGGTTCATCTCTGCGAGTTAAATGCATTCATCATGAAGAACTTTCTCAGCGTGTTTGTGTTTAGTTATGGGAAATTATTCCCGTTTCCAACGAAATCCTCAGAGAGCTCCAAATATCCACCTGCAGATTCTACCAAAAGTGTATTTGGAAACTGCTCCATCAAAAGGCATGTTCAGCTCTGTGAGTGAAACTCCATCATCACAAAGAATATTCTGAGAATGCTTCCGTTTGCCTTTTATATGAACTTCCTTCCTGTACTACCGTAGGCCTCAAAGCAGTCCAAATCTCCATTTGCAGATTCTACAAAAAGAGTGATTCCAATCTTCTCTATCAATAGGATTGTTCAACTCCATGAGTTGAATGCCATCCTCACAAAGTAGTTTCTGAGAATGCTTCTATCTGGTTTTTGTGTGAAGATATTTCCTTTTCCACCACAGGCCTCAAAGCCCCCCAAACGTCCACTTGCAGATTCTCGAAAAAGAGTGTTTCATAGCTTCTCTTTCAAAAGGAAAGTTCAACTCTGGGAGTTGAATACAAACATCACAAAATAGTTTCCGAGAATGCTTCTGTTTAGTTTTTATGTGAAGATGATCCCGTTTCCAGTGAAATCTTCAAAGAGGTCCACATATCCCCTTGCAGATTCCAAAGAAAGAGGGTTTCAAAACTGCTCCATCAAAAGGATTGTTCAACTCTGTGTGTTGAATGCAGTCATCGCAGAAAACTTTCTGAGAATGCTTCTGTCTAGGTTTGATGTGAAGATATAGACGTTTCAAACGAAGGCTACAACGTGGTCAAAATATACACTTGCAGATTCTACTACAAGGGTGTTGGAAACCTGAACTATCAAAGGAAGGTTCAACTCTGTGAGTTGAATACAAACATCACAAAGAATGTTCTGAGTTTGCTTCCGTTCAGTTATGGGAAGTTGATCCCGTTTCCAACGAAATCCTCAGAGAGGTCCAAATATCCCCTCGCAGATTCTACAAAACGTTTGTTTGGAAACTGCTCCATCATAACGAATGTTCAGCTCCCTGAGTTAAACTCCATCGTCACAAAGAATTTTCTGAGAGTGCTACCGTCTGGTTTTTATATGAAGTTCTTTCCTTCACTACCACAGGCCTCAAAGCGGTCCAAATCCCCACTTGCAGATTCTACAAAAAGAGTGTTTGCAAACTGCTCTATCAAAAGGAATGTTCAACTCTGGGAGTTGAATGCAATCATCACAGAGCAGTTTCTGAGAATGCTTCTATGTCGTTTTTAGGAGAAGATATTTCCTTTTCCAACACAGTCCTCCAAGCCCGCTAAATAGCCACTTGCACATTGTAGAAAAAGTGTGTCGAAGCTGCGCTATCAAAGGGAAAGTTCAACTCTGTGAGGTGAATGCAAACATCCCAAAGAAGTTTCTGAGAATGCTTCCGTTTAGCTTTTAGGTGAAGATTATCCCGTTTCCAACGAAACCTTCAAAGAGGTCCAAATATCCCCTTGCGGATCCCACAGAAAGAGTGTTTCGAAACTGCTGTTTCAAAAGGAATCTTCAACTCTGTGAGTTGAATGCAATCATCACAAAGAAGTTTCTGACAATGCTTCTCTCTCGTCTTTCTGTGAAGATAAAGGAAAAGGCTTTCAGGCCTGTTCCACCACAGGCCTGAAAGCACTCCAAATGTCCACTTGCAGATTCTGCGAAAAGAATATTTCAAAACTGCTCTATGAAAAGCAATGTTAAACTCTGTGGCTGGAACACAAACATCACAAAGCGGTTTCTGAGAATGTTTCAGTTTAGTTTTTCTGTGGAAATATTCCCGTTTCCAAAGAAATCTTCAAAGAGGTCCACGTATCCACTTACAGATTCTACAAAAAGACAGTTTCAAAACTGCTCCATCAAAAGGAGGGTTCAACTGTGTGACTTGAATGCAATCATCACTCAGAAGTTTCTGAGAATGCTTCTCTTTAGTTTTTACGTGAACATATACCCGTTTCGAACGAAGGCCACCCAGTGGTCCAAATATCCACTTGCAGATTCTACAGAAAGAGTGTTTCGAACCTGAACTCTCAAAGGCAGGTTCATCTCTGCGAGTTAAATGCATTCATCATGAAGAACTTTCTCAGAGTGTTTGTGTTTAGTTATGGGAAATTATTCCCGTTTCCAACGAAATCCTCAGAGAGCTCCAAATATCCACCTGCAGATTCTACCAAAAGTGTATTTGGAAACTGCTCCATCAAAAGGCATGTTCAGCTCTGTGAGTGAAACTCCATCATCACAAAGAATATTCTGAGAATGCTTCCGTTTGCCTTTTATATGAAGTTCCTTCCTATACTACCATAGGCCTCAAAGCAGTCCAAATCTCCATTTGCAGATTCTACAAAAAGAGTGATTCCAATCTGCTCTATCAATAGGATTGTTCAACTCCATGAGTTGAATGCCATCCTCACAAAGTAGTTTCTGAGAATGCTTCTATCTAGTTTTTATGTGAAGATATTTCCTTTTCCACCACAGGCCTCAAAGCCCTCCAAACGTCCACTTGCAGATTCTCGAAAAAGAGTGTTTCATAGCTGCTCTTTCAAAAGGAAAGTTCAACTCTGGGAGTTGAATACAAACATCCCAAAGTAGTTTCCGAGAATGCTTCTGTTTAGTTTTTATGTGAAGATGATCCGGTTTCCAGTGAAATCTTCAAAGAGGTCCACATATCCCCTTGCAGATTCCAAAGAAAGAGGGTTTCAAAACTGCTCCATCAGAAGGATTGTTCAACTCTGTGAGTTGAATGCAGTCATCGCAGAAAACTTTCTGAGAATGCTTCTGTCTAGGTTTGATGTGAAGATATAGACGTTTCAAACGAAGGCTACAAAGTGGTCAAAATATACACTTGCAGATTCTACTACAAGGGTGTTGCAAACCTGAACTATCAAAGGAAGGTTCAACTCTGTGAGTTGAATACAAACATCACAAAGAATGTTCTGAGTTTGCTTCCGTTCAGTTATGGGAAGTTGATCCCGTTTCCAACGAAATCCTCAGAGAGGTCCAAATATCCCCTTGCAGATTCTACAAAACGTGTGTTTGGAAACTGCTCCATCATAACGAATGTTCAGCTCCCTGAGTTAAACTCCATCGTCACAAAGAATTTTCTGAGAGTGCTACCGTCTGGTTTTTATATGAAGCTCTTTCCTTCACTACCCCAGGCCTCAAAGCGGTCCAAATCTCCACTTCCAGATTCTACAAAAAGAGTGTTTGCAAACTGCTCTATCAAAAGGAATGTTCAACTCTGGGAGTTGAATGCAATCATCACAGAGCAGTTTCTGAGAATGCTTCTATGTCGTTTTTAGAAGATATTTCCTTTTCCAACACAGTCCTCCAAGCCCGCTAAATATCCACTTGCACATTGTAGAAAAAGTGTGTCAAAGCTGCGCTATCAAAGGGAAAGTTCAACTCTGTGAGGTGAATGCAAACATCCCAAAGAAGTTTCTGAGAATGCTTCCGTTTAGCTTTTAGGTGAAGATTATCCCGTTTCCAACGAAACCTTCAAAGAGGTCCAAATATCCCCTTGCGGATCCCACAGAAAGAGTGTTTCGAAACTGCTGTTTCAAAAGGAATCTTCAACTCTGTGAGTTGAATGCAATCATCACAAAGAAGTTTCTGACAATGCTTCTCTCTCGTCTTTCTGTGAAGATAAAGGAAAAGGCTTTCAGGCCTTTGCCACCACAGGCCTGAAAGCGCTCCAAATGTCCACTTGCAGATTCTGCGAAAAGAATATTTCAAAACTGCTCTATGAAAAGCAATGTTAAACTCTGTGGCTCGAACACAAACATCACAAAGCGGTTTCTGAGAATGCTTCAGTTTAGTTTTTCTGTGGAAATATTCCCGTTTCGAAAGAAATCTTCAAAGAGGTCCACGTATCCACTTACAGATTCTACAAAAAGACAGTTTCAAACTGCTCCATCAAAAGGAGGGTTCAACCGTGTGACTTGAATGCAATCATCACTCAGAAATTTCTGAGAATGCTTCTCTTTAGTTTTTACGTGAACATATACCCGTTTCGAACGAAGGCCACCCAGTGGTCCAAATATCCACTTGCAGATTATACAGAAAGAGTGTTTCGAACCTGAACTCTCAAAGGCAGGTTCATCTCTGCGAGTTAAATGCATTCATCATGAAGAACTTTCTCAGAGTGTTTGTGTTTAGTTATGGGAAATTATTCCCCTTTCCAACGAAATCCTCAGAGAGCTCCAAATATCCACCTGCAGATTCTACCAAAAGTGTATTTGGAAACTGCTCCATCAAAAGGCATGTTCAGCTCTGTGAGTGAAACTCCATCATCACAAAGAATATTCTGAGAATGCTTCCGTTTGCCTTTTATATGAAGTTCCTTCCTGTACTACCGTAGGCCTCAAAGCAGTCCAAATCTCCATTTGCAGATTCTACAAAAAGAGTGATTCCAATCTGCTCTATCAATAGGATTGTTCAACTCCATGAGTTGAATGCCATCCTCACAAAGCAGTTTCTGAGAATGCTTCTATCTGGTTTTTGTGTGAAGATATTTCCTTTTCCACCACAGGCCTCAAAGCCCTCCAAACGTCCACTTGCAGATTCTCGAAAAAGAGTGTTTCATAGCTGCTCTTTCAAAAGGAAAGTTCAACTCTGGCAGTTGAATACAAACATCACAAAGTAGTTTCCGAGAATGCTTCTGTTTAGTTTTTATGTGAAGATGATCCCGTTTCCAGTGAAATCTTCAAAGAGGTCCACATATCCCCTTGCAGATTCCAAAGAAAGAGGGTTTCAAAACTGCTCCATCAGAAGGATTGTTCAACTCTGTGAGTTGAATGCAGTCATCGCAGAAAACTTTCTGAGAATGCTTCTGTCTAGGTTTGATGTGAAGATATAGACGTTTCAAACGAAGGCTACAAAGTGGTCAAAATATACACTTGCAGATTCTACTACAAGGGTGTTGCAAACCTGAACTATCAAAGGAAGGTTCAACTCTGTGAGTTGAATACAAACATCACAAAGAATGTTCTGAGTTTGCTTCCGTTCAGTTATGGGAAGTTGATCCCGTTTCCAACGAAATCCTCAGAGAGGTCCAAATATCCCCTTGCAGATTCTACAAAACGTGTGTTTGGAAACTGCTCCATCATAACGAATGTTCAGCTCCCTGAGTTAAACTCCATCGTCACAAAGAATTTTCTGAGAGTGCTACCGTCTGTTTTTTATATGAAGTTCTTTCCTTCACTACCACAGGCCTCAAAGCGGTCCAAATCTCCACTTGCAGATTCTACAAAAAGAGTGTTTGCAAACTGCTCTATCAAAAGGAATGTTCAACTCTGGGAGTTGAATGCAATCATCACAGAGCAGTTTCTGAGAATGCTTCTATGTCGTTTTTAGGAGAAGATATTTCCTTTTCCAACACAGTCCTCCAAGCCCGCTAAATAGCCACTTGCACATTGTAGAAAAAGTGTGTCAAAGCTGCGCTATCAAAGGGAAAGTTCAACTCTGTGAGGTGAATGCAAACATCCCAAAGAAGTTTCTGAGAATGCTTCCGTTTAGCTTTTAGGTGAAGATTATCCCGTTTCCAACGAAACCTTCAAAGAGGTCCAAATATCCCCTTGCGGATCCCACAGAAAGAGTGTTTCGAAACTGCTGTTTCAAAAGGAATCTTCAACTCTGTGAGTTGAATGCAATCATCACAAAGAAGTTTCTGACAATGCTTCTCTCTCGTCTTTCTGTGAAGATAAAGGAAAAGGCTTTCAGGCCTTTTCCACCACAGGCCTGAAAGCGCTCCAAATGTCCACTTGCAGATTCTGCGAAAAGAATATTTCAAAACTGCTCTATGAAAAGCAATGTTAAACTCTGTGGCTCGAACACAAACATCAAAAAGCGGTTTCTGAGAATGCTTCAGTTTAGTTTTTCTGTGGAAATATTCCCGTTTCCAAAGAAATCTTCAAAGAGGTCCACGTATCCACTTACAGATTCTACAAAAAGACAGTTTCAAAACTGCTCCATCAAAAGGAGGGTTCAACTGTGTGACTTGAATGCAATCATCACTCAGAAGTTTCTGAGAATGCTTCTCTTTAGTTTTTACGTGAACATATACCCGTTTCGAACGAAGGCCAGCCAGTGGTCCAAATATCCACTTGCAGATTCTACAGAAAGAGTGTTTCGAACCTGAACTCTCAAAGGCAGGTTCATCTCTGCGAGTTAAATGCATTCATCATGAAGAACTTTCTCAGAGTGTTTGTGTTTAGTTATGGGAAATTATTCCCGTTTCCAACGAAATCCTCAGAGAGCTCCAAATATCCACCTGCAGATTCTACCAAAAGTGTATTTGGAAACTGCTCCATCAAAAGGCATGTTCAGCTCTGTGAGTGAAACTCCATCATCACAAAGAATATTCTGAGAATGCTTCCGTTTGCCTTTTATATGAAGTTCCTTCCTGTACTACTGTAGGCCTCAAAGCAGTCCAAATCTCCATTTGCAGATTCTACAAAAAGAGTGATTCCAATCTGCTCTATCAATAGGATTGTTCAACTCCATGAGTTGAATGCCATCCTCACAAAGTAGTTTCTGAGAATGCTTCTATCTGGTTTTTGTGTGAAGATATTTCCTTTTCCACCACAGGCCTCAAAGCCCTCCAAACGTCCACTTGCAGATTCTCGAAAAAGAGTGTTTCATAGCTGCTCTTTCAAAAGGAAAGTTCAACTCTGGGAGTTGAATACAAACATCACAAAATAGTTTCCGAGAATGCTTCTGTTTAGTTTTTATGTGAAGATGACCCCGTTTCCAGTGAAATCATCAAAGAGGTCCACATATCCCCTTGCAGATTCCAAAGAAAGAGGGTTTCAAAACTGCTCCATCAGAAGGATTGTTCAACTCTGTGAGTTGAATGCAGTCATCGCAGAAAACTTTCTGAGAATGCTTCTTTCTAGGTTTGATGTGAAGATATAGACGTTTCAAACGAAGGCTACAAAGTGGTCAAAATATACACTTGCAGATTCTACTACAAGGGTGTTGCAAACCTGAACTATCAAAGGAAGGTTCAACTCTGTGAGTTGAATACAAACATCACAAAGAATGTTCTGAGTTTGCTTCCGTTCAGTTATGGGAAGTTGATCCCGTTTCCAACGAAATCCTCAGAGAGGTCCAAATATCCCCTCACAGATTCTACAAAACTTGTGTTTGGAAACTGCTCCATCATAACGAATGTTCAGCTCCCTGAGTTAAACTCCATCGTCACAAAGAATTTTCTGAGAGTGCTACCGTCTGGTTTTTATATGAAGTTCTTTCCTTCACTACCACAGGCCTCAAAGCGGTCCAAATCTCCACTTGCAGATTCTACAAAAAGAGTGTTTGCAAACTGCTCTATCAAAAGGAATGTTCAACTCTGGGAGTTGAATGCAATCATCACAGAGCAGTTTCTGAGAATGCTTCTATGTCGTTTTTAGGAGAAGATATTTCCTTTTCCAACACAGTCCTCCAAGCCCGCTAAATAGCCACTTGCACATTGTAGAAAAAGTGTGTCAGAGCTGCGCTATCAAAGGGAAAGTTCAACTCTGAGAGGTGAATGCAAACATCCCAAAGAAGTTTCTGAGAGTGCTTCCGTTTAGCTTTTAGGTGAAGATTATCCCGTTTCCAACGAAACCTTCAAAGAGGTCCAAATATCCCCTTGCGGATCCCACAGAAAGAGTGTTTCGAAACTGCTGTTTCAAAAGGAATCTTCAACTCTGTGAGTTGAATGCAATCATCACAAAGAAGTTTCTGACAATGCTTCTCTCTCGTCTTTCTGTGAAGATAAAGGAAAAGGCTTTCAGGCCTTTTCCACCACAGGCCTGAACGTGCTCCAAATGTCCACTTGCAGATTCTGCCAAAAGAATATTTCAAAACTGCTCTACGAAAAGCAATGTTAAACTCTGTGGCTCGAACACAAACATCACAAAGCCGTTTCTGAGAATGCTTCAGTTTAGTTTTTCTGTGGAAATATTCCCGTTTCCAAAGAAATCTTCAAAGAGGTCCACGCATCCACTTACAGATTCTACAAAAAGACAGTTTCAAAACTGCTCAATCAAAAGGAGGGTTCAACTGTGTGACTTGAATGCAATCATCACTCAGAAGTTTCTGAGAACGCTTCTCTTTAGTTTTTACGTGAACATATACCCGTTTCGAAAGAAGGCCAGCCAGTGGTCCAAATATCCACTTGCAGATTCTACAGAAAGAGTGTTTCGAACCTGAACTCTCAAAGGCAGGTTCATCTCTGCGAGTTCAATGCATTCATCATGAAGAACTTTCTCAGCGTGTTTGTGTTTAGTTATGGGAAATTATTCCCGTTTCCAACGAAATCCTCAGAGAGCTCCAAATATCCACCTGCAGATTCTACCAAAAGTGTATTTGGAAACTGCTCCATCAAAAGGCATGTTCAGCTCTGTGAGTGAAACTCCATCATCACAAAGAATATTCTGAGAATGCTTCCGTTTGCCTTTTATATGATGTTCCTTCCTGTACTACCGTAGGCCTCAAAGCAGTCCAAATCTCCATTTGCAGATTCTACAAAAAGAGTGATTCCAATCTGCTGTATCAATAGGATTGTTCAACTCCATGAGTTGAATGCCATCCTCACAAAGTCGTTTCTGAGAATGCTTCTATCTGGTTTTTGTGTGAAGATATTTCCTTTTCCACCACAGGCCTCAAAGCCCTCCAAACGTCCACTTGCAGATTCTCGAAAAAGAGTGTTTCATAGCTGCTCTTTCAAAAGGAAAGTTCAACTCTGGGAGTTGAATACAAACATCACAAAATAGTTTCCGAGAATGCTTCTGTTTAGTTTTTATGTGAAGATGATCCCGTTTCCAGTGAATTCTTCAAAGAGGTCCACATATCCCCTTGCAGATTCCAAAGAAAGATGGTTTCAAAACTGCTCCATCAAAAGGATTGTTCAACTCTGTGAGTTGAATGCAGTCATCACAGCAAACTTTCTGAGAATGCTTCTTTCTAGGTTTGATGTGAAGATATAGACGTTTCAAACGAAGGCTACAAAGTGGTCAAAATATACACTTGCAGATTCTACTACAAGGGTGTTGCAAACCTGAACTATCAAAGGAAGGTTCAACTCTGTGAGTTGAATACAAACATCACAAAGAATGTTCTGAGTTTGCTTCCGTTCAGTTATGGGAAGTTGATCCCGTTTCCAACGAAATCCTCAGAGAGGTCCAAATATCCCCTTGCAGATTCTGCAAAACGTGTGTTTGGAAACTGCTCCATCATAACGAATGTTCAGCTCTCTGAGTTAAACTCCATCGTCACAAAGAATTTTCTGAGAGTGCTACCATCTACTTTTTATATGAAGTTCTTTCCTTTACTACCACAGGCCTCAAAGCGGTCCAAATCTCCACTTGCAGATTCTACAAAAAGAGTGTTTGCAAACTGCTCTATCAAAAGGAATGTTCAACTCTGGGAGTTGAATGCAATCATCACAGAGCAGTTTCTGAGAATCCTTCTATGTCGTTTTTAGGAGAAGATATTTCCTTTTCCAACACAGTCCTCCAAGCCCGCTAAATATCCACTTGCGCATTGTAGAAAAAGTGTGTCGAAGCTGCGCTATCAAAGGGAAAGTTCAACTCTGTGAGGTGAATGCAAACATCCCAAAGAAGTTTCTGAGAATGCTTCCGTTTAGCTTTTAGGTGAAGATTATCCCGTTTCCAACGAAATCTTCAAAGAGGTCCAAATATCCCCTTGCGGATCCCACAGAAAGAGTGTTTCGAAACTGCTGTTTCAAAAGGAATCTTCAACTCTGTGAGTTGAATGCAATCATCACAAAGAAGTTTCTGACAATGCTTCTCTCTCGTCTTTCTGTGAAGATAAAGGAAAAGGCTTTCAGGCCTTTTCCACCACAGGCCTGAAAGCGCTCCAAATGTCCACTTGCAGATTCTGCCAAAAGAATATTTCAAAACTGCTCTATGAAAAGCAATGTTAAACTCTGTGGCTTGAACACAAACATCACAAAGCAGTTTCTGAGAATGCTTCAGTTTAGTTTTTCTGTGGAAATATTCCCGTTTCCAAAGAAATCTTCAAAGAGGTCCACGCATCCACTTACAGATTCTACAAAAAGACAGTTTCAAAACTGCTCAATCAAAAGGAGGGTTCAACTGTGTGACTTGAATGCAATCATCACTCAGAAGTTTCTGAGAACGCTTCTCTTTAGTTTTTACGTGAACATATACCCGTTTCGAACGAAGGCCAGCCATTGGTCCAAATATCCACTTGCAGATTCTACAGAAAGAGTGTTTCGAACCTGAACTCTCAAAGGCAGGTTCATCTCTGCGAGTTCAATGCATTCATCATGAAGAACTTTCTCAGCGTGTTTGTGTTTAGTTATGGGAAATTATTCCCGTTTCCAACGAAAGCCTCAGAGAGGTCCAAATATCCACCTGCAGATTCTACCAAAAGTGTATTTGGAAACTGCTCCATCAAAAGGCATGTTCAGCTCTGTGAGTGAAACTCCATCATCACAAAGAATATAATGAGAATGCTTCCGTTTGCCTTTTAAATGAAGTTCCTTCCTATACTACCGTAGGCCTCAAAGCAGTCCAAATCTCCATTTGCAGATTCTACAAAAAGAGTGATTCCAATCTGCTCTATCAATAGGATTGTTCAACTCCATGAGTTGAATGCCATCCTCACAAAGTCGTTTGTGAGAATGCTTCTATCTAGTTTTTATGTGAAGATATTTCCTTTTCCACCACAGGCCTCAAAGCCCTCCAAACGTCCACTTGCAGATTCTCGAAAAAGAGTGTTTCATAGCTGCTCTTTCAAAAGGAAAGTTCAACTCTCGGAGTTGAATACAAACATCACAAAGTAGTTTCCGAGAATGCTTCTGTTTAGTTTTTATGTGAAGATGATCCCGTTTCCAGTGAAATCTTCAAAGAGGTCCACATATCCCCTTGCAGATTCCAAAGAAAGAGGGTTTCAAAACTGCTCCATCAGAAGGATTGTTCAACTCTGTGAGTTGAATGCAGTCATCCCAGAAAACTTTCTGAGAATGCTTCTGTCTAGGTTTGATGTGAAGATATAGACGTTTCAAACGAAGGCTACAAAGTGGTCAAAATATACACTTGCAGATTCTACTACAAGGGTGTTGCAAACCTGAACTATCAAAGGAAGGTTCAACTCTGTGAGTTGAATACAAACATCACAAAGAATGTTCTGAGTTTGCTTCCGTTCAGTTATGGGAAGTTGATCCCGTTTCCAACGAAATCCTCAGAGAGGTCCAAATATCCCCTTGCAGATTCTACAAAACGTGTGTTTGGAAACTGCTCCATCATAACGAATGTTCAGCTCCCTGAGTTAAACTCCATCGTCACAAAGAATTTTCTGAGAGTGCTACCGTCTGGTTTTTATATGAAGTTCTTTCCTTCACTACCACAGGCCTCAAAGCGGTCCAAATCTCCACTTGCAGATTCTACAAAAAGAGAGTTTGCAAACTGCTCTATCAAAAGGAACGTTCAACTCTGGGAGTTGAATGCAATCATCACAGAGCAGTTTCTGAGAATGCTTCTATGTCGTTTTTAGGAGAAGATATTTCCTTTTCCAACACAGTCCTCCAAGCCCGCTAAATAGCCACTTGCACATTGTAGAAAAAGTGTGTCAAAGCTGCGCTATCAAAGGGAAAGTTCAACTCTGTGAGGTGAATGCAAACATCCCAAAGAAGTTTCTGAGAATGCTTCCGTTTAGCTTTTAGGTGAAGATTATCCCGTTTCCAACGAAACCTTCAAAGAGGTCCAAATATCCCCTTGCGGATCCCACAGAAAGAGTGTTTCGAAACTGCTGTTTCAAAAGGAATCTTCAACTCTGTGAGTTGAATGCAATCATCACAAAGAAGTTTCTGACAATGCTTCTCTCTCGTCTTTCTGTGAAGATAAAGGAAAAGGCTTTCAGGCCTTTTCCACCACAGGCCTGAAAGCGCTCCAAATGTCCACTTGCAGATTCTGCCAAAAGAATATTTCAAAACTGCTCTATGAAAAGCAATGTTAAACTCTGTGGCTGGAACACAAACATCACAAAGTGGTTTCTGAGAATGTTTCAGTTTAGTTTTTCTGTGGAAATATTCCCGTTTCCAAAGAAATCTTCAAAGAGGTCCACGTATCCACTTACAGATTCTACAAAAAGACAGTTTCAAAACTGCTCCATCAAAAGGAGGGTTCAACTGTGTGACTTGAATGCAATCATCACTCAGAAGTTTCTGAGAATGCTTCTCTTTAGTTTTTACGTGAACATATACCCGTTTCGAACGAAGGCCACCCAGTGGTCCAAATATCCACTTGCAGATTCTACAGAAAGAGTGTTTCGAACCTGAACTCTCAAAGGCAGGTTCATCTCTGCGAGTTAAATGCATTCATCATGAAGAACTTTCTCAGCGTGTTTGTGTTTAGTTATGGGAAATTATTCCCGTTTCCAACGAAATCCTCAAAGACCTCCAAATATCCACCTGCAGATTCTACCAAAAGTGTATTTGGAAACTGCTCCATCAAAAGGCATGTTCAGCTCTGTGAGTGAAACTCCATCATCACAAAGAATATTCTGAGAATGCTTCCGTTTGCCTTTTATATGAAGTTCCTTCCTATACGACCGTAGGCCTCAAAGCAGTCCAAATCTCCATTTGCAGATTCTACAAAAAGAGTGATTCCAATCTGCTCTATCAATAGGATTGTTCAACTCCATGAGTTGAATGCCATCCTCACAAAGTAGTTTCTGAGAATGCTTCTATCTAGTTTTTATGTGAAGATATTTCCTTTTCCACCACAGGCCTCAAAGCCCTCCAAACGTCCACTTGCAGATTCTCGAAAAAGAGTGTTTCATAGCTGCTCTTTCAAAAGGAAAGTTCAACTCTGGGAGTTGAATACAAACATCACAAAGTAGTTTCCGAGAATGCTTCTGTTTAGTTTTTATGTGAAGATGATCCCGTTTCCAGTGAAATCTTCAAAGAGGTCCACATATCCCCTTGCAGATTCCAAAGAAAGAGGGTTTCAAAACTGCTCCATCAGAAGGATTGTTCAACTCTGTGAGTTGAATGCAGTCATCGCAGAAAACTTTCTGAGAATGCTTCTGTCTAGGTTTGATGTGAAGATATAGACGTTTCAAACGAAGGCTACAAAGTGGTCAAAATATACACTTGCAGATTCTACTACAAGGGTGTTGCAAACCTGAACTATCAAAGGAAGGTTCAACTCTGTGAGTTGAATACAAACATCACAAAGAATGTTCTGAGTTTGCTTCCGTTCAGTTATGGGAAGTTGATCCCGTTTCCAACGAAATCCTCAGAGAGGTCCAAATATCCCCTTGCAGATTCTACAAAACGTGTGTTTGGAAACTGCTCCATCATAACGAATGTTCAGCTCCCTGAGTTAAACTCCATCGTCACAAAGAATTTTCTGAGAGTGCTACCGTCTGGTTTTTATATGAAGTTCTTTCCTTCACTACCACAGGCCTCAAAGCGGTCCAAATCTCCACTTGCAGATTCTACAAAAAGAGTGTTTGCAAACTGCTCTATCAAAAGGAATGTTCAACTCTGGGAGTTGAATGCAATCATCACAGAGCAGTTTCTGAGAATGCTTCTATGTCGTTTTTAGGAGAAGATATTTCCTTTTCCAACACAGTCCTCCAAGCCCGCTAAATATCCACTTGCACATTGTAGAAAAAGGGTGTCGAAGCTGCGCTATCAAAGGGAAAGTTCAACTCTGTGAGGTGAATGCAAACATCCCAAAGAAGTTTCTGAGAATGCTTCCGTTTAGCTTTTAGGTGAAGATTATCCCGTTTCCAACGAAATCTTCAAAGAGGTCCAAATATCCCCTTGCGGATCCCACAGAAAGAGTGTTTCGAAACTGCTGTTTCAAAAGGAATCTTCAACTCTGTGAGTTGAATGCAATCATCACAAAGAAGTTTCTGACAATGCTTCTCTCTCGTCTTTCTGTGAAGATAAAGGAAAAGGCTTTCAGGCCTTTTCCCAACCACAGGCCTGAAAGCGCTCCAAATGTCCACTTGCAGATTCTGCCAAAAGAATATTTCAAAACTGCTCTATGAAAAGCAATGTTAAACTCTGTGGCTCGAACACAAACATCACAAAGCAGTTTCTGAGAATGCTTCAGTTTAGTTTTTCTGTGGAAATATTCCCGTTTCCAAAGAAATCTTCAAAGAGGTCCACGCATCCACTTACAGATTCTACAAAAAGACAGTTTCAAAACTGCTCAATCAAAAGGAGGGTTCAACTGTGTGACTTGAATGCAATCATCACTCAGAAGTTTCTGAGAACGCTTCTCTTTAGTTTTTACGTGAACATATACCCGTTTCGAACGAAGGCCACCCAGTGGTCCAAATATCCACTTGCAGATTCTACAGAAAGAGTGTTTCGAACCTGAACTCTCAAAGGCAGGTTCATCTCTGCGAGTTAAATGCATTCATCATGAAGAACTTTCTCAGAGTGTTTGTGTTTAGTTATGGGAAATTATTCCCGTTTCCAACGAAATCCTCAGAGAGCTCCAAATATCCACCTGCAGATTCTACCAAAAGTGTATTTGGAAACTGCTCCCATCTCAAAAGGCATGTTCAGCTCTGTGAGTGAAACTCCATCATCACAAAGAATATTCTGAGAATGCTTCCGTTTGCCTTTTATATGAAGTTCCTTCCTATACGACCGTAGGCCTCAAAGCAGTGCAAATCTCCATTTGCAGATTCTACAAAAAGAGTGATTCCAATCTGCTCTATCAATAGGATTGTTCAACTCCATGAGTTGAATGCCATCCTCACAAAGTCGTTTCTGAGAATGCTTCTATCTAGTTTTTATGTGAAGATATTTCCTTTTCCACCACAGGCCTCAAAGCCCTCCAAACGTCCACTTGCAGATTCTCGAAAAAGAGTGTTTCATAGCTGCTCTTTCAAAAGGAAAGTTCAACTCTGGGAGTTGAATACAAACATCACAAAGTAGTTTCCCGAGAATGCTTCTGTTTAGTTTTTATGTGAAGATGATCCGGTTTCCAGTGAAATCTTCAAAGAGGTCCACATATCCCCTTGCAGATTCCAAAGAAAGAGGGTTTCAAAACTGCTCCATCAGAAGGATTGTTCAACTCTGTGAGTTGAATGCAGTCATCGCAGAAAACTTTCTGAGAATGCTTCTGTCTAGGTTTGATGTGAAGATATAGATATTTCAAACGAAGGCTACAAAGTGGTCAAAATATACACTTGCAGATTCTACTACAAGGGTGTTGCAAACCTGAACTATCAAAGGAAGGTTCAACTCTGTGAGTTGAATACAAACATCACAAAGAATGTTCTGAGTTTGCTTCCGTTCAGTTATGGGAAGTTGATCCCGTTTCCAACGAAATCCTCAGAGAGGTCCAAATATCCCCTTGCAGATTCTACAAAACGTGTGTTTGGAAACTGCTCCATCATAACGAATGTTCAGCTCCCTGAGTTAAACTCCATCGTCACAAAGAATTTTCTGAGAGTGCTACCGTGTGGTTTTTATATGAAGCTCTTTCCTTCACTACCACAGGCCTCAAAGCGGTCCAAATCTCCACTTCCAGATTCTACAAAAAGAGTGTTTGCAAACTGCTCTATCAAAAGGAATGTTCAACTCTGGGAGTTGAATGCAATCATCACAGAGCAGTTTCTGAGAATGCTTCTATGTCGTTTTTAGGAGAAGATATTTCCTTTTCCAACACAGTCCTCCAAGCCCGCTAAATAGCCACTTGCACATTGTAGAAAAAGTGTGTCAAAGCTGCGCTATCAAAGGGAAAGTTCAACTCTGTGAGGTGAATGCAAACATCCCAAAGAAGTTTCTGAGAATGCTTCCGTTTAGCTTTTAGGTGAAGATTATCCCGTTTCCAACGAAACCTTCAAAGAGGTCCAAATATCCCCTTGGGGATCCCACAGAAAGAGTGTTTCGAAACAGCTGTTTCAAAAGGAATCTTCAACTCTGTGAGTTGAATGCAATCATCACAAAGAAGTTTCTGACAATGCTTCTCTCTCGTCTTTCTGTGAAGATAAAGGAAAAGGCTTTCAGGCCTTTTCCACCACAGGCCTGAAAGCGCTCCAAATGTCCACTTGCAGATTCTGCGAAAAGAATATTTCAAAACTGCTCTATGAAAAGCAATGTTAAACTACTGTGGCTCGAACACAAACATCACAAAGCAGTTTCTGAGAATGCTTCAGTTTAGTTTTTCTGTGGAAATATTCCCGTTTCCAAAGAAATCTTCAAAGAGGTCCACGTATTCCACTTACAGATTCTACAAAAAGACAGTTTCAAAACTGCTCCATCAAAAGGAGGGTTCAACTGTGTGACTTCAATGCAATCATCACTCAGAAGTTTCTGAGAATGCTTCTCTTTAGTTTTTACGTGAACATATACCCGTTTCGAACGAAGGCCACCCAGTGGTCCAAATATCCACTTGCAGATTCTACAGAAAGAGTGTTTCGAACCTGAACTCTCAAAGGCAGGTTCATCTCTGCGAGTTAAATGCATTCATCATGAAGAACTTTCTCAGAGTATTTGTGTTTAGTTATGGGAAATTATTCCCGTTTCCAAAGAAATCCTCAGAGAGCTCCAAATATCCACCTGCAGATTCTACCAAAAGTGTATTTGGAAACTGCTCCATCAAAAGGCATGTTCAGCTCTGTGAGTGAAACTCCATCATCACAAAGAATATTCTGAGAATGCTTCCGTTTGCCTTTTATATGAAGTTCCTTCCTGTACTACCGTAGGCCTCAAAGCAGTCCAAATCTCCATTTGCAGATTCTACAAAAAGAGTGATTCCAATCTGCTCTATCAATAGGATTGTTCAACTCCATGAGTTGAATGCCATCCTCACAAAGTAGTTTCTGAGAATGCTTTCTATCTAGTTTTTATGTGAAGATATTTCCTTTTCCACCACAGGCCTCAAAGCCCTCCAAACGTCCACTTGCAGATTCTCGAAAAAGAGTGTTTCATAGCTGCTCTTTCAAAAGGAAAGTTCAACTCTGGGAGTTGAATACAAACATCACAAAGTAGTTTCCGAGAATGCTTCTGTTTAGTTTTTATATGAAGATGATCCCGTTTCCAGTGAAATCTTCAAAGAGGTCCACATATCGCCTTGCAGATTCCAAAGAAAGAGGGTTTCAAAACTGCTCCATCAGAAGGATTGTTCAACTCTGTGAGTTGAATGCAGTCATCGCAGAAAACTTTCTGAGAATGCTTCTGTCTAGGTTTGATGTGAAGATATAGACGTTTCAAACGAAGGCTACAAAGTGGTCAAAATATACACTTGCAGATTCTACTACAAGGGTGTTGCAAACCTGAACTATCAAAGGAAGGTTCAACTCTGTGAGTTGAATACAAACATCACAAAGAATGTTCTGAGTTTGCTTCCGTTCAGTTATGGGAAGTTGATCCCGTTTCCAACAAAATCCTCAGAGAGGTCCAAATATCCCCTTGCAGATTCTACAAAACGTGTGTTGGGAAACTGCTCCATCATAACGAATGTTCAGCTCCCTGAGTTAAACTCCATCGTCACAAAGAATTTTCTGAGAGTGCTACCGTCTAGTTTTAATATGAAGTTCGTTCCTTTACTACCACAGGCCTCAAAGTGGTCCAAATCTCCACTTGCAGATTCTACAAAAAGAGTGTTTGCAAACTGCTCTATCAAAAGGAATGTTCAACTCTGGGAGTTGAATGCAATCATCACAGAGCAGTTTCTGAGAATGCTTCTATGTCGTTTTTAGGAGAAGATATTTCCTTTTCCAACACAGTCCTCCAAGCCCGCTAAATATCCACTTGCACATTGTAGAAAAAGTGTGTCGAAGCTGCGCTATCAAAGGGAAAGTTCAACTCTGTGAGGTGAATGCAAACATCCCAAAGAAGTTTCTGAGAATGCTTCCGTTTAGCTTTTAGGTGAAGATTATCCCGTTTCCAACGAAACCTTCAAAGAGGTCCAAATATCCCCTTGCGGATCCCACAGAAAGAGTGTTTCGAAACTGCTGTTTCAAAAGGAATCTTCAACTACTGTGAGTTGAATGCAATCATCACAAAGAAGTTTCTGACAATGCTTTCTCTCTCGTCTTTCTGTGAAGATAAAGGAAAAGGCTTTCAGGCCTTTTCCACCACAGGCCTGAAAGCGCTCCAAATGTCCACTTGCAGATTCTGTGAAAAGAATATTTGAAAACTGCTCTATGAAAAGCAATGTTAAACTCTGTGGCTCGAACACAAACATCACAAAGCAGTTTCTGAGAATGCTTCAGTTTAGTTTTTCTGTGGAAATATTCCCGTTTCCAAAGAAATCTTCAAAGAGGTCCACGTATCCACTTACAGATTCTACAAAAAGACAGTTTCAAAACTGCTCCATCAAAAGGAGGGTTCAACTGTGTGACTTGAATGCAATCATCACTCAGAAGTTTCTGAGAATGCTTCTCTTTAGTTTTTACGTGAACATATACCCGTTTTGAACGAAGGCCACCCAGTGGTCCAAATATCCACTTGCAGATTCTACAGAAAGAGTGTTTCGAACCTGAACTCTCAAAGGCAGGTTCATCTCTGCGAGTTCAATGCATTCATCATGAAGAACTTTCTCAGAGTGTTTGTGTTTAGGTATGGGAAATTATTCCCGTTTCCAACGAAATCCTCAGAGAGGTCCAAATATCCACCTGCAGATTCTACCAAAAGTGTATTTGGAAACTGCTCCATCAAAAGGCATGTTCAGCTCTGTGAGTCAAACTCCATCATCACAAAGAATATTCTGAGAATGCTTCCGTTTGCCTTTTATATGAAGTTCCTTCCTGTACTACCGTAGGCCTCAAAGCAGTCCAAATCTCCATTTGCAGATTCTATAAAAAGAGTGATTCCAATCTGCTCTATCAATAGGATTGTTCAACTCCATGAGTTGAATGCCATCCTCACAAAGTAGTTTCTGAGAATGCTTCTATCTAGTTTTTATGTGAAGATATTTCCTTTTCCACCACAGGCCTCAAAGCCCTCCAAACGTCCACTTGCAGATTCTCGAAAAAGTGTGTTTCATAGCTGCTGTTTCAAAAGGAAAGTTCAACTCTGGGAGTTGAATACAAACATCACAAAGTAGTTTCCGAGAATGCTTCTGTTTAGTTCTTATGTGAAGATGATCCCGTTTCCAGTGAAATCTTCAAAGAGGTCCACATATCCCCTTGCAGATTCCAAAGAAAGAGGGTGTCAAAACTGCTCCATCAAAAGGATTGTTCAACTCTGTGAGTTGAATGCAGTCATCGCAGAAAACTTTCTGAGAATGCTTCTGTCTAGGTTTGAGGTGAAGATATAGACGTTTCAAACGAAGGCTACAAAGTGGTCAAAATATACACTTGCAGATTCTACTACAAGGGTGTTGCAAACCTGAACTATCAAAGGAAGGTTCAACTCTGTGAGTTGAATACAAACATCACAAAGAATGTTCTGAGTTTGCTTCCGTTCAGTTATGGGAAGTTGATCCCGTTTCCAACGAAATCCTCAGAGAGGACCAAATATCCCCTTGCAGATTCTACAAAACGTGTGTTTGGAAACTGCTCCATCATAACGAATGTTCAGCTCTCTGAGTTAAACTCCATCGTCACAAAGAATTTTCTGAGAGTGCTACCGTCTGGTTTTTATATGAAGTTCTTCCCTTTACTACCACAGGCCTCAAAGCGGTCCAAATCTCCACTTGCAGATTCTACAAAAAGAGTGTTTGCAAACTGCTCTATCAAAAGGAATGTTCAACTCTGGGAGTTGAATGCAATCATCACAGAGCAGTTTCTGAGAATGCTTCTATGTCGTTTTTAGGAGAAGATATTTCCTTTTCCAACACAGTCCTCCAAGCCCGCTAAATAGCCACTTGCACATTGTAGAAAAAGTGTGTCGAAGCTGCGCTATCAAAGGGAAAGTTCAACTCTGTGAGGTGAATGCAAACATCCCAAAGAAGTTTCTGAGAATGCTTCCGTTTAGCTTTTAGGTGAAGATTATCCCGTTTCCAACGAAACCTTCAAAGAGGTCCAAATATCCCCTTGCGGATCCCACAGAAAGAGTGTTTCGAAACTGCTGTTTCAAAAGGAATCTTCAACTCTGTGAGTTGAATGCAATCATCACAAAGAAGTTTCTGACAATGCTTCTCTCTCGTCTTTCTGTGAAGATAAAGGAAAAGGCTTTCAGGCCTTTTCCACCACAGGCCTGAAAGCGCTCCAAATGTCCACTTGCAGATTCTGCCAAAAGAATATTTCAAAACTGCTCTATGAAAAGCAATGTTAAACTCTGTGGCTCGAACACAAACATCACAAAGCGGTTTCTGAGAATGCTTCAGTTTAGTTTTTCTGTGGAAATATTCCCGTTTCCAAAGAAATCTTCAAAGAGGTCCACGTATCCACTTACAGATTCTACAAAAAGACAGTTTCAAAACTGCTCCATCAAAAGGAGGGTTCAACTGTGTGACTTGAATGCAATCATCACTCAGAAGTTTCTGAGAATGCTTCTCTTTAGTTTTTACGTGAACATATACCCGTTTCGAACGAAGGCCACCCAGTGGTCCAAATATCCACTTGCAGATTCTACAGAAAGAGTGTTTCGAACCTGAACTCTCAAAGGCAGGTTCATCTCTGCGAGTTAAATGCATTCATCATGAAGAACTTTCTCAGAGTGTTTGTGTTTAGTTATGGGAAATTATTCCCGTTTCCAATGAAATCCTCAGAGAGCTCCAAATATCCACCTGCAGATTCTACCAAAAGTGTATTTGGAAACTGCTCCATCAACAGGCATGTTCAGCTCTGTGAGTGAAACTCCATCATCACAAAGAACATTCTGAGAATGCTTCCGTTTGCCTTTTATATGAAGTTCCTTCCTATACGACCGTAGGCCTCAAAGCAGTCCAAATCTCCATTTGCAGATTCTACAAAAAGAGTGATTCCAATCTGCTCTATCAATAGGATTGTTCAACTCCATGAGTTGAATGCCATCCTCACAAAGTAGTTTCTGAGAATGCTTCTATCTAGTTTTTATGTGAAGATATTTCGTTTTCCACCACAGGCCTCAAAGCCCTCCAAACGTCCACTTGCAGATTCTCGAAAAAGAGTGTTTCATAGCTGCTCTTTCAAAAGGAAAGTTCAACTCTGGGAGTTGAATACAAACATCACAAAGTAGTTTCCGAGAATGCTTCTGTTTAGTTTTTATGTGAAGATGATCCCGTTTCCAGTGAAATCTTCAAAGAGGTCCACATATCCCCTTGCAGATTCCAAAGAAAGAGGGTTTCAAAACTGCTCCATCAGAAGGATTGTTCAACTCTGTGAGTTGAATGCAGTCATCGCAGAAAACTTTCTGAGAATGCTTCTGTCTAGGTTTGATGTGAAGATATAGACGTTTCAAACGAAGGCTACAAAGTGGTCAAAATATACACTTGCAGATTCTACTACAAGGGTGTTGCAAACCTGAACTATCAAAGGAAGGTTCAACTCTGTGAGTTGAATACAAACATCACAAAGAATGTTCTGAGTTTGCTTCCGTTCAGTTATGGGAAGTTGATCCCGTTTCCAACGAAATCCTCAGAGAGGTCCAAATATCCCCTTGCAGATTCTACAAAACGTGTGTTTGGAAACTGCTCCATCATAACGAATGTTCAGCTCCCTGAGTTAAACTCCATCGTCACAAAGAATTTTCTCAGAGTGCTACCGTCTGGTTTTTATATGATGCTCTTTCCTTCACTACCACAGGCCTCAAAGCGGTCCAAATCTCCACTTGCAGATTCTACAAAAAGAGTGTTTGCAAACTGCTCTATCAAAAGGAATGTTCAACTCTGGGAGTTGAATGCAATCATCACAGAGCAGTTTCTGAGAATGCTTCTATGTCGTTTTTAGGAGAAGATATTTCCTTTTCCAACACAGTCCTCCAAGCCCGCTAAATAGCCACTTGCACATTGTAGAAAAAGTGTGTCAAAGCTGCGCTATCAAAGGGAAAGTTCAACTCTGTGAGGTGAATGCAAACATCCCAAAGAAGTTTCTGAGAATGCTTCCGTTTAGCTTTTAGGTGAAGATTATCCCGTTTCCAACGAAACCTTCAAAGAGGTCCAAATATCCCCTTGCGGATCCCACAGAAAGAGTGTTTCGAAACTGCTGTTTCAAAAGGAATCTTCAACTCTGTGAGTTGAATGCAATCATCAAAAAGAAGTTTCTGACAATGCTTCTCTCTCGTCTTTCTGTGAAGGTAAAGGAAAAGGCTTTCAGGCCTTTTCCACCCACAGGCCTGAAAGCGCTCCAAATGTCCACTTGCAGATTCTGCCAAAAGAATATTTCAAAACTGCTCTATGAAAAGCAATGTTAAACTCTGTGGCTCGAACACAAACATCACAAAGCGGTTTCTGAGAATGCTTCAGTTTAGTTTTTCTGTGGAAATATTCCCGTTTCCAAAGAAATCTTCAAAGAGGTCCACGTATCCACTTACAGATTCTACAAAAAGACAGTTTCAAAACTGCTCCATCAAAAGGAGGGTTCAACTGTGTGACTTGAATGCAATCATCACTCAGAAGTTTCTGAGAATGCTTCTCTTTAGTTTTTACGTGAACATATACCCGTTTCGAACGAAGGCCAGCCAGTGGTCCAAATATCCACTTGCAGATTCTACAGAAAGAGTGTTTCGAACCTGAACTCTCAAAGGCAGGTTCATCTCTGCGAGTTAAATGCATTCATCATGAAGAACTTTCTCAGAGTGTTTGTGTTTAGTTATGGGAAATTATTCCCGTTTCCAACGAAATCCTCAGAGAGCTCCAAATGTCCACCTGCAGATTCTACCAAAAGTGTATTTGGAAACTGCTCCATCAAAAGGCAAGTTCAGCTCTGTGAGTGAAACTCCATCATCACAAAGAATATTCTGAGAATGCTTCCGTTTGCCTTTTATATGAAGTTCCTTCCTGTACTACCGTAGGCCTCAAAGCAGTCCAAATCTCCATTTGCAGATTCTACAAAAAGAGTGATTCCAATCTGCTCTATCAATAGGATTGTTCAACTCCATGAGTTGAATGCCATCCTCACAAAGTAGTTTCTGAGAATGCTTCTATGTAGTTTTTATGTGAAGATATTTCCTTTTCCACCACAGGCCTCAAAGCCCTCCAAACGTCCACTTGCAGATTCTCGAAAAAGAGTGTTTCATAGCTGCTCTTTCAAAAGGAAAGTTCAACTCTGGGAGTTGAATACAAACATCACAAAGTAGTTTCCGAGATTGCTTCAGTTTAGTTTTTATGTGAAGATGATCCCGTTTCCAGTGAAATCTTCAAAGAGGTCCACATATCCCCTTGAAGATTCCAAAGAAAGAGGGTTTCAAAACTGCTCCATCAGAAGGATTGTTCAACTCTGTGAGTTGAATGCAGTCATCGCAGAAAACTTTCTGAGAATGCTTCTGTCTAGGTTTGATGTGAAGATATAGACGTTTCAAATGAAGGCTACAAAGTGGTCAAAATATACACTTGCAGATTCTACTACAAGGGTGTTGCAAACCTGAACTATCAAAGGAAGGTTCAACTCTGTGAGTTGAATACAAACATCACAAAGAATGTTCTGAGTTTGCTTCCGTTCAGTTATGGGAAGCTGATCCCGTTTCCAACGAAATCCTCAGAGAGGTCCAAATATCCCCTTGCAGATTCTACAAAACGTGTGTTTGGAAACTGCTCCATCATAACGAATGTTCAGCTCCCTGAGTTAAACTCCATCGTCACAAAGAATTTTCTGAGAGTGCTACCGTCTGGTTTTTATATGAAGTTCTTTCCTTCACTACCACTGGCCTCAAAGCGGTCCAAGTCTCCACTTGCAGATTCTACAAAAAGAGTGTTTGCAAACTGCTCTATCAAAAGGAATGTTCAACTCTGGGAGTTGAATGCAATCATCACAGAGCAGTTTCTGAGAATGCTTCTATGTCGTTTTTAGGAGAAGATATTTCCTTTTCCAACACAGTCCTCCAAGTCCGCTAAATAGCCACTTGCACATTGTAGAAAAAGTGTGTCAAAGCTGGGCTATCAAAGGGAAAGTTCAACTCTGAGAGGTGAATGCAAACATCCCAAAGAAGTTTCTGAGAGTGCTTCCGTTTAGCTTTTAGGTGAAGATTATCCCGTTTCCAACGAAACCTTCAAAGAAGTCCAAATATCCCCTTGCGGATCCCACAGAAAGAGTGTTTCGAAACTGCTGTTTCAAAAGGAATCTTCAACTCTGTGAGTTGAATGCAATCATCACAAAGAAGTTTCTGACAATGCTTCTCTCTCGTCTTTCTGTGAAGATAAATAAATGCTTTCAGGCCTTTGCCACCACAGGCCTGAAAGCGCTCCAAATGTCCACTTGCAGATTCTGCGAAAAGAATATTTCAAAACTGCTTTGTGAAAAGCAATGTTAAACTCTGTGGCTCGAACACAAACATCACAAAGCGGTTTCTGAGAATGCTTCAGTTTAGTTTTTCTGTGGAAATATTCCCGTTTCCAAAGAAATCTTCAAAGAGGTCCACGTATCCACTTACAGATTCTACAAAAAGACAGTTTCAAAACTGCTCCATCAAAAGGAGGGTTCAACTGTGTGACTTGAATGCAATCATCACTCAGAAGTTTCTGAGAATGCTTCTCTTTAGTTTTTACGTGAACATATACCCGTTTCGAACGAAGGCCACCCAGTGGTCCAAATATCCACTTGCAGATTCTACAGAAAGAGTGTTTCGAACCTGAACTCTCAAAGGCAGGTTCATCTCTGCGAGTTAAATGCATTCATCATGAAGAACTTTCTCAGAGTGTTTGTGTTTAGTTATGGGAAATTATTCCCGTTTCCAACGAAATCCTCAGAGAGGTCCAAATATCCACCTGCAGATTCTACCAAAAGTGTATTTGGAAACTGCTCCATCAAAAGGCATGTTCAGCTCTGTGAGTGAAACCCCATCATCACAAAGAATATTCTGAGAATGCTTCCGTTTGCCTTTTATATGAAGTTCCTTCCTATACGACCGTAGGCCTCAAAGCAGTCCAAATCTCCATTTGCAGATTCTACAAAAAGAGTGATTCCAATCTGCTCTATCAATAGGATTGTTCAACTCCATGAGTTGAATGCCATCCTCACAAAGTCGTTTCTGAGAATGCTTCTATCTAGTTTTTATGTGAAGATATTTCCTTTTCCACCACAGGCCTCAAAGCCCTCCAAACGTCCACTTGCAGATTCTCGAAAAAGAGTGTTTCATAGCTGCTCTTTCAAAAGGAAAGTTCAACTCTGGGAGTTGAATACAAACATCACAAAGTAGTTTCCGAGAATGCTTCTGTTTAGTTTTTATGTGAAGATGATCCCGTTTCCAGTGAAATCTTCAAAGAGGTCCACATATCCCCTTGCAGATTCCAAAGAAAGAGGGTTTCAAAACTGCTCCATCAGAAGGATTGTTCAACTCTGTGAGTTGAATGCAGTCATCGCAGAAAACTTTCTGAGAATGCTTCTGTCTAGGTTTGATGTGAAGATATAGACGTTTCAAACGAAGGCTACAAAGTGGTCAAAATATACACTTGCAGATTCTACTACAAGGGTGTTGCAAACCTGAACTATCAAAGGAAGGTTCAACTCTGTGAGTTGAATACAAACATCACAAAGAATGTTCTGAGTTTGCTTCCGTTCAGTTATGGGAAGTTGATCCCGTTTCCAACGAAATCCTCAGAGAGGTCCAAATATCCCCTTGCAGATTCTACAAAACGTGTGTTTGGAAACTGCTCCATCATAACGAATGTTCAGCTCCCTGAGTTAAACTCCATCGTCACAAAGAATTTTCTGAGAGTGCTACCGTCTGGTTTTTATATGAAGTTCTTTCCTTCACTACCACAGGCCTCAAAGCGGTCCAAATCTCCACTTGCAGATTCTACAAAAAGAGTGTTTGCAAACTGCTCTATCAAAAGGATTGTTCAACTCTGGGAGTTGAATGCAATCATCACAGAGCAGTTTCTGAGAATGCTTCTATGTCGTTTTTAGGAGAAGATATTTCCTTTTCCAACACAGTCCTCCAAGCCCGCTAAATAGCCACTTGCACATTGTAGAAAAAGTGTGTCAAAGCTGCGCTATCAAAGGGAAAGTTCAACTCTGTGAGGTGAATGCAAACATCCCAAAGAAGTTTCTGAGAATGCTTCCGTTTAGCTTTTAGGTGAAGATTATCCCGTTTCCAACGAAACCTTCAAAGAGGTCCAAATATCCCCTTGCGGATCCCACAGAAAGAGTGTTTCGAAACTGCTGTTTCAAAAGGAATCTTCAACTCTGTGAGTTGAATGCAATCATCACAAAGAAGTTTCTGACAATGCTTCTCTCTCGTCTTTCTGTGAAGATAAAGGAAAAGGCTTTCAGGCCTTTTCCACCACAGGCCTGAAAGCGCTCCAAATGTCCACTTGCAGATTCTGCCAAAAGAATATTTCAAAACTGCTCTATGAAAAGCAATGTTAAACTCTGTGGCTCGAACACAAACATCACAAAGCGGTTTCTGAGAATGATTCAGTTTAGTTTTTCTGTGGAAATATTCCCGTTTCCAAAGAAATCTTCAAAGAGGTCCACGTATCCACTTACAGATTCTACAAAAAGACAGTTTCAAAACTGCTCCATCAAAAGGAGGGTTCAACTGTGTGACTTGAATGCAATCATCACTCAGAAGTTTCTGAGAATGCTTCTCTTTAGTTTTTACGTGAACATATACCCGTTTCGAACGAAGGCCACCCAGTGGTCCAAATATCCACTTGCAGATTCTACAGAAAGAGTGTTTCGAACCTGAACTCTCAAAGGCAGGTTCATCTCTGCGAGTTAAATGCATTCATCATGAAGAACTTTCTCAGAGTGTTTGTGTTTAGTTATGGGAAATTATTCCCGTTTCCAACGAAATCCTCAGAGAGCTCCAAATATCCACCTGCAGATTCTACCAAAAGTGTATTTGGAAACTGCTCCATCAAAAGGCATGTTCAGCTCTGTGAGTGAAACTCCATCATCACAAAGAATATTCTGAGAATGCTTCCGTTTGCCTTTTATATGAAGTTCCTTCCTATACTACCGTAGGCCTCAAAGCAGTCCAAATCTCCATTTGCAGATTCTACAAAAAGAGTGATTCCAATCTGCTCTATCAATAGGATTGTTCAACTCCATGAGTTGAATGCCATCCTCACGAAGTAGTTTCTGAGAATGCTTCTATCTAGTTTTTATGTGAAGATATTTCCTTTTCCACCACAGGCCTCAAAGCCCTCCAAACGTCCACTTGCAGATTCTCGAAAAAGAGTGTTTCATAGCTGCTCTTTCAAAAGGAAAGTTCAACTCTGGGAGTTGAATACAAACATCACAAAGTAGTTTCCGAGAATGCTTCTGTTTAGTTTTTATGTGAAGATGATCCCGTTTCCAGTGAAATCTTCAAAGAGGTCCGCATATCCCCTTTCAGATTCCAACGAAAGAGGGTTTCAAAACTGCTCCATCAGAAGGATTGTTCAACTCTGTGAGTTGAATGCAGTCATCGCAGAAAACTTTCTGAGAATGCTTCTGTCTAGGTTTGATGTGAAGATATAGACGTTTCAAACGAAGGCTACAAAGTGGTCAAAATATACACTTGCAGATTCTACTACAAGGGTGTTGCAAACCTGAACTATCAAAGGAAGGTTCAACTCTGTGAGTTGAATACAAACATCACAAAGAATGTTCTGAGTTTGCTTCCGTTCAGTTATGGGAAGTTGATCCCGTTTCCAACGAAATCCTCAGAGAGGTCCAAATATCCCCTTGCAGATTCTACAAAACGTGTGTTTGGAAACTGCTCCATCATAACGAATGTTCAGCTCCCTGAGTTAAACTCCATCGTCACAAAGAATTTTCTGAGAGTGCTACCGTCTAGTTTTTATATGAAGTTCTTTCCTTTACTACCACAGGCCTCAAAGCGGTCCAAATCTCCACTTGCAGATTCTACAAAAAGAGTGTTTGCAAACTGCTCTATCAAAAGGAATGTTCAACTCTGGGAGTTGAATGCAATCATCACAGAGCAGTTTCTGAGAATGCTTCTATGTCGTTTTTAGGAGAAGATATTTCCTTTTCCAACACAGTCCTCCAAGCCCGCTAAATATCCACTTGCACATTGTAGAAAAAGTGTGTCGAAGCTGCGCTATCAAAGGGAAAATTCAACTCTGTGAGGTGAATGCAAACTTCCCAAAGAAGTTTCTGAGAATGCTTCCGTTTAGCTTTTAGGTGAAGATTATCCCGTTTCCAACGAAACCTTCAAAGAGGTCCAAATATCCCCTTGCGGATCCCACAGAAAGAGTGTTTCGAAACTGCTGTTTCAAAAGGAATCTTCAACTCTGTGAGTTGAATGCAATCATCACAAAGAAGTTTCTGACAATGCTCTCTCTCGTCTTTCTGTGAAGATAAAGGAAAAGGCTTTCAGGCCTTTTCCACCACAGGCCTGAAAGCGCTCCAAATGTCCACTTGCAGATTCTGCCAAAAGAATATTTCAAAACTGCTCTATGAAAAGCAATGTTAAACTCTGCGGCTCGAACACAAACATCACAAAGCAGTTTCTGAGAATGCTTTCAGTTTAGTTTTTCTGTGGAAATATTCCCGTTTCCAAAGAAATCTTCAAAGAGGTCCACGTATCCACTTACAGATTCTACAAAAAGACAGTTTCAAAACTGCTCCATCAAAAGGAGGGTTCAACTGTGTGACTTGAATGCAATCATCACTCAGAAGTTTCTGAGAATGCTTCTCTTTAGTTTTTACGTGAACATATACCCGTTTCGAACGAAGGCCACCCAGTGGTCCAAATATCCACTTGCAGATTCTACAGAAAGAGTGTTTCGAACCTGAACTCTCAAAGGCAGGTTCATCTCTGCGAGTTAAATGGATTCATCATGAAGAACTTTCTCAGCGTGTTTGTGTTTAGTTATGGGAAATTATTCCCGTTTCCAACGAAATCCTCAAAGAGCTCCAAATATCCACCTGCAGATTCTACCAAAAGTGTATTTGGAAACTGCTCCATCAAAAGGCATGTTCAGCTCTGTGAGTGAAACTCCATCATCACAAAGAATATTCTGAGAATGCTTCCGTTTGCCTTTTATATGAAGTTCCTTCCTATACGACCGTAGGCCTCAAAGCAGTCCAAATCTCCATTTGCAGATTCTACAAAAAGAGTGATTCCAATCTGCTCTATTAATAGGATTGTTCAACTCCATGAGTTGAATGCCATCCTCACAAAGTAGTTTCTGAGAATGCTTCTATCTAGTTTTTATGTGAAGATATTTCCTTTTCCACCACAGGCCTCAAAGCCCTCCAAACTGTCCACTTTCAGATTCTCGAAAAAGAGTGTTTCATAGCTGCTCTTTCAAAAGGAAAGTTCAACTCTGGCAGTTGAATACAAACATCACAAAGTAGTTTCCGAGAATGCTTCTGTTTAGTTTTTATGTGAAGATGATCCCGTTTCCAGTGAAATCTTCAAAGAGGTCCACATATCCCCTTGCAGATTCCAAAGAAAGAGGGTTTCAAAACTGCTCCATCAGAAGGATTGTTCAACTCTGTGAGTTGAATGCAGTCATCGCAGAAAACTTTCTGAGAATGCTTCTGTCTAGGTTTGATGTGAAGATATAGACGTTTCAAACGAAGGCTACAAAGTGGTCAAAATATACACTTGCAGATTCTACTACAAGGGTGTTGCAAACCTGAACTATCAAAGGAAAGTTCAACTCTGTGAGTTGAATACAAACATCACAAAGAATGTTCTGAGTTTGCTTCCGTTCAGTTATGGGAAGTTGATCCCGTTTCCAACGAAATCCTCAGAGAGGTCCAAATATCCCCTTGCAGATTCTACAAAACGTGTGTTTGGAAACTGCTCCATCATAACGAATGTTCAGCTCCCTGAGTTAAACTCCATCGTCACAAAGAATTTTCTGAGAGTGCTACCGTCTGGTTTTTATATGAAGTTCTTTCCTTCACTACCACAGGCCTCAAAGCGGTCCAAATCTCCACTTGCAGATTCTACAAAAAGAGTGTTTGCAAACTGCTCTATCAAAAGGAATGTTCAACTCTGGGAGTTGAATGCAATCATCACAGAGCAGTTTCTGAGAATGCTTCTATGTCGTTTTTAGGAGAAGATATTTCCTTTTCCAACACAGTCCTCCAAGCCCGCTAAATAGCCACTTGCACGTTGTAGAAAAAGTGTGTCAAAGCTGCGCTATCAAAGGGAAAGTTCAACTCTGTGAGGTGAATGCAAACATCCCAAAGAAGTTTCTGAGAATGCTTCCGTTTAGCTTTTAGGTGAAGATTATCCCGTTTCCAACGAAATCTTCAAAGAGGTCCAAATATCCCCTTGCGGATCCCACAGAAAGAGTGTTTCGAAACTGCTGTTTCAAAAGGAAAATCAACTCTGTGAGTTGAATGCAATCATCACAAAGAAGTTTCTGACAATGCTTCTCTCTCGTCTTTCTGTGAAGATAAAGGAAAAGGCTTTCAGGCCTTTGCCACCACAGGCCTGAAAGCGCTCCAAATGTCCACTTGCAGATTCTGCGAAAAGAATATTTCAAAACTGCTCTATGAAAAGCAATGTTAAACTCTGTGGCTCGAACACAAACATCACAAAGCAGTTTCTGAGAATGCTTCAGTTTAGTTTTTCTGTGGAAATATTCCCGTTTCCAAAGAAATCTTCAAAGAGGTCCACTTATCCACTTACAGATTCTACAAAAAGACAGTTTCAAAACTGCTCCATCAAAAGGAGGGTTCAACTGTGTGACTTGAATGCAATCATCACTCAGAAGTTTCTGAGAATGCTTCTCTTTAGTTTTTACGTGAACATATACCCGTTTCGAACGAAGGCCAGCCAGTGGTCCAAATATCCACTTGCAGATTCTACAGAAAGAGTGTTTCGAACCTGAACTCTCAAAGGCAGGTTCATCTCTGCGAGTTAAATGCATTCATCATGAAGAACTTTCTCAGAGTGTTTGTGTTTAGTTATGGGAAATTATTCCCGTTTCCAACGAAATCCTCAGAGAGCTCCAAATATCCACCTGCAGATTCTACCAAAAGTGTATTTGGAAACTGCTCCATCAAAAGGCATGTTCAGCTCTGTGAGTGAAACTCCATCATCACAAAGAATATTCTGAGAATGCTTCCGTTTGCCTTTTATATGAAGTTCCTTCCTGTACTACTGTAGGCCTCAAAGCAGTCCAAATCTCCATTTGCAGATTCTACAAAAAGAGTGATTCCAATCTGCTCTATCAATAGGATTGTTCAACTCCATGAGTTGAATGCCATCCTCACAAAGTAGTTTCTGAGAATGCTTCTATCTGGTTTTTGTGTGAAGATATTTCCTTTTCCACCACAGGCCTCAAAGCCCTCCAAACGTCCACTTGCAGATTCTCGAAAAAGAGTGTTTCATAGCTGCTCTTTCAAAAGGAAAGTTCAACTCTGGGAGTTGAATACAAACATCACAAAATAGTTTCCGAGAATGCTTCTGTTTAGTTTTTATGTGAAGATGATCCCGTTTCCAGTGAAATCTTCAAAGAGGTCCACATATCCCCTTGCAGATTCCAAAGAAAGAGGGTTTCAAAACTGCTCCATCAGAAGGATTGTTCAACTCTGTGAGTTGAATGCAGTCATCGCAGAAAACTTTCTGAGAATGCTTCTGTCTAGGTTTGATGTGAAGATATAGACGTTTCAAACAAAGGCTACAAAGTGGTCAAAATATACACTTGCAGATTCTACTACAAGGGTGTTGCAAACCTGAACTATCAAAGGAAGGTTCAACTCTGTGAGTTGAATACAAACATCACAAAGAATGTTCTGAGTTTGCTTCCGTTCAGTTATGGGAAGTTGATCCCGTTTCCAACGAAATCCTCAGAGAGGTCCAAATATCCCCTCGCAGATTCTACAAAACGTGTGTTTGGAAACTGCTCCATCATAACGAATGTTCAGCTCCCTGAGTTAAACTCCATCGTCACAAAGAATTTTCTGAGAGTGCTACCGTCTGGTTTTTATATGAAGTTCTTTCCTTCACTACCACAGGCCTCAAAGCGGTCCAAATCTCCACTTGCAGATTCTACAAAAAGAGTGTTTGCAAACTGCTCTATCAAAAGGAATGTTCAACTCTGGGAGTTGAATGCAATCATCACAGAGCAGTTTCTGAGAATGCTTCTATGTAGTTTTTAGGAGAAGATATTTCCTTTTCCAACACAGTCCTCCAAGCCCGCTAAATAGCCACTTGCACATTGTAGAAAAAGTGTGTCAAAGCTGCGCTATCAAAGGGAAAGTTCAACTCTGTGAGGTGAATGCAAACATCCCGAAGAAGTTTCTGAGAATGCTTCCGTTTAGCTTTTAGGTGAAGATTATCCCGTTTCCAACGAAACCTTCAAAGAGGTCCAAATATCCCCTTGCGGATCCCACAGAAAGAGTGTTTCGAAACTGCTGTTTCAAAAGGAATCTTCAACTACTGTGAGTTGAATGCAATCATCACAAAGAAGTTTCTGACAATGCTTTCTCTCTCGTCTTTCTGTGAAGATAAAGGAAAAGGCTTTCAGGCCTTTTCCCAACCACAGGCCTGAAAGCGCTCCAAATGTCCACTTGCAGATTCTGCCAAAAGAATATTTCAAAACTGCTCTATGAAAAGCAATGTTAAACTCTGTGGCTCGAACACAAACATCACAAAGCAGTTTCTGAGAATGCTTCAGTTTAGTTTTTCTGTGGAAATATTCCCGTTTCCAAAGAAATCTTCAAAGAGGTCCACGTATGCACTTACAGATTCTACAAAAAGACAGTTTCAAAACTGCTCCATCAAAAGGAGGGTTCAACTGTGTGACTTGAATGCAATCATCACTCAGAAGTTTCTGAGAATGCTTCTCTTTAGTTTTTACGTGAACATATACCCGTTTCGAACGAAGGCCACCCAGTGGTCCAAATATCCACTTGCAGATTCTACAGAAAGAGTGTTTCGAACCTGAACTCTCAAAGGCAGGTTCATCTCTGTTAGTTAAATGCATTCATCATGAAGAACTTTCTCAGAGTGTTTGTGTTTAGTTATGGGAAATTATTCCCGTTTCCAACGAAATCCTCAGAGAGCTCCAAATATCCACCTGCAGATTCTACCAAAAGTGTATTTGGAAACTGCTCCATCAAAAGGCATGTTCAGCTCTGTGAGTGAAACTCCATCATCACAAAGAATATTCTGAGAATGCTTCCGTTTGCCTTTTATCTGAAGTTCCTTCCTATACGACCGTAGGCCTCAAAGCAGTCCAAATCTCCATTTGCAGATTCTACAAAAAGAGTGATTCCAATCTGCTCTATCAATAGGATTGTTCAACTCCATGAGTTGAATGCCATCCTCACAAAGTCGTTTCTGAGAATGCTTCTATCTAGTTTTTATGTGAAGATATTTCCTTTTCCACCACAGGCCTCAAAGCCCTCCAAACGTCCACTTGCAGATTCTCGAAAAGGAGTGTTTCATAGCTGCTCTTTCAAAAGGAAAGTTCAACTCTGGGAGTTGAATACAAACATCACAAAGTAGTTTCCGAGAATGCTTCTGTTTAGTTTTTATGTGAAGATGATCCCGTTTCCAGTGAAATCTTCAAAGAGGTCCACATATCCCCTTGCAGATTCCAAAGAAAGAGGGTTTCAAAACTGCTCCATCAGAAGGATTGTTCAACTCTGTGAGTTGAATGCAGTCATCGCAGAAAACTTTCTGAGAATGCTTCTGTCTAGGTTTGATGTGAAGATATAGACGTTTCAAACGAAGGCTACAAAGTGGTCAAAATATACACTTGCAGATTCTACTACAAGGGTGTTGCAAACCTGAACTATCAAAGGAAGGTTCAACTCTGTGAGTTGAATACAAACATCACAAAGAATGTTCTGAGTTTGCTTCCGTTCAGTTATGGGAAGTTGATCCCGTTTCCAACGAAATCCTCAGAGAGGTCCAAATATCCCCTTGCAGATTCTACAAAACGTGTGTTTGGAAACTGCTCCATCATAACGAATGTTCAGCTCCCTGAGTTAAACTCCATCGTCACAAAGAATTTTCTGAGAGTGCTACCGTCTGGTTTTTATATGAAGTTCTTTCCTTCACTACCACAGACCTCAAAGCGGTCCAAATCTCCACTTGCAGATTCTACAAAAAGAGTGTTTGCAAACTGCTCTATCAAAAGGAATGTTCAACTCTGGGAGTTGAATGCAATCATCACAGAGCAGTTTCTGAGAATGCTTCTATGTCGTTTTTAGGAGAAGATATTTCCTTTTCCAACACAGTCCTCCAAGCCCGCTAAATAGCCACTTGCACATTGTAGAAAAAGTGTGTCGAAGCTGCGCTATCAAAGGGAAAGTTCAACTCTGTGAGGTGAATGCAAACATCCCAAAGAAGTTTCTGAGAATGCTTCCGTTTAGCTTTTAGGTGAAGATTATCCCGTTTCCAACGAAACCTTCAAAGAGGTCCAAATATCCCCTTGCGGATCCCACAGAAAGAGTGTTTCGAAACTGCTGTTTCAAAAGGAATCTTCAACTCTGTGAGTTGAATGCAATCATCACAAAGAAGTTTCTGACAATGCTTCTCTCTCGTCTTTCTGTGAAGATAAAGGAAAAGGCTTTCAGGCCTTTGCCACCACAGGCCTGAAAGCGCTCCAAATGTCCACTTGCAGATTCTGCCAAAAGAATATTTCAAAACTGCTCTATGAAAAGCAATGTTAAACTCTGTGGCTCGAACACAAACATCACAAAGCGGTTTCTGAGAATGTTCAGTTTAGTTTTTCTGTGGAAATATTCCCGTTTCCAAAGAAATCTTCAAAGAGGTCCACACATCCACTTACAGATTCTACAAAAAGACAGTTTCAAAACTGCTCAATCAAAAGGAGGGTTCAACTGTGTGACTTGAATGCAATCATCACTCAGAAGTTTCTGAGAACGCTTCTCTTTAGTTTTTACGTGAACATATACCCGTTTCGAACGAAGGCCAGCCAGTGGTCCAAATATCCACTTGCAGATTCTACAGAAAGAGTGTTTCGAACCTGAACTCTCAAAGGCAGGTTCATCTCTGCGAGTTAAATGCATTCATCATGAAGAACTTTCTCAGCGTATTTGTGTTTAGGTATGGGAAATTATTCCCGTTTCCAACGAAATCCTCAGAGAGGTCCAAATATCCACCTGCAGATTCTACCAAAAGTGTATTTGGAAACTGCTCCATGAAAAGGCATGTGCAGCTCTGTGAGTGAAACTCCATCATCACAAAGAATATTCTGAGAATGCTTCCGTTTGCCTTTTATATGAAGTTCCTTCCTATACTACCGTAGGCCTCAAAGCAGTCCAAATCTCCATTTGCAGATTCTACAAAAAGAGTGATTCCAATCTGCTCTATCAATAGGATTGTTCAACTCCATGAGTTGAATGCCATCCTCACAAAGTCGTTTCTGAGAATGCTTCTATCTAGTTTTTATGTGAAGATATTTCCTTTTCCACCACAGGCCTCAAAGCCCTCCAAACGTCCACTTGCAGATTCTCGAAAAAGAGTGTTTCATAGCTGCTCTTTCAAAAGGAATGTTCAACTCTGGGAGTTGAATACAAACATCACAAAGTCGTTTCGGAGAATGCTTCTGTTTAGTTCTTATGTGAAGATGATCCCGTTTCCAGTGAAATCTTCAAAGAGGTCCACATATCCCCTTGCAGATTCCAAAGAAAGAGGGTTTCAAAACTGCTCCATCAAAAGGATTGTTCAACTCTGTGAGTTGAATGCAGTCATCGCAGAAAACTTTCTGAGAATGCTTCTGTCTAGGTTTGAGGTGAAGATATAGACGTTTCAAACGAAGGCTACAAAGTGGTCAAAATATACACTTGCAGATTCTACTACAAGGGTGTTGCAAACCTGAACTATCAAAGGAAGGTTCAACTCTGTGAGTTGAATACAAACATCACAAAGAATGTTCTGAGTTTGCTTCCGTTCAGTTATGGGAAGTTGATCCCGTTTCCAACGAAATCCTCAGAGAGGTCCAAATATCCCCTTGCAGATTCTACAAAACGTGTGTTTGGAAACTGCTCCATCATAACGAATGTTCAGCTCTCTGAGTTAAACTCCATCGTCACAAAAAATTTTCTGAGAGTGCTACCGTCTGGTTTTTATATGAAGTTCTTTCCTTTACTACCTCAGGCCTCAAAGCGGTCCAAATCTCCACTTGCAGATTCTACAAAAACAGTGTTTGCAAACTGCTCTATCAAAAGGAATGTTCAACTCTGGGAGTTGAATGCAATCATCACAGAGCAGTTTCTGAGAATGCTTCTATGTCGTTTTTAGGAGAAGATATTTCCTTTTCCAACACAGTCCTCCAAGCCCGCTAAATATCCACTTGCACATTGTAGAAAAAGTGTGTCGAAGCTGCGCTATCAAAGGGAAAGTTCAACTCTGTGAGGTGAATGCAAACATCCCAAAGAAGTTTCTGAGAATGCTTCCGTTTAGCTTTTAGGTGAAGATTATCCCGTTTCCAACGAAACCTTCAAAGAGGTCCAAATATCCCCTTGCGGATCCCACAGAAAGAGTGTTTCGAAACTGCTGTTTCAAAAGGAATCTTCAACTCTGTGAGTTGAATGCAATCATCACAAAGAAGTTTCTGACAATGCTTCTCTCTCGTCTTTCTGTGAAGGTAAAGGAAAAGGCTTTCAGGCCTTTTCCACCCACAGGCCTGAAAGCGCTCCAAATGTCCACTTGCAGATTCTGCCAAAAGAATATTTCAAAACTGCTCTATGAAAAGCAATGTTAAACTCTGTGGCTCGAACACAAACATCACAAAGCGGTTTCTGAGAATGCTTCAGTTTAGTTTTTCTGTGGAAATATTCCCGTTTCCAAAGAAATCTTCAAAGAGGTCCACGTATCCACTTACAGATTCTACAAAAAGACAGTTTCAAAACTGCTCCATCAAAAGGAGGGTTCAACTGTGTGAGTTGAATGCAATCATCACTCAGAAGTTTCTGAGAATGCTTCTCTTTAGTTTTTACGTGAACATATACCCGTTTCGAACGAAGGCCACCCAGTGGTCCAAATATCCACTTGCAGATTCTACAGAAAGAGTGTTTCGAACCTGAACTCTCAAAGGCAGGTTCATCTCTGCAAGTTAAATGCATTCATCATGAAGAACTTTCTCAGAGTGTTTGTGTTTAGTTATGGGAAATTATTCCCGTTTCCAACGAAATCCTCAGAGAGCTCCAAATATCCACCTGCAGATTCTACCAAAAGTGTATTTGGAAACTGCTCCATCAAAAGGCATGTTCAGCTCTGTGAGTGAAACTCCATCATCACAAAGAATATTCTGAGAATGCTTCCGTTTGCCTTTTATATGAAGTTCCTTCCTGTACTACCGTAGGCCTCAAAGCAGTCCAAATCTCCATTTGCAGATTCTATAAAAAGAGTGATTCCAATCTGCTCTATCAATAGGATTGTTCAACTCCATGAGTTGAATGCCATCCTCACAAAGTAGTTTCTGAGAATGCTTCTATCTAGTTTTTATGTGAAGATATTTCCTTTTCCACCACAGGCCTCAAAGCCTTCCAAACGTCCACTTGCAGATTCTCGAAAAAGAGTGTTTCATAGCTGCTCTTTCAAAAGGAAAGTTCAACTCTGGGAGTTGAATACAAACATCACAAAGTAGTTTCCGAGAATGCTTCTGTTTAGTTTTTATGTGAAGATGATCCCGTTTCCAGTGAAATCTTCAAAGAGGTCCACATATCCCCTTGCAGATTCCAAAGAAAGAGGGTTTCAAAACTGCTCCATCAGAAGGATTGTTCAACTCTGTGAGTTGAATGCAGTCATCGCAGAAAACTTTCTGAGAATGCTTCTGTCTAGGTTTGTGGTGAAGATATAGACGTTTCAAACGAAGGCTACAAAGTGGTCAAAATATACACTTGCAGATTCTACTACAAGGGTGTTGCAAACCTCAACTATCAAAGGAAGGTTCAACTCTGTGAGTTGAATACAAACATCACAAAGAATGTTCTGAGTTTGCTTCCGTTCAGTTATGGGAAGTTGATCCCGTTTCCAACGAAATCCTCAGAGAGGTCCAAATATCCCCTTGCAGATCCTACAAAACGTGTGTTTGGAAACTGCTCCATCATAACGAATGTTCAGCTCTCTGAGTTAAACTCCATCGTCACAAAGAATTTTCTGAGAGTGCTACCGTCTGGTTTTTATATGAAGTTCTTTCCTTTACTACCACAGGCCTCAAAGCGGTCCAAATCTCCACTGGCAGATTCTACAAAAAGAGTGTTTGCAAACTGCTCTATCAAAAGGAATGTTCAACTCTGGGAGTTGAATGCAATCATCACAGAGCAGTTTCTGAGAATGCTTCTATGTCGTTTTTAGGAGAAGATATTTCCTTTTCCAACACAGTCCTCCAAGCCCGCTAAATATCCACTTGCACATTGTAGAAAAAGTGTGTCGAAGCTGCGCTATCAAAGGGAAAGTTCAACTCTGTGAGGTGAATGCAAACATCCCAAAGAAGTTTCTGAGAATGCTTTCCGTTTAGCTTTTAGGTGAAGATTATCCCGTTTCCAACGAAATGTTCAAAGAGGTCCAAATATCCCCTTGCGGATCCCACAGAAAGAGTGTTTCGAAACTGCTGTTTCAAAAGGAATCTTCAACTCTGTGAGTTGAATGCAATCATCACAAAGAAGTTTCCGACAATGCTTCTCTCTCGTCCTTCTATGAAGATAAAGGAAAAGTCTTTCAGGCCTTTTCCACCACAGGCCTGAAAGCACTCCAAATGTCCACTTGCAGATTCTGCCAAAAGAATATTTCAAAACTGCTCTATGAAAAGCAATGTTAAACTCTGCGGCTCGAACACAAACATCACAAAGCAGTTTCTGAGAATGCTTCAGTTTAGTTTTTCTGTGGAAATATTCCCGTTTCCAAAGAAATCTTCAAAGAGGTCCACGTATCCACTTACAGATTCTACAAAAAGGCAGTTTCAAAACTGCTCAATCAAAAGGAGGGTTCAACTGTGTGACTTGAATGCAATCATCACTCAGAAGTTTCTGAGAATGCTTCTCTTTAGTTTTTACGTGAACATATACCCGTTTCGAACGAAGGCCAGCCAGTGGTCCAAATATCCACTTGCAGATTCTACAGAAAGAGTGTTTCAAACCTGAACTCTCAAAGGCAGGTTCATCTCTGCGAGTTAAATGCATTCATCATGAAGAACTTTCTCAGCGTGTTTGTGTTTAGTTATGGGAAATTATTCCCGTTTCCAACGAAATCCTCAGAGAGCTCCAAATATCCACCTGCAGATTGTACCAAAACTGTATTTGGAAACTGCTCCATGAAAAGGCATGTTCAGCTCTGTGAGTGAAACTCCGTCATCACAAAGAATATTCTGAGAATGCTTCCGTTTGCCTTTTATATGAAGTTCCTTCCTATACTACCGTAGGCCTCAAAGCAGTCCAAATCTCCATTTGCAGATTCTACAAAAAGAGTGATTCCAATCTGCTCTATCAATAGGATTGTTCAACTCCATGAGTTGAATGCCATCCTCACAAAGTAGTTTCTGAGAATGCTCCTATGTAGTTTTTATGTGAAGATATTTCCTTTTCCACCACAGGCCTCAAAGCCCTCCAAACGTCCACTTGCAGATTCTCGAAAAAGAGTGTTTCATAGCTGCTCTTTCAAAAGGAAAGTTCAACTCTGGGAGTTGAATACAAACATCACAAAGTAGTTTCCGAGAATGCTTCTGTTTAGTTCTTATGTGAAGATGATCCCGTTTCCAGTGAAATCTTCAAAGAGGTCCACATATCCCCTTGCAGATTCCAAAAAAAGAGGGTTTCAAAACTGCTCCATCAAAAGGATTGTTCAACTCTGTGAGTTGAATGCAGTCATCGCAGAAAACTTTCTGAGAATGCTTCTGTCTAGGTTTGATGTGAAGATATAGACGTTTCAAACGAAGGCTACAAAGTGGTCAAAATATACACTTGCAGATTCTCCTACAAGGGTGCTGCAAACCTCAACTATCAAAGGAAGGTTCAACTCTGTGAGATGAATGCAAACATCACAAAGAATGTTCTGAGTTTGCTTCCGTTCAGTTATGGGAAGTTGATCCCGTTTCCAACGAAATCCTCAGAGAGGTCCAAATATCCCCTTGCAGATTCTACAAAACGTGTGTTTGGAAACTGCTCCATCATAACGAATGTTCAGCTCTCTGAGTTAAACTCCATCGTCACAAACAATTTTCTGAGACTGCTACCGTCTACTTTTTATATGAAGTTCTTTCCTTTACTACCACAGGCCTCAAAGCGTTCCAAATCTCCACTTGCAGATTCTACAAAAAGAGTGTTTGCAAATTGCTCTATCAAAAGGAATGTTCAACTCTGGGAGTTGAATGCAATCATCACAGAGCAGTTTCTGAGAATGCTTCTATGTCGTTTTTAGGAGAAGATATTTCCTTTTCCAACACAGTCCTCCAAGCCCGCTAAATAGCCACTTGCACATTGTAGAAAAAGTGTGTCAAAGCTGCGCTATCAAAGGGAAAGTTCAACTCTGTGAGGTGAATGCAAACATCCCAAAGATGTTTCTGAGAATGCTTCCGTTTAGCTTTTAGGTGAAGATTATCCCGTTTCCAACGAAACCTTCAAAGAGGTCCAAATATCCCCTTGCGGATCCCACAGAAAGAGTGTTTCGAAACTGCTGTTTCAAAAGGAATCTTCAACTCTGTGAGTTGAATGCAATCATCACAAAGAAGTTTCTGACAATGCTTCTCTCTCGTCTTTCTGTGAAGATAAAGGAAAAGGCTTTCAGGCCTTTTCCACCACAGGCCTGAAAGCGCTCCAAATGTCCACTTGCAGATTCTGCCAAAAGAATATTTCAAAACTGCTCTATGAAAAGCAATGTTAAACTCTGCGGCTCAAACACAAACATCACAAAGCGGTTTCTGAGAATGCTTCAGTTTAGTTTTTCTGTGGATATATTCCCGTTTCCAAAGAAATCTTCAAAGAGGTCCACGTATCCACTTACAGATTCTACAAAAAGACAGTTTCAAAACTGGTCAATCAAAAGGAGGGTTCAACTGTGTGACTTGAATGCAATCATCACTCAGAAGTTTCTGAGAACGCTTCTCTTTAGTTTTTACGTGAACATATACCCGTTTCGAACGAAGGCCAGCCAGTGGTCCAAATATCCACTTGCAGATTCTACAGAAAGAGTGTTTCGAATCTGAACTCTCAAAGGCAGGTTCATCTCTGCGAGTTCAATGCATTCATCATGAAGAACTTTCTCAGCGTGTTTGTGTTTAGTTATGGAAAATTATTCCCGTTTCCAACGAAATCCTCAAAGAGCTCCAAATATCCACCTGCAGATTCTACCAAAAGTGTATTTGGAAACTGCTCCATCAAAAGGCATGTTCAGCTCTGTGAGTGAAACTCCATCATCACAAAGAATATTCTGAGAATGCTTCCGTTTGCCTTTTATATGAAGTTCCTTCCTATACGACCGTAGGCCTCAAAGCAGTCCAAATCTCCATTTGCAGATTCTACAAAAAGAGTGATTCCAATCTGCTCTATCAATAGGATTGTTCAACTCCATGAGTTGAATGCCATCCTCACAAAGTCGTTTCTGAGAATGCTTCTATCTAGTTTTTATGTGAAGATATTTCCTTTTCCACCACAGGCCTCAAAGCCCTCCAAACGTCCACTTGCAGATTCTCGAAAAAGAGTGTTTCATAGCTGCTCTTTCAAAAGGAAAGTTCAACTCTGGGAGTTGAATACAAACATCACAAAGTAGTTTCCGAGAATGCTTCTGTTTAGTTTTTATGTGAAGATGATCCCGTTTCCAGTGAAATCTTCAAAGAGGTCCACATATCCCCTTGCAGATTCCAAAGAAAGAGGGTTTCAAAACTGCTCCATCAGAAGGATTGTTCAACTCTGTGAGTTGAATGCAGTCATCGCAGAAAACTTTCTGAGAATGCTTCTGTCTAGGTTTCATGTGAAGATATAGAACTTTCAAACGAAGGCTACAAAGTGGTCAAAATATACACTTGCAGATTCTACTACAAGGGTGTTGCAAACCTGAACTATCAAAGGAAGGTTCAACTCTGTGAGTTGAATACAAACATCACAAAGAATGTTCTGAGTTTGCTTCCGTTCAGTTATGGGAAGTTGATCCCGTTTCCAACGAAATCCTCAGAGAGGTCCAAATATCCCCTTGCAGATTCTACAAAACGTGTGTTTGGAAACTGCTCCATCATAACGAATGTTCAGCTCCCTGAGTTAAACTCCATCGTCACAAAGAATTTTCTGAGAGTGCTACCGTCTGGTTTTTATATGAAGTTCTTTCCTTCACTACCACAGGCCTCAAAGCGGTCCAAATCTCCACTTGCAGATTCTACAAAAAGAGTGTTTGCAAACTGCTCTATCAAAAGGAATGTTCAACTCTGGGAGTTGAATGCAATCATCACAGAGCAGTTTCTGCGAATGCTTCTATGTCGTTTTTAGGAGAAGATATTTCCTTTTCCAACACAGTCCTCCAAGCCCGCTAAATAGCCACTTGCACATTGTAGAAAAAGTGTGTCAAAGCTGCGCTATCAAAGGGAAAGTTCAACTCTGTGAGGTGAATGCAAACATCCCAAAGAAGTTTCTGAGAATGCTTCCGTTTAGCTTTTAGGTGAAGATTATCCCGTTTCCAACGAAACCTTCAAAGAGGTCCAAATATCCCCTTGCGGATCCCACAGAAAGAGTGTTTCGAAACTGCTGTTTCAAAAGGAATCTTCAACTCTGTGAGTTGAATGCAATCATCACAAAGAAGTTTCTGACAATGCTTCTCTCTCGTCTTTCTGTGAAGATAAAGGAAAAGGCTTTCAGGCCCTTTTCCACCACAGGCCTGAAAGCGCTCCAAATGTCCACTTGCAGATTCTGCCAAAAGAATATTTCAAAACTGCTCTATGAAAAGCAATGTTAAACTCTGTGGCTCGAACACAAACATCACAAAGCGGTTTCTGAGAATGCTTCAGTTTAGTTTTTCTGTGGAAATATTCCCGTTTCCAAAGAAATCTTCAAAGAGGTCCACGTATCCACTTACAGATTCTACAAAAAGACAGTTTCAAAACTGCTCCATCAAAAGGAGGGTTCAACTGTGTGACTTGAATGCAATCATCACTCAGAAGTTTCTGAGAATGCTTCTCTTTAGTTTTTACGTGAACATATAACCTTTTCGAACCAAGGCCAGCCAGTGGTCCAAATATCCACTTGCAGATTCTACAGAAAGAATGTTTCGAACCTGAACTCTCAAAGGCAGGTTCATCTCTGCGAGTTAAATGCATTCATCATGAAGAACTTTCTCAGAGTGTTTGTGTTTAGTTATGGGAAATTATTCCCGTTTCCAACGAAATCCTCAGAGAGCTCCAAATATCCACCTGCAGATTCTACCAAAAGTGTATTTGGAAACTGCTCCATCAAAAGGCATGTTCAGCTCTGTGAGTGAAACTCCATCATCACAAAGAATATTCTGAGAATGCTTCCGTTTGCCTTTTATATGAAGTTCCTTCCTGTACTACCGTAGGCCTCAAAGCAGTCCAAATCTCCATTTGCAGATTCTACAAAAAGAGTGATTCCAATCTGCTCTATCAATAGGATTGTTCAACTCCATGAGTTGAATGCCATCCTCACAAAGTCGTTTCTGAGAATGCTTCTATCTGGTTTTTGTGTGAAGATATTTCCTTTTCCACCACAGGCCTCAAAGCCCTCCAAACGTCCACTTGCAGATTCTCGAAAAAGAGTGTTTCATAGCTACTCTTTCAAAAGGAAAGTTCAACTCTGGGAGTTGAATACAAACATCACAAAATAGTTTCCGAGAATGCTTCTGTTTAGTTTTTATGTGAAGATGATCCCGTTTCCAGTGAAATCTTCAAAGAGGTCCACATATCCCCTTGCAGATTCCAAAGAAAGAGGGTTTCAAAACTGCTCCATCAGAAGGATTGTTCAACTCTGTGAGTTGAATGCAGTCATCGCAGAAAACTTTCTGAGAATGCTTCTGTCTAGGTTTGATGTGAAGATATAGACGTTTCAAACGAAGGCTACAAAGTGGTCAAAATATACACTTGCAGATTCTACTACAAGGGTGTTGCAAACCTGAACTATCAAAGGAAGGTTCAACTCTGTGAATTGAATACAAACATCACAAAGAATGTTCTGAGTTTGCTTCCGTTCAGTTATGGGAAGTTGATCCCGTTTCCAACGAAATCCTCAGAGAGGTCCAAATATCCCCTTGCAGATTCTACAAAACGTGTGTTTGGAAACTGCTCCATCATAACGAATGTTCAGCTCCCTGAGTTAAACTCCATCGTCACAAAGAATTTTCTGAGAGTGCTACCGTCTGGTTTTTATATGAAGTTCTTTCCTTCACTACCACAGGCCTCAAAGCGGTCCAAATCTCCACTTGCAGATTCTACAAAAAGAGTGTTTGCAAACTGCTCTATCAAAAGGAATGTTCAACTCTGGGAGTTGAATGCAATCATCACAGAGCAGTTTCTGAGAATGCTTCTATGTCGTTTTTAGAAGATATTTCCTTTTCCAACACAGTCCTCCAAGCCCGCTAAATAGCCACTTGCACATTGTAGAAAAAGTGTGTCAAAGCTGCGCTATCAAAGGGAAAGTTCAACTCTGTGAGGTGAATGCAAACATCCCAAAGAAGTTTCTGAGAATGCTTCCATTTAGCTTTTAGGTGAAGATTATCCCGTTTCCAACGAAACCTTCAAAGAGGTCCAAATATCCCCTTGCGGATCCCACAGAAAGAGTGTTTCGAAACTGCTGTTTCAAAAGGAATCTTCAACTCTGTGAGTTGAATGCAATCATCACAAAGAAGTTTCTGACAATGCTTCTCTCTCATCTTTCTGTGAAGATAAAGGAAAAGGCTTTCAGGCCTTTTCCACCACAGGCCTGAAAGCGCTCCAAATGTCCACTTGCAGATTCTGCCAAAAGAATATTTCAAAACTGCTCTATGAAAAGCAATGTTAAACTCTGCGGCTCGAACACAAACATCACAAAGCGGTTTCTGAGAATGCTTCAGTTTAGTTTTTCTGTGGAAATATTCCCGTTTCCAAAGAAATCTTCAAAGAGGTCCACGTATCCACTTACAGATTCTACAAAAAGACAGTTTCAAAACTGCTCCATCAAAAGGAGGGTTCAACCGTGTGACTTGAATGCAATCATCACTCAGAAGTTTCTGAGAATGCTTCTCTTTAGTTTTTACGTGAACATATACCCGTTTCGAACGAAGGCCAGCCAGTGGTCCAAATATCAACTTGCAGATTCTACAGAAAGAGTGTTTCGAACCTGAACTCTCAAATGCAGGTTCATCTCTGCGAGTTAAATGCATTCATCATGAAGAACTTTCTCAGAGTGTTTGTGTTTAGTTATGGGAAATTATTCCCGTTTCCAACGAAATCCTCAGAGAGCTCCAAATATCCACCTGCAGATTCTACCAAAAGTGTATTTGGAAACTGCTCCATCAAAAGGCATGTTCAGCTCTGTGAGTGAAACTCCATCATCACAAAGAATATTCTGAGAATGCTTCCGTTTGCCTTTTATATGAAGTTCCTTCCTATACTACCGTAGGCCTCAAAGCAGTCCAAATCTCCATTTGCAGATTCTACAAAAAGAGTGATTCCAATCTGCTCTATCAATAGGATTGTTCAACTCCATGAGTTGAATGCCATCCTCACAAAGTAGTTTCTGAGAATGCTTCTATCTAGTTTTTATGTGAAGATATTTCCTTTTCCACCACAGGCCTCAAAGCCCTCCAAACGTCCACTTGCAGATTCTCGAAAAAGAGTGTTTCATAGCTGCTCTTTCAAAAGGAAATTTCAACTCTGGGAGTTGAATACAAACATCACAAAGAATGTTCTGAGTTTGCTTCCGTTCAGTTATGGGAAGTTGATCCCGTTTCCAACGAAATCCTCAGAGAGGTCCAAATATCCCCTTGCAGATTCTACAAAACGTGTGTTCGGAAACTGCTCCATCATAACGAATGTTCAGCTCCCTGAGTTAAACTCCATCGTCACAAAGAATTTTCTGAGAGTGCTACCGTCTGTTTTTTATATGAAGCTCTTTCCTTTACTACCCCAGTCCTCAAAGCGGTCCAAATCTCCACTTGCAGATTCTACAAAAAGAGTGTTTGCAAACTGCTCTATCAAAAGGAATGTTCAACTCTGGGAGTTGAATGCAATCATCACAGAGCAGTTTCTGAGAATGCTTCTATGTCGTTTTTAGGAGAAGATATTTCCTTTTCCAACACAGTCCTCCAAGCCCGCTAAATAGCCACTTGCACATTGTAGAAAAAGTGTGTCAAAGCTGCGCTATCAAAGGGAAAGTTCAACTCTGTGAGGTGAATGCAAACATCCCAAAGAAGTTTCTGAGAATGCTTCCGTTGAGCTTTTAGGTGAAGATTATCCCGTTTCCAACGAAACCTTCAAAGAGGTCCAAATATCCCCTTGCGGATCCCACAGAAAGAGTGTTTCGAAACTGCTGTTTCAAAAGGAATCTTCAACTCTGTGAGTTGAATGCAATCATCACAAAGAAGTTTCTGACAATGCTTCTCTCTCGTCTTTCTGTGAAGGTAAAGGAAAAGGCTTTCAGGCCTTTTCCACCACAGGCCTGAAAGCGCTCCAAATGTCCACTTGCAGATTCTGCCAAAAGAATATTTCAAAACTGCTCTATGAAAAGCAATGTTAAACTCTGTGGCTCGAACACAAACATCACAAAGCGGTTTCTGAGAATGCTTCAGTTTAGTTTTTCTGTGGAAATATTCCCGTTTCCAAAGAAATCTTCAAAGAGGTCCACGTATCCACTTACAGATTCTACAAAAAGACAGTTTCAAAACTGCTCCATCAAAAGGAGTGTTCAACCGTGTGACTTGAATGCAATCATCACTCAGAAGTATCTGAGAATGCTTCTCTTTAGTTTTTACGTGAACATATACCCGTTTCGAACGAAGGCCACCCAGTGGTCCAAATATCCACTTGCAGATTCTACAGAAAGAGTGTTTCGAACCTGAACTCTCAAAGGCAGGTTCATCTCTGCGAGTTAAATGCATTCATCATGAAGAACTTTCTTCAGAGTGTTTGTGTTTAGTTATGGGAAATTATTCCCGTTTCCAACGAAATCCTCAGAGAGCTCCAAATATCCACCTGCAGATTCTACCAAAAGTGTATTTGGAAACTGCTCCATCAAAAGGCATGTTCAGCTCTGTGAGTGAAACTCCATCATCACAAAGAATATTCTGAGAATGCTTCCGTTTGCCTTTTATATGAAGTTCCTTCCTATACTACCGTAGGCCTCAAAGCAGTCCAAATCTCCATTTGCAGATTCTACAAAAAGAGTGATTCCAATCTGCTCTATCAATAGGATTGTTCAACTCCATGAGTTGAATTCCATCCTCACAATGTCGTTTGTGAGAATGCTTCTATCTAGTTTTTATGTGAAGATATTTCCTTTTCCACCACAGGCCTCAAAGCCCTCCAAACGTCCACTTGCAGATTCTCGAAAAAGAGTGTTTCATAGCTGCTCTTTCAAAAGGAAAGTTCAACTCTGGGAGTTGAATACAAACATCACAAAGTAGTTTCCGAGAATGCTTCTGTTTAGTTTTTATGTGAAGATGATCCCGTTTCCAGTGAAATCTTCAAAGAGGTCCACATATCCCCTTGCAGATTCCAAAGAAAGAGGGTTTCAAAACTGCTCCATCAGAAGGATTGTTCAGCTCTGTGAGTTGAATGCAGTCATCGCAGAAAACTTTCTGAGAATGCTTCTGTCTAGGTTTGATGTGAAGATATAGACGTTTCAAACGAAGGCTACAAAGTGGTCAAAATATACACTTGCAGATTCTACTACAAGGGTGTTGCAAACCTCAACTATCAAAGGAAGGTTCAACTCTGTGAGACGAATGCAAACATCACAAAGAATGTTCTGAGTTTGCTTCCGTTCAGTTATGTGAAGTTGATCCCGTTTCCAACGAAATCCTCAGAGAGGTCCAAATATCCCCTTGCAGATTCTACAAAACGTGTGTTTGGAAACTGCTCCATCATAACGAATGTTCAGCTCTCTGAGTTAAACTCCATCGTCACAAAGAATTTTCTGAGAGTGCTACCGTCTACTTTTTATATGAAGTTCTTTCCTTTACTACCACAGGCCTCAAAGCGGTCCAAATCTCCACTTGCAGATTCTACAAAAAGAGTGTTTGCAAATTGCTCTATCAAAAGGAATGTTCAACTCTGGGAGTTGAATGCAATCATCACAGAGCAGTTTCTGAGAATGCTTCTATGTCGTTTTTAGGAGAAGATATTTCCTTTTCCAACACAGTCCTCCAAGCCCGCTAAATATCCACTTGCACATTGTAGAAAAAGTGTGTCGAAGCTGCGCTATCAAAGGGAAAGTTCAACTCTGTGAGGTGAATGCAAACATCCCAAAGAAGTTTCTGAGAATGCTTCCGTTTAGCTTTAAGTGAAGATTATCCCGTTTCCAACGAAATCTTCAAAGAGGTCCAAATATCCCCTTGCGGATCCCACAGAAAGAGTGTTTCGAAACTGCTGTTTCAAAAGGAATTTTCAACTCTGTGAGTTGAATGCAATCATCACAAAGAAGTTTCTGACAATGCTTCTCTCTCGTCTTTCTGTGAAGATAAAGGAAAAGGCTTTCAGGCCTTTGCCACCACAGGCCTGAAAGCGCTCCAAATGTCCACTTGCAGATTCTGCCAAAAGAATATTTCAAAACTGCTCTATGAAAAGCAATGTTAAACTCTGCGGCTCGAACACAAACATCACAAAGCAGTTTCTGAGAATGCTTCAGTTTAGTTTTTCTGTGGAAATATTCCCGTTTCCAAAGAAATCTTCAAAGAGGTCCACGTATCCACTTACAGATTCTACAAAAAGACAGTTTCAAAACTGCTCCATCAAAAGGAGGGTTCAACTGTGTGACTTGAATGCAATCATCACTCAGAAGTTTCTGAGAATGCTTCTCTTTAGTTTTTACGTGAACATATACCCGTTTCGAACGAAGGCCACCCACTGGTCCAAATATCCACTTGCAGATTATACAGAAAGAGTGTTTCGAACCTGAACTCTCAAAGGCAGGTTCATCTCTGCAAGTTAAATGCATTCATCATGAAGAACTTTCTCAGCGTGTTTGTGTTTAGTTATGGGAAATTATTCCCGTTTCCAACGAAATCCTCAGAGAGCTCCAAATATCCACCTGCAGATTCTACCAAAAGTGTATTTGGAAACTGCTCCATCAAAAGGCATGTTCCGCTCTGTGAGTGAAACTCCATCATCACAAAGAATATTCTGAGAATGCTTCCGTTTGCCTTTTATATGAAGTTCCTTCCTATACGACCGTAGGCCTCAAAGCAGTCCAAATCTCCATTTGCAGATTCTACAAAAAGAGTGATTCCAATCTGCTCTATCAATAGGATTGTTCAACTCCATGAGTTGAATGCCATCCTCACAAAGTCGTTTCTGAGAATGCTTCTATCTAGTTTTTATGTGAAGATATTTCCTTTTCCACCACAGGCCTCAAAGCCCTCCAAACGTCCACCTGCAGATTCTCGAAAAACAGTGTTTCATAGCTGCTCTTTCAAAAGGAAAGTTCAACTCTGGGAGTTGAATACAAACATCACAAAGTAGTTTCCGAGAATGCTTCTGTTTAGTTTTTATGTGAAGATGATCCCGTTTCCAGTGAAATCTTCAAAGAGGTCCACATATCCCCTTGCAGATTCCAAAGAAAGAGGGTTTCAAAACTGCTCCATCAGAAGGATTGTTCAACTCTGTGAGTTGAATGCAGTCATCGCAGAAAACTTTCTGAGAATGCTTCTGTCTATGTTTGATGTGAAGATATAGATATTTCAAACGAAGGCTACAAAGTGGTCAAAATATACACTTGCAGATTCTACTACAAGGGTGTTGCAAACCTGAACTATCAAAGGAAGGTTCAACTCTGTGAGTTGAATACAAACATCACAAAGAATGTTCTGAGTTTGCTTCCGTTCAGTTATGGGAAGTTGATCCCGTTTCCAACGAAATCCTCAGAGAGGTCCAAATATCCCCTTGCAGATTCTACAAAACGTGTGTTTGGAAACTGCTCCATCATAACGAATGTTCAGCTCCCTGAGTTAAACTCCATCGTCACAAAGAATTTTCTGAGAGTGCTACCGTCTGGTTTTTATATGAAGTTCTTTCCTTCACTACCACAGGCCTCAAAGCGGTCCAAATCTCCACTTGCAGATTCTACAAAAAGAGTGTTTGCAAACTGCTCTATCAAAAGGAATGTTCAACTCTGGGAGTTGAATGCAATCATCACAGAGCAGTTTCTGAGAATGCTTCTATGTCGTTTTTAGGAGAAGATATTTCCTTTTCCAACACAGTCCTCCAAGCCCGCTAAATAGCCACTTGCACATTGTAGAAAAAGTGTGTCAAAGCTGCGCTATCAAAGGGAAAGTTCAACTCTGTGAGGTGAATGCAAACATCCCAAAGAAGTTTCTGAGAATGCTTCCGTTTAGCTTTTAGGTGAAGATTATCCCGTTTCCAACGAAACCTTCAAAGAGGTCCAAATATCCCCTTGCGGATCCCACAGAAAGAGTGTTTCGAAACTGCTGTTTCAAAAGGAATCTTCAACTCTGTGAGTTGAATGCAATCATCACAAAGAAGTTTCTGACAATGCTTCTCTCTCGTCTTTCTGTGAAGATAAAGGAAAAGGCTTTCAGGCCTTTTCCACCACAGGCCTGAAAGCGCTCCAAATGTCCACTTGCAGATTCTGCCAAAAGAATATTTCAAAACTGCTCTATGAAAAGCAATGTTAAACTCTGTGGCTCGAACACAAACATCACAAAGCGGTTTCTGAGAATGCTTCAGTTTAGTTTTTCTGTGGAAATATTCCCGTTTCCAAAGAAATCTTCAAAGAGGTCCACGCATCCACTTACAGATTCTACAAAAAGACAGTTTCAAAACTGCTCAATCAAAAGGAGGGTTCAACTGTGTGACTGGAATGCAATCATCACTCAGAAGTTTCTGAGAACGCTTCTCTTTAGTTTTTACGTGAACATATACCCGTTTCGAACGAAGGCCAGCCAGTGGTCCAAATATCCACTTGCAGATTCTACAGAAAGAGTGTTTCGAACCTGAACTCTCAAAGGCAGGTTCATCTCTGCGCGTTAAATGCATTCATCATGAAGAACTTTCTCAGCGTGTTTGTGTTTAGTTATGGGAAATTATTCCCGTTTCCAACGAAATCCTCAGAGAGCTCCAAATATCCACCTGCAGATTCTACCAAAAGTGTATTTGGAAACTGCTCCATGAAAAGGCATGTTCAGCTCTGTGAGTGAAACTCCGTCATCACAAAGAATATTCTGAGAATGCTTCCGTTTGCCTTTTATATGAAGTTCCTTCCTATACTACCGTAGGCCTCAAAGCAGTCCAAATCTCCATTTGCAGATTCTACAAAAAGAGTGATTCCAATCTGCTCTATCAATAGGATTGTTCAACTCCATGAGTTGAATGCCATCCTCACAAAGTAGTTTCTGAGAATGCTTCTATCTAGTTTTTATGTGAAGATATTTCCTTTTCCACCACAGGCCTCAAAGCCCTCCAAACGTCCACTTGCAGATTCTCGAAAAAGTGTGTTTCATAGCTGCTCTTTCAAAAGGAAAGTTCAACTCTGGGAGCTGAATACAAACATCACAAAGTAGTTTCCGAGAATGCTTCTGTTTAGTTCTTATGTGAAGATGATCCCGTTTCCAGTGAAATCTTCAAAGAGGTCCACATATCCCCTTGCAGATTCCAAAGAAAGAGGGTTTCAAAACTGCTCCATCAAAAGGATTGTTCACCTCTGTGAGTTGAATGCAGTCATCGCAGAAAACTTTCTGAGAATGGTTCTGTCTAGGTTTGATGTGAAGATATAGACGTTTCAAACGAATGCTACAAAGTGGTCAAAATATACACTTGCAGATTCTACTACAAGGGTGTTGCAAACCTGAACTATCAAAGGAAGGTTCAACTCTGTGAGTTGAATTCAAACATCATAAAGAATGTTCTGAGTTTGCTTCCGTTCAGTTATGGGAAGTTGATCCCGTTTCCAACGAAATCCTCAGAGAGGTCCAAATATCCCCTTGCAGATTCTACAAAACGTGTGTTTGGAAACTGCTCCATCATAACGAATGTTCAGCTCTCTGAGTTAAACTCCATCGTCACAAAGAATTTTCTGAGAGTGCTACCGTCTACTTTTTATATGAAGTTCTTTCCTTTACTACCACAGGCCTCAAAGCGGTCCAAATCTCCACTTGCAGATTCTACAAAAAGAGTGTTTGCAAATTGCTCTATCAAAAGGAATGTTCAACTCTGGGAGTTGAATGCAATCATCACAGAGCAGTTTCTGAGAATGCTTCTATGTCGTTTTTAGGAGAAGATATTTCCTTTTCCAACACAGTCCTCCAAGCCCGCTAAATAGCCACTTGCACATTGTAGAAAAAGTGTGTCGAAGCTGCGCTATCAAAGGGAAAGTTCAACTCTGTGAGGTGAATGCAAACATCCCAAAGAAGTTTCTGAGAATGCTTCCGTTTAGCTTTTAGGTGAAGATTATCCCGTTTCCAACGAAATCTTCAAAGAGGTCCAAATATCCCCCTGCGGATCCCACAGAAAGAGTGTTTCGAAACTGCTGTTTCAAAAGGAATCTTCAACTCTGTGAGTTGAATGCAATCATCACAAAGAAGTTTCTGACAATGCTTCTCTCTCGTCTTTCTGTGAAGGTAAAGGAAAAGGCTTTCAGGCCTTTTCCACCACAGGCCTGAACGTGCTCCAAATGTCCACTTGCAGATTCTGCCAAAAGAATATTTCAAAACTGCTCTATGAAAAGCAATGTTAAACTCTGTGGCTCGAACACAAACATCACAAAGCCGTTTCTGAGAATGCTTCAGTTTAGTTTTTCTGTGGAAATATTCCCGTTTCCAAAGAAATCTTCAAAGAGGTCCACGCATCCACTTACAGATTCTACAAAAAGACAGTTTCAAAACTGCTCAATCAAAAGGAGGGTTCAACTGTGTGACTTGAATGCAATCATCACTCAGAAGTTTCTGAGAACGCTTCTCTTTAGTTTTTACGTGAACATATACCCGTTTCGAACGAACCCAGCCAGTGGTCCAAATATCCACTTGCAGATTCTACAGAAAGAGTGTTTCGAACCTGAACTCTCAAAGGCAGGTTCATCTCTGCGAGTTAAATGCATTCATCATGAAGAACTTTCTCAGAGTGTTTGTGTTTAGTTATGGGAAATTATTCCCGTTTCCAACGAAATCCTCAGAGAGCTCCAAATATCCACCTGCAGATTCTACCAAAAGTGTATTTGGAAACTGCTCCATCAAAAGGCATGTTCAGCTCTGTGAGTGAAACTCCATCATCACAAAGAATATTCTGAGAATGCTTCCGTTTGCCTTTTATATGAAGTTCCTTCCTGTACTACCGTAGGCCTCAAAGCAGTCCAAATCTCCATTTGCAGATTCTACAAAAAGAGTGATTCCAATCTGCTCTATCAATAGGATTGTTCAACTCCATGAGTTGAATGCCATCCTCACAAAGTAGTTTCTGAGAATGCTTCTATCTAGTTTTTATGTGAAGATATTTCCTTTTCCACCACAGGCCTCAAAGCCCTCCAAACGTCCACTTGCAGATTCTCGAAAAAGAGTGTTTCATAGCTGCTCTTTCAAAAGGAAAGTTCAACTCTGGCAGTTGAATACAAACATCACAAAGTAGTTTCCGAGAATGCTTCTGTTTAGTTTTTATGTGAAGATGATCCCGTTTCCAGTGAAATCTTCAAAGAGGTCCACATATCCCCTTGCAGATTCCAAAGAAAGAGGGTTTCAAAACTGCTCCATCAGAAGGATTGTTCAACTCTGTGAGTTGAATGCAGTCATCGCAGAAAACTTTCTGAGAATGCTTCTTTCTAGGTTTGATGTGAAGATATAGACGTTTCAAACGAAGGCTACAAAGTGGTCAAAATATACACTTGCAGATTCTACTACAAGGGTGTTGCAAACCTGAACTATCAAAGGAAGGTTCAACTCTGTGAGTTGAATACAAACATCACAAAGAATGTTCTGAGTTTGCTTCCGTTCAGTTATGGGAAGTTGATCCCGTTTCCAAAGAAATCCTCAGAGAGGTCCAAATATCCCCTCGCAGATTCTACAAAACGTGTGTTTGGAAACTGCTCCATCATAACGAATGTTCAGCTCCCTGAGTTAAACTCCATCGTCACAAAGAATTTTCTGAGAGTGCTACCGTCTGGTTTTTATATGAAGTTCTTTCCTTCACTACCACAGGCCTCAAAGCGGTCCAAATCTCCACTTGCAGATTCTACAAAAAGAGTGTTTGCAAACTGCTCTATCAAAAGGAATGTTCAACTCTGGGAGTTGAATGCAATCATCACAGAGCAGTTTCTGAGAATGCTTCTATGTCGTTTTTAGAAGATATTTCCTTTTCCAACACAGTCCTCCAAGCCTGCTAAATAGCCACTTGCACATTGTAGAAAAAGTGTGTCAAAGCTGCGCTATCAAAGGGAAAGTTCAACTCTGTGAGGTGAATGCAAACATCCCAAAGAAGTTTCTGAGAATGCTTCCGTTTAGCTTTTAGGTGAAGATTATCCCGTTTCCAACGAAACCTTCAAAGAGGTCCAAATATCCCCTTGCGGATCCCACAGAAAGAGAGTTTCGAAACTGCTGTTTCAAAAGGAATCTTCAACTCTGTGAGTTGAATGCAATCATCACAAAGAAGTTTCTGACAATGCTTCTCTCTCGTCTTTCTGTGAAGATAAAGGAAAAGGCTTTCAGGCCTTTTCCACCACAGGCCTGAAAGCGCTCCAAATGTCCACTTGCAGATTCTGCCAAAAGAATATTTCAAAACTGCTCTATGAAAAGCAATGTTAAACTCTGCGGCTCGAACACAAACATCACAAAGCGGTTTCTGAGAATGCTTCAGTTTAGTTTTTCTGTGGAAATATTCCCGTTTCCAAAGAAATCTTCAAAGAGGTCCACGCATCCACTTACAGATTCTACAAAAAGACAGTTTCAAAACTGCTCCATCAAAAGGAGGGTTCAACTGTGTGACTTGAATGCAATCATCACTCAGAAGTTTCTGAGAATGCTTCTCTTTAGTTTTTACGTGAACATATACCCGTTTCGAACGAAGGCCACCCAGTGGTCCAAATATCCACTTGCAGATTATACAGAAAGAGTGTTTCGAACCTGAACTCTCAAAGGCAGGTTCATCTCTGCGAGTTAAATGCATTCATCATGAAGAACTTTCTCAGAGTGTTTTGTGTTTAGTTATGGGAAATTATTCCCGTTTCCAACGAAATCCTCAGAGAGCTCCAAATATCCACCTGCTGATTCTACCAAAAGTGTATTTGGAAACTGCTCCATCAAAAGGCATGTTCAGGTCTGTGAGTGAAACTCCATCATCACAAAGAATATTCTGAGAATGCTTCCGTTTGCCTTTTATATGAAGTTCCTTCCTATACGACCGTAGGCCTCAAAGCAGTCCAAATCTCCATTTGCAGATTCTACAAAAAGAGTGATTCCAATCTGCTCTATCAATAGGATTGTTCAACTCCATGAGTTGAATGCCATCCTCACAAAGTCGTTTCTGAGAATGCTTCTATCTAGTCTTTATGTGAAGATATTTCCTTTTCCACCACAGGCCTCAAAGCCCTCCAAACGTCCACTTGCAGATTCTCGAAAAAGAGTGTTTCATAGCTGCTCTTTCAAAAGGAAAGTTCAACTCTGGGAGTTGAATACAAACATCACAAAGTAGTTTCCGAGAATGCTTCTGTTTAGTTTTTATGTGAAGATGATCCCGTTTCCAGTGAAATCTTCAAAGAGGTCCACATATCCCCTTGCAGATTCCAAAGAAAGAGGGTTTCAAAACTGCTCCATCAGAAGGATTGTTCAACTCTGTGAGTTGAATGCAGTCATCGCAGAAAACTTTCTGAGAATGCTTCTGTCTAGGTTTGATGTGAAGATATAGACGTTTCAAACGAAGGGCTACAAAGTGGTCAAAATATACACTTGCAGATTCTACTACAAGGGTGTTGCAAACCTGAACTATCAATGGAAGGTTCAACTCTGTGAGTTGAATACAAACATCACAAAGAATGTTCTGAGTTTGCTTCCGTTCAGTTATGGGAAGTTGATCCCGTTTCCAACGAAATCCTCAGAGAGGTCCAAATATCCCCTTGCAGATTCTACAAAACGTGTGTTTGGAAACTGCTCCATCATAACGAATGTTCAGCTCCCTGAGTTAAACTCCATCGTCACAAAGAATTTTCTGAGAGTGCTACCGTCTGGTTTTTATATGAAGTTCTTTCCTTCACTACCACAGGCCTCAAAGCGGTCCAAATCTCCACTTGCAGATTCTACAAAAAGAGTGTTTGCAAACTGCTCTATCAAAAGGAATGTTCAACTCCTGGGAGTTGAATGCAATCATCACAGAGCAGTTTCTGAGAATGCTTCTATGTCGTTTTTAGGAGAAGATATTTCCTTTTCCAACACAGTCCTCCAAGCCCGCTAAATAGCCACTTGCACATTGTAGAAAAAGTGTGTCAAAGCTGCGCTATCAAAGGGAAAGTTCAACTCTGTGAGGTGAATGCAAACATCCCAAAGAAGTTTCTGAGAATGCTTCCGTTTAGCTTTTAGGTGAAGATTATCCCGTTTCCAACGAAACCTTCAAAGAGGTCCAAATATCCCCTTGCGGATCCCACAGAAAGAGTGTTTCGAAACTGCTGTTTCAAAAGGAATCTTCAACTCTGTGAGTTGAATGCAATCATCACAAAGAAGTTTCTGACAATGCTTCTCTCTCGTCTTTCTGTGAAGATAAAGGAAAAGGCTTTCAGGCCTTTTCCACCACAGGCCTGAAAGCGCTCCAAATGTCCACTTGCAGATTCTGCGAAAAGAATATTTCAAAACTGCTCTATGAAAAGCAATGTTAAACTCTGTGGCTCGAACACAAACATCACAAAGCGGTTTCTGAGAATGCTTCAGTTTAGTTTTTCTGTGGAAATATTCCCGTTTCCAAAGAAATCTTCAAAGAGGTCCACGTATCCACTTACAGATTCTACAAAAAGACAGTTTCAAAACTGCTCCATCAAAAGGAGGGTTCAACTGTGTGACTTGAATGCAATCATCACTCAGAAGTTTCTGAGAATGCTTCTCTTTAGTTTTTACGTGAACATATACCCGTTTCGAACGAAGGCCACCCAGTGGTCCAAATATCCACTTGCAGATTATACAGAAAGAGTGTTTCGAACCTGAACTCTCAAAGGCAGGTTCATCTCTGCGAGTTAAATGCATTCATCATGAAGAACTTTCTCAGAGTGTTTGTGTTTAGTTATGGGAAATTATTCCCGTTTCCAACGAAATCCTCAGAGAGCTCCAAATATCCACCTGCAGATTCTACCAAAAGTGTATTTGGAAACTGCTCCATCAAAAGGCATGTTCAGCTCTGTGAGTGAAACTCCATCATCACAAAGAATATTCTGAGAATGCTTCCGTTTGCCTTTTATATGAAGTTCCTTCCTGTACTACTGTAGGCCTCAAAGCAGTCCAAATCTCCATTTGCAGATTCTACAAAAAGAGTGATTCCAATCTGCTCTATCAATAGGATTGTTCAACTCCATGAGTTGAATGCCATCCTCACAAAGTAGTTTCTGAGAATGCTTCTATCTAGTTTTAATGTGAAGATATTTCCTTTTCCACCACAGGCCTCAAAGCCCTCCAAACGTCCACTTGCAGATTCTCGAAAAAGAGTGTTTCATAGCTGCTCTTTCAAAAGGAAAGTTCAACTCTGGGAGTTGAATACAAACATCACAAAGTAGTTTCCGAGAATGCTTCTGTTTAGTTTTTATGTGAAGATGATCCCGTTTCCAGTGAAATCTTCAAAGAGGTCCACATATCCCCTTTCAGATTCCAACGAAAGAGGGTTTCAAAACTGCTCCATCAGAAGGATTGTTCAACTCTGTGAGTTGAATGCAGTCATCGCAGAAAACTTTCTGAGAATGCTTCTGTCTAGGTTTGATGTGAAGATATAGACGTTTCAAACGAAGGCTACAAAGTGGTCAAAATATACACTTGCAGATTCTACTACAAGGGTGTTGCAAACCTGAACTATCAAAGGAAGGTTCAACTCTGTGAGTTGAATACAAACATCACAAAGAATGTTCTGAGTTTGCTTCCGTTCAGTTATGGGAAGTTGATCCCGTTTCCAACGAAATCCTCAGAGAGGTCCAAATATCCCCTTGCAGATTCTACAAAACGTGTGTTTGGAAACTGCTCCATCATAACGAATGTTCAGCTCCCTGAGTTAAACTCCATCGTCACAAAGAATTTTCTGAGAGTGCTACCGTCTGGTTTTTATATGAAGTTCTTTCCTTCACTACCACAGGCCTCAAAGCGGTCCAAATCTCCACTTGCAGATTCTACAAAAAGAGTGTTTGCAAACTGCTCTATCAAAAGGAATGTTCAACTCTGGGAGTTGAATGCAATCATCACAGAGCAGTTTCTGAGAATGCTTCTATGTCGTTTTTAGGAGAAGATATTTCCTTTTCCAACACAGTCCTCCAAGCCCGCTAAATAGCCACTTGCACATTGTAGAAAAAGTGTGTCAAAGCTGCGCTATCAAAGGGAAAGTTCAACTCTGTGAGGTGAATGCAAACATCCCAAAGAAGTTTCTGAGAATGCTTCCGTTTAGCTTTTAGGTGAAGATTATCCCGTTTCCAACGAAACCTTCAAAGAGGTCCAAATATCCCCTTGCGGATCCCACAGAAAGAGTGTTTTGAAACTGCTGTTTCAAAAGGAATCTTCAACTCTGTGAGTTGAATGCAATCATCACAAAGAAGTTTCTGACAATGCTTCTCTCTCGTCTTTCTGTGAAGATAAAGGAAAAGGCTTTCAGGCCTTTTCCACCACAGGCCTGAAAGCGCTCCAAATGTCCACTTGCAGATTCTGCGAAAAGAATATTTCAAAACTGCTCTATGAAAAGCAATGTTAAACTCTGTGGCTCGAACACAAACATCACAAAGCGGTTTCTGAGAATGCTTCAGTTTAGTTTTTCTGTGGAAATATTCCCGTTTCCAAAGAAATCTTCAAAGAGGTCCACGTATCCACTTACAGATTCTACAAAAAGACAGTTTCAAAACTGCTCCATCAAAAGGAGGGTTCAACCGTGTGACTTGAATGCAATCATCACTCAGAAGTTTCTGAGAATGCTTCTCTTTAGTTTTTACGTGAACATATACCCGTTTCGAACGAAGGCCACCCAGTGGTCCAAATATCCACTTGCAGATTATACAGAAAGAGTGTTTCGAACCTGAACTCTCAAAGGCAGGTTCATCTCTGCGAGTTAAATGCATTCATCATGAAGAACTTTCTCAGAGTGTTTGTGTTTAGTTATGGGAAATTATTCCCGTTTCCAACGAAATCCTCAAAGAGCTCCAAATATCCACCTGCAGATTCTACCAAAAGTGTATTTGGAAACTGCTCCATCAAAAGGCATGTTCAGCTCTGTGAGTGAAACTCCATCATCACAAAGAATATTCTGAGAATGCTTCCGTTTGCCTTTTATATGAAGTTCCTTCCTATACGACCGTAGGCCTCAAAGCAGTCCAAATCTCCATTTGCAGATTCTACAAAAAGAGTGATTCCAATCTGCTCTATCAATAGGATTGTTCAACTCCATGAGTTGAATGCCATCCTCACAAAGTCGTTTCTGAGAATGCTTCTATCTAGTTTTTATGTGAAGATATTTCCTTTTCCACCACAGGCCTCAAAGCCCTCCAAACGTCCACTTGCAGATTCTCGAAAAAGAGTGTTTCATAGCTGCTCTTTCAAAAGGAAAGTTCAACTCTGGGAGTTGAATACAAACATCACAAAGTAGTTTCCGAGAATGCTTCTGTTTAGTTTTTATGTGAAGATGATCCCGTTTCCAGTGAAATCTTCAAAGAGGTCCACATATCCCCTTGCAGATTCCAAAGAAAGAGGGTTTCAAAACTGCTCCATCAGAAGGATTGTTCAACTCTGTGAGTTGAATGCAGTCATCGCAGAAAACTTTCTGAGAATGCTTCTGTCTAGGTTTGATGTGAAGATATAGACGTTTCAAACGAAGGCTACAAAGTGGTCAAAATATACACTTGCAGATTCTACTACAAGGGTGTTGCAAACCTGAACTATCAAAGGAAGGTTCAACTCTGTGAGTTGAATACAAACATCACAAAGAATGTTCTGAGTTTGCTTCCGTTCAGTTATGGGAAGTTGATCCCGTTTCCAACGAAATCCTCAGAGAGGTCCAAATATCCCCTTGCAGATTCTACAAAACGTGTGTTTGGAAACTGCTCCATCATAACGAATGTTCAGCTCCCTGAGTTAAACTCCATCGTCACAAAGAATTTTCTGAGAGTGCTACCGTCTGGTTTTTATATGAAGTTCTTTCCTTCACTACCACAGACCTCAAAGCGGTCCAAATCTCCACTTGCAGATTCTACAAAAAGAGTGTTTGCAAACTGCTCTATCAAAAGGAATGTTCAACTCTGGGAGTTGAATGCAATCATCACAGAGCAGTTTCTGAGAATGCTTCTATGTCGTTTTTAGGAGAAGATATTTCCTTTTCCAACACAGTCCTCCAAGCCCGCTAAATAGCCACTTGCACATTGTAGAAAAAGTGTGTCGAAGCTGCGCTATCAAAGGGAAAGTTCAACTCTGTGAGGTGAATGCAAACATCCCAAAGAAGTTTCTGAGAATGCTTCCGTTTAGCTTTTAGGTGAAGATTATCCCGTTTCCAACGAAACCTTCAAAGAGGTCCAAATATCCCCTTGCGGATCCCACAGAAAGAGTGTTTCGAAACTGCTGTTTCAAAAGGAATCTTCAACTCTGTGAGTTGAATGCAATCATCAAAAAGAAGTTTCTGACAATGCTTCTCTCTCGTCTTTCTGTGAAGATAAAGAAAAGGCTTTCAGGCCTTTTCCACCACAGGCCTGAAAGCGCTCCAAATGTCCACTTGCAGATTCTGCCAAAAGAATATTTCAAAACTGCTCTATGAAAAGCAATGTTAAACTCTGTGGCTCGAACACAAACATCACAAAGCGGTTTCTGAGAATGCTTCAGTTTAGTTTTTCTGTGGAAATATTCCCGTTTCCAAAGAAATCTTCAAAGAGGTCCACGTATCCACTTACAGATTCTACAAAAAGACAGTTTCAAAACTGCTCCATCAAAAGGAGGGTTCAACTGTGTGACTTGAATGCAATCATCACTCAGAAGTTTCTGAGAATGCTTCTCTTTAGTTTTTACGTGAACATATACCCGTTTCGAACGAAGGCCACCCAGTGGTCCAAATATCCACTTGCAGATTCTACAGAAAGAGTGTTTCGAACCTGAACTGTCAAAGACAGGTTCATCTCTGCGAGTTAAATGCATTCATCATGAAGAACTTTCTCAGAGTGTTTGTGTTTAGTTATGGGAAATTATTCCCGTTTCCAACGAAATCCTCAGAGAGCTCCAAATATCCACCTGCAGATTCTACCAAAAGTGTATTTGGAAACTGCTCCATCAAAAGGCATGTTCAGCTCTGTGAGTGAAACTCCATCATCACAAAGAATATTCTGAGAATGCTTCCGTTTGCCTTTTATATGAAGTTCCTTCCTATACTACCGTAGGCCTCAAAGCAGTCCAAATCTCCATTTGCAGATTCTACAAAAAGAGTGATTCCAATCTGCTCTATCAATAGGATTGTTCAACTCCATGAGTTGAATGCCATCCTCACAATGTCGTTTCTGAGAATGCTTCTATCTAGTTTTTATGTGAAGATATTTCCTTTTCCACCACAGGCCTCAAAGCCCTCCAAACGTCCACTTTCAGATTCTCGAAAAAGAGTGTTTCATAGCTGCTCTTTCAAAAGGAAAGTTCAACTCTGGGAGTTGAATACAAACATCACAAAGTAGTTTCCGAGAATGCTTCTGTTTAGTTTTTATGTGAAGATGATCCCGTTTCCAGTGAAATCTTCAAAGAGGTCCACATATCCCCTTGCAGATTCCAAAGAAAGAGGGTTTCAAAACTGCTCCATCAGAAGGATTGTTCAACTCTGTGAGTTGAATGCAGTCATCGCAGAAAACTTTCTGAGAATGCTTCTGTCTAGGTTTGATGTGAAGATATAGACGTTTCAAACGAAGGCTACAAAGTGGTCAAAATATACACTTGCAGATTCTACTACAAGGGTGTTGCAAACCTGAACTATCAAAGGAAGGTTCAACTCTGTGAGTTGAATACAAACATCACAAAGAATGTTCTGAGTTTGCTTCCGTTCAGTTATGGGAAGTTGATCCCGTTTCCAACGAAATCCTCAGAGAGGTCCAAATATCCCCTTGCAGATTCTACAAAACGTGTGTTTGGAAACTGCTCCATCATAACGAATGTTCAGCTCCCTGAGTTAAACTCCATCGTCACAAAGAATTTTCTGAGAGTGCTACCGTCTGGTTTTTATATGAAGCTCTTTCCTTCACTACCCCAGGCCTCAAAGCGGTCCAAATCTCCACTTCCAGATTCTACATAAAGAGTGTTTGCAAACTGCTCTATCAAAAGGAATGTTCAACTCTGGGAGTTGAATGCAATCATCACAGAGCAGTTTCTGAGAATGCTTCTATGTCGTTTTTAGGAGAAGATATTTCCTTTTCCAACACAGTCCTCCAAGCCCGCTAAATAGCCACTTGCACATTGTAGAAAAAGTGTGTCAAAGCTGCGCTATCAAAGGGAAAGTTCAACTCTGTGAGGTGAATGCAAACATCCCAAAGAAGTTTCTGAGAATGCTTCCGTTTAGCTTTTAGGTGAAGATTATCCCGTTTCCAACGAAACCTTCAAAGAGGTCCAAATATCCCCTTGCGGATCCCACAGAAAGAGTGTTTCGAAACTGCTGTTTCAAAAGGAATCTTCAACTCTGTGAGTTGAATGCAATCATCACAAAGAAGTTTCTGACAATGCTTCTCTCTCGTCTTTCTGTGAAGATAAAGGAAAAGGCTTTCAGGCCTTTGCCACCACAGGCCTGAAAGCGCTCCAAATGTCCACTTGCAGATTCTGCCAAAAGAATATTTCAAAACTGCTCTATGAAAAGCAATGTTAAACTCTGTGGCTGGAACACAAACATCACAAAGCGGTTTCTGAGAATGTTTCAGTTTAGTTTTTCTGTGGAAATATTCCCGTTTCCAAAGGAAATCTTCAAAGAGGTCCACGTATCCACTTACAGATTCTACAAAAAGACAGTTTCAAAACTGCTCCATCAAAAGGAGGGTTCAACTGTGTGACTTGAATGCAATCATCACTCAGAAGTTTCTGAGAATGCTTCTCTTTAGTTTTTACGTGAACATATACCCGTTTCGAACGAAGGCCACCCAGTGGTCCAAATACCCACTTGCAGATTCTACAGAAAGAGTGTTTCGAACCTGAACTCTCAAAGGCAGGTTCATCTCTGCGAGTTAAATGCATTCATCATGAAGAACTTTCTCAGAGTGTTTGTGTTTAGTTATGGGAAATTATTCCCGTTTCCAAAGAAATCCTCAGAGAGCTCCAAATATCCACCTGCAGATTCTACCAAAAGTGTATTTGGAAACTGCTCCATCAAAAGGCATGTTCAGCTCTGTGAGTGAAACTCCATCATCACAAAGAATATTCTGAGAATGCTTCCGTTTGCCTTTTATCTGAAGTTCCTTCCTATACGACCGTAGGCCTCAAAGCAGTCCAAATCTCCATTTGCAGATTCTACAAAAAGAGTGATTCCAATCTGCTCTATCAATAGGATTGTTCAACTCCATGAGTTGAATGCCATCCTCACAAAGTAGTTTCTGAGAATGCTTCTATCTAGTTTTATGTGAAGATATTTCCTTTTCCACCACAGGCCTCAAAGCCCTCCAAACGTCCACTTGCAGATTCTCGAAAAAGAGTGTTTCATAGCTGCTCTTTCAAAAGGAAAGTTCAACTCTGGGAGTTGAATACAAACATCACAAAGTAGTTTCCGAGAATGCTTCTGTTTAGTTCTTATGTGAAGATGATCCCGTTTCCAGTGAAATCTTGAAAGAGGTCCACATATCCCCTTGCAGATTCCAAAGAAAGAGGGTTTCAAAACTGCTCCATCAAAAGGATTACTCAACTCTATGAGTTGTATGCAGTCATCGCAGAAAACTTTCTGAGAATGCTTCTGTCTAGGTTTGATGTGAAGATATAGACGTTTCAAACGAAGGCTACAAAGTGGTCAAAATATACACTTGCAGATTCTACTACAAGGGTGTTGCAAACCTGAACTATCAAAGGAAGGTTCAACTCTGTGAGTTGAATACAAACATCACAAAGAATGTTCTGAGTTTGCTTCCGTTCAGTTATGGGAAGTTGATCCCGTTTCCAACGAAATCCTCAGAGAGGTCCAAATATCCCCTTGCAGATTCTGCAAAACGTGTGTTTGGGAACTGCTCCATCATAACGAATGTTCAGCTCTCTGAGTTAAACTCCATCGTCACAAAGTTTTTTCTGAGAGTGCTACCGTCTAGTTTTTATATGAAGTTCTTTCCTTTACTACCACAGGCCTCAAAGCGGTCCAAATCTCCACTTGCAGATTCTACAAAAAGAGTGTTTGCAAACTGCTCTATCAAAAGGAATGTTCAACTATGGGAGTTGAATGCAATCATCACAGAGCAGTTCCTGAGAATGCTTCTATGTTGTTTTTAGGAGAAGATATTTCCTTTTCCAACACAGTCCTCCAAGCCCGCTAAATATCCACTTGCACATTGTAGAAAAAGTGGGTCGAAGCTGCGCTATCAAAGGGAAAGTTCAACTCTGTGAGGTGAATGCAAACATCCCAAAGAAGTTTCTGAGAATGCTTCCGTTTAGCTTTTAGGTGAAGATTATCCCGTTTCCAACGAAATCTTCAAAGAGGTCCAAATATCCCCTTGCGGATCCCACAGAAAGAGTGTTTCGAAACTGCTGTTTCAAAAGGAATCTTCAACTCTGTGAGTTGAATGCAATCATCACAAAGAAGTTTCTGACAATGCTTCTCTCTCGTCTTTCTGTGAAGATAAAGGAAAAGGCTTTCAGGCCTTTTCCACCACAGGCCTGAAAGCGCTCCAAATGTCCACTTGCAGATTCTGCGAAAAGAATATTTCAAAACTGCTCTATGAAAAGCAATGTTAAACTCTGTGGCTGGAACACAAACATCACAAAGCAGTTTCTGAGAATGTTTCAGTTTAGTTTTTCTGTGGAAATATTCCCGTTTCCAAAGAAATCTTCAAAGAGGTCCACGTATCCACTTACAGATTCTACAAAAAGACAGTTTCAAAACTGCTCCATCAAAAGGAGGGTTCAACTGTGTGACTTGAATGCAATCATCACTCAGAAGTTTCTGAGAATGCTTCTCTTTAGTTTTTACGTGAACATATACCCGTTTCGAACGAAGGCCACCCAGTGGTCCAAATATCCACTTGCAGATTATACAGAAAGAGTGTTTCGAACCTGAACTCTCAAAGGCAGGTTCATCTCTGCGAGTTAAATGCATTCATCATGAAGAACTTTCTCAGAGTGTTTGTGTTTAGTTATGGGAAATTATTCCCGTTTCCAACGAAATCCTCAGAGAGCTGCAAATATCCACCTGCAGATTCTACCAAAAGTGTATTTGGAAACTGCTCCATCAAAAGGCATGTTCAGCTCTGTGAGTGAAACTCCATCATCACAACGAATATTCTGAGAATGCTTCCGTTTACCTTTTATATGAAGTTCCTTCCTATACGACCGTAGGCCTCAAAGCAGTCCAAATCTCCATTTGCAGATTCTACAAAAAGAGTGATTCCAATCTGCTCTATCAATAGGATTGTTCAACTCCATGAGTTGAATGCCATCCTCACAAAGTAGTTTCTGAGAATGCTTCTATCTAGTTTTTATGTGAAGATATTTCCTTTTCCACCACAGGCCTCAAAGCCCTCCAAACGTCCACTTGCAGATTCTCGAAAAAGAGTGTTTCATAGCTGCTCTTTCAAAAGGAAAGTTCAACTCTGGGAGTTGAATACAAACATCACAAAGTAGTTTCCGAGAATGCTTCTGTTTAGTTTTTATGTGAAGATGATGCCGTTTCCAGTGAAATCTTCAAAGAGGTCCACATATCCCCTTGCAGATTCCAAAGAAAGAGGGTTTCAAAACTGCTCCATCAGAAGGATTGTTCAACTCTGTGAGTTGAATGCAGTCATCGCAGAAAACTTTCTGAGAATGCTTCTGTCTAGGTTTGATGTGAAGATATAGACGTTTCAAACGAAGGCTACAAAGTGGTCAAAATATACACTTGCAGATTCTACTACAAGGGTGTTGCAAACCTGAACTATCAAAGGAAGGTTCAACTCTGTGAGTTGAATACAAACATCACAAAGAATGTTCTGAGTTTGCTTCCGTTCAGTTATGGGAAGTTGATCCCGTTTCCAACGAAATCCTCAGAGAGGTCCAAATATCCCCTCGCAGATTCTACAAAACGTGTGTTTGGAAACTGCTCCATCATAACGAATGTTCAGCTCCCTGAGTTAAACTCCATCGTCACAAAGAATTTTCTGAGAGTGCTACCGTCTGGTTTTTATATGAAGCTCTTTCCTTCACTACCACAGGCCTCAAAGCGGTCCAAATCTCCACTTGCAGATTCTACAAAAAGAGTGTTTGCAAACTGCTCTATCAAAAGGAATGTTCAACTCTGGGAGTTGAATGCAATCATCACAGAGCAGTTTCTGAGAATGCTTCTATGTCGTTTTTAGGAGAAGATATTTCCTTTTCCAACACAGTCCTCCAAGCCCGCTAAATAGCCACTTGCACATTGTAGAAAAAGTGTGTCAAAGCTGCGCTATCAAAGGGAAAGTTCAACTCTGTGAGGTGAATGCAAACATCCCAAAGAAGTTTCTGAGAATGCTTCCGTTTAGCTTTTAGGTGAAGATTATCCCGTTTCCAACGAAACCTTCAAAGAGGTCCAAATATCCCCTTGCGGATCCCACAGAAAGAGTGTTTCGAAACTGCTGTTTCAAAAGGAATCTTCAACTCTGTGAGTTGAATGCAATCATCACAAAGAAGTTTCTGACAATGCTTCTCTCTCGTCTTTCTGTGAAGATAAAGGAAAAGGCTTTCAGGCCTTTTCCACCACAGGCCTGAAAGCGCTCCAAAAGTCCACTTGCAGATTCTGCCAAAAGAATATTTCAAAACTGCTCTATGAAAAGCAATGTTAAACTCTGTGGCTCGAACACAAACATCACAAAGCAGTTTCTGAGAATGCTTCAGTTTAGTTTTTCTGTGGAAATATTCCCGTTTCCAAAGAAATCTTCAAAGAGGTCCACGTATCCACTTACAGATTCTACAAAAAGACAGTTTCAAAACTGCTCCATCAAAAGGAGGGTTCAACTGTGTGACTTGAATGCAATCATCACTCAGAAGTTTCTGAGAATGCTTCTCTTTAGTTTTTACGTGAACATATACCGTTTCGAACGAAGGCCACCCAGTGGTCCAAATATCCACTTGCAGATTCTACAGAAAGAGTGTTTCGAACCTGAACTCTCAAAGGCAGGTTCATCTCTGCGAGTTAAATGCATTCATCATGAAGAACTTTCTCAGAGTGTTTGTGTTTAGTTATGGGAAATTATTCCCGTTTCCAACGAAATCCTCAGAGAGCTCCAAATATCCACCTGCAGATTCTACCAAAAGTGTATTTGGAAACTGCTCCATCAAAAGGCATGTTCAGCTCTGTGAGTGAAACTCCATCATCACAAAGAATATTCTGAGAATGCTTCCGTTTGCCTTTTATATGAAGTTCCTTCCTATACGACCGTAGGCCTCAAAGCAGTCCAAATCTCCATTTGCAGATTCTACAAAAAGAGTGATTCCAATCTGCTCTATCAATAGGATTGTTCAACTCCATGAGTTGAATGCCATCCTCACAAAGTAGTTTCTGAGAATGCTTCTATCTAGTTTTTATGTGAAGATATTTCCTTTTCCACCACAGGCCTCAAAGCCCTCCAAACGTCCACTTGCAGATTCTCGAAAAAGAGTGTTTCATAGCTGCTCTTTCAAAAGGAAAGTTCAACTCTGGGAGTTGAATACAAACATCACAAAGTAGTTTCCGAGAATGCTTCTGTTTAGTTTTTATGTGAAGATGATCCCGTTTCCAGTGAAATCTTCAAAGAGGTCCACATATCCCCTTGCAGATTCCAAAGAAAGAGGGTTTCAAAACTGCTCCATCAGAAGGATTGTTCAACTCTGTGAGTTGAATGCAGTCATCGCAGAAAACTTTCTGAGAATGCTTCTGTCTAGGTTTGATGTGAAGATATAGACGTTTCAAACGAAGGCTACAAAGTGGTCAAAATATACACTTGCAGATTCTACTACAAGGGTGTTGCAAACCTGAACTATCAAAGGAAGGTTCAACTCTGTGAGTTGAATACAAACATCACAAAGAATGTTCTGAGTTTGCTTCCGTTCAGTTATGGGAAGTTGATCCCGTTTCCAACGAAATCCTCAGAGAGGTCCAAATATCCCCTTGCAGATTCTACAAAACGTGTGTTTGGAAACTGCTCCATCATAACGAATGTTCAGCTCCCTGAGTTAAACTCCATCGTCACAAAGAATTTTCTGAGAGTGCTACCGTCTGGTTTTTATATGAAGTTCTTTCCTTCACTACCACAGGCCTCAAAGCGGTCCAAATCTCCACTTGCAGATTCTACAAAAAGAGTGTTTGCAAACTGCTCTATCAAAAGGAATGTTCAACTCTGGGAGTTGAATGCAATCATCACAGAGCAGTTTCTGAGAATGCTTCTATGTCGTTTTTAGGAGAAGATATTTCCTTTTCCAACACAGTCCTCCAAGCCCACTAAATAGCCACTTGCACATTGTAGAAAAAGTGTGTCAAAGCTGCGCTATCAAAGGGAAAGTTCAACTCTGTGAGGTGAATGCAAACATCCCAAAGAAGTTTCTGAGAATGCTTCCGTTTAGCTTTTAGGTGAAGATTATCCCGTTTCCAACGAAACCTTCAAAGAGGTCCAAATATCCCCTTGCGGATCCCACAGAAAGAGTGTTTCAAAACTGCTGTTTCAAAAGGAATCTTCAACTCTGTGAGTTGAATGCAATCATCACAAAGAAGTTTCTGACAATGCTTCTCTCTCGTCTTTCTGTGAAGATAAAGGAAAAGGCTTTCAGGCCTTTTCCACCACAGGCCTGAAAGCGCTCCAAATGTCCACTTGCAGATTCTGCCAAAAGAATATTTCAAAACTGCTCTATGAAAAGCAATGTTAAACTCTGTGGCTGGAACACAAACATCACAAAGCGGTTTCTGAGAATGTTTCAGTTTAGTTTTTCTGTGGAAATATTCCCGTTTCCAAAGAAATCTTCAAAGAGGTCCACGTATCCACTTACAGATTCTACAAAAAGACAGTTTCAAAACTGCTCCATCAAAAGGAGGGTTCAACTGTGTGACTTGAATGCAATCATCACTCAGAAGTTTCTGAGAATGCTTCTCTTTAGTTTTTACGTGAACATATACCCGTTTCGAACGAAGGCCACCCAGTGGTCCAAATATCCACTTGCAGATTATACAGAAAGAGTGTTTCGAACCTGAACTCTCAAAGGCAGGTTCATCTCTGCGAGTTAAATGCATTCATCATGAAGAACTTTCTCAGAGTGTTTGTGTTTAGTTATGGGAAATTATTCCCGTTTCCAACAAAATCCTCAGAGAGCTCCAAATATCCACCTGCAGATTCTACCAAAAGTGTATTTGGAAACTGCTCCATCAAAAGGCATGTTCAGCTCTGTGAGTGAAACTCCATCATCACAAAGAATATTCTGAGAATGCTTCCGTTTGCCTTTTATATGAAGTTCCTTCCTGTACTACCGTAGGCCTCAAAGCAGTCCAAATCTCCATTTGCAGATTCTACAAAAAGAGTGATTCCAATCTGCTCTATCAATAGGATTGTTCAACTCCATGAGTTGAATGCCATCCTCACAAAGTAGTTTCTGAGAATGCTTCTATCTGGTTTTTGTGTGAAGATATTTCCTTTTCCACCACAGGCCTCAAAGCCCTCCAAACGTCCACTTGCAGATTCTAGAAAAAGAGTGTTTCATAGCTGCTCTTTCAAAAGGAAAGTTCAACTCTGGGAGTTGAATACAAACATCACAAAGTAGTTTCCGAGAATGCTTCTGTTTAGTTTTTATGTGAAGATGATCCCGTTTCCAGTGAAATCTTCAAAGAGGTCCACATATCCCCTTGCAGATTCCAAAGAAAGAGGGTTTCAAAACTGCTCCATCAGAAGGATTGTTCAACTCTGTGAGTTGAATGCAGTCATCGCAGAAAACTTTCTGAGAATGCTTCTGTCTAGGTTTGATGTGAAGATATAGATATTTCAAACGAAGGCTACAAAGTGGTCAAAATATACACTTGCAGATTCTACTACAAGGGTGTTGCAAACCTGAACTATCAAAGGAAGGTTCAACTCTGTGAGTTGAATACAAACATCACAAAGAATGTTCTGAGTTTGCTTCCGTTCAGTTATGGGAAGTTGATCCCGTTTCCAACGAAATCCTCAGAGAGGTCCAAATATCCCCTTGCAGATTCTACAAAACGTGTGTTTGGAAACTGCTCCATCATAACGAATGTTCAGCTCCCTGAGTTAAACTCCATCGTCACAAAGAATTTTCTGAGAGTGCTACCGTCTGGTTTTTATATGAAGTTCTTTCCTTCACTACCACAGGCCTCAAAGCGGTCCAAATCTCCACTTGCAGATTCTACAAAAAGAGTGTTTGCAAACTGCTCTATCAAAAGGAATGTTCAACTCTGGGAGTTGAATGCAATCATCACAGAGCAGTTTCTGAGAATGCTTCTATGTCGTTTTTAGGAGAAGATATTTCCTTTTCCAACACAGTCCTCCAAGCCCGCTAAATAGCCACTTGCACATTGTAGAAAAAGTGTGTCGAAGCTGCGCTATCAAAGGGAAAGTTCAACTCTGTGAGGTGAATGCAAACATCCCAAAGAAGTTTCTGAGAATGCTTCCGTTTAGCTTTTAGGTGAAGATTATCCCGTTTCCAACGAAACCTTCAAAGAGGTCCAAATATCCCCTTGCGGATCCCACAGAAAGAGTGTTTCGAAACTGCTGTTTCAAAAGGAATCTTCAACTCTGTGAGTTGAATGCAATCATCACAAAGAAGTTTCTGACAATGCTTCTCTCTCGTCTTTCTGTGAAGATAAAGGAAAAGGCTTTCAGGCCTTTTCCACCACAGGCCTGAAAGCGCTCCAAATGTCCACTTGCAGATTCTGTGAAAAGAATATTGCAAAACTGCTCTATGAAAAGCAATGTTAAACTCTGTGGCTCGAACACAAACATCACAAAGCAGTTTCTGAGAATGCTTCAGTTTAGTTTTTCTGTGGAAATATTCCCGTTTCCAAAGAAATCTTCAAAGAGGTCCACGTATCCACTTACAGATTCTACAAAAAGACAGTTTCAAAACTGCTCCATCAAAAGGAGGGTTCAACCGTGTGACTTGAATGCAATCATCACTCAGAAGTTTCTGAGAATGCTTCTCTTTAGTTTTTACGTGAACATATACCCGTTTCGAACGAAGGCCACCCAGTGGTCCAAATATCCACTTGCAGATTATACAGAAAGAGTGTTTCGAACCTGAACTCTCAAAGGCAGGTTCATCTCTGCGGGTTAAAAGCATTCATCATGAAGAACTTTCTCAGAGTGTTTGTGTTTAGTTATGGGAAATTATTCCCGTTTCCAACGAAATCCTCAGAGAGCTCCAAATATCCACCTGCAGATTCTACCAAAAGTGTATTTGGAAACTGCTCCATCAAAAGGCATGTTCAGCTCTGTGAGTGAAACTCCATCATCACAAAGAATATTCTGAGAATGCTTCCGTTTGCCTTTTATATGAAGTTCCTTCCTGTACTACCGTAGGCCTCAAAGCAGTCCAAATCTCCATTTGCAGATTCTATAAAAAGAGTGATTCCAATCTGCTCTATCAATAGGATTGTTCAACTCCATGAGTTGAATGCCATCCTCACAAAGTAGTTTCTGAGAATGCTTCTATCTGGTTTTTGTGTGAAGATATTTCCTTTTCCACCACAGGCCTCAAAGCCCTCCAAACGTCCACTTGCAGATTCTCGAAAAAGAGTGTTTCATAGCTGCTCTTTCAAAAGGAAAGTTCAACTCTGGGAGTTGAATACAAACATCACAAAATAGTTTCCGAGAATGCTTCTGTTTAGTTTTTATGTGAAGATGATCCCGTTTCCAGTGAAATCTTCAAAGAGGTCCACATATCCCCTTGCAGATTCCAAAGAAAGAGGGTTTCAAAACTGCTCCATCAGAAGGATTGTTCAACTCTGTGAGTTGAATGCAGTCATCGCAGAAAACTTTCTGAGAATGCTTCTGTCTAGGTTTGATGTGAAGATATAGACGTTTCAAACGAAGGCTACAAAGTGGTCAAAATATACACTTGCAGATTCTACTACAAGGGTGTTGCAAACCTGAACTATCAAAGGAAGGTTCAACTCTGTGAGTTGAATACAAACATCACAAAGAATGTTCTGAGTTTGCTTCCGTTCAGTTATGGGAAGTTGATCCCGTTTCCAACGAAATCCTCAGAGAGGTCCAAATATCCCCTTGCAGATTCTACAAAACGTGTGTTTGGAAACTGCTCCATCATAACGAATGTTCAGCTCTCTGAGTTAAACTCCATCGTCACAAAGAATTTTCTGAGAGTGCTACCGTCTAGTTTTTATATGAAGTTCTTTCCTTTACTACCACAGGCCTCAAAGCGGTCCAAATCTCCACTTGCAGATTCTACAAAAAGAGTGTCTGCAAACTGCTCTATCAAAAGGAATGTTCAACTCTGGGAGTTGAATGCAATCATCACAGAGCAGTTTCTGAGAATGCTTCTATGTCGTTTTTAGGAGAAGATATTTCCTTTTCCAACACAGTCCTCCAAGCCCGCTAAATATCCACTTGCACATTGTAGAAAAAGTGTGTCGAAGCTGCGCTATCAAAGGGAAAGTTCAACTCTGTGAGGTGAATGCAAACATCCCAAAGAAGTTTCTGAGAATGCTTCCGTTTAGCTTTTAGGTGAAGATTATCCCGTTTCCAACGAAATCTTCAAAGAGGTCAAAATATCCCCTTGCGGATCCCACAGAAAGAGTGTTTCGAAACTGCTGTTTCAAAAGGAATCTTCAACTCTGTGAGTTGAATGCAGTCATCACAAAGAAGTTTCTGACAATGCTTCTCTCTCGTCTTTCTGTGAAGATAAAGGAAAAGGCTTTCAGGCCTTTTCCACCACAGGCCTGAAAGCGCTCCAAATGTCCACTTGCAGATTCTGCCAAAAGAATATTTCAAAACTGCTCTATGAAAAGCAATGTTAAACTCTGTGGCTCGAACACAAACATCACAAAGCAGTTTCTGAGAATGCTTCAGTTTAGTTTTTCTGTGGAAATATTCCCGTTTCCAAAGAAATCTTCAAAGAGGTCCACGCATCCACTTACAGATTCTACAAAAAGACAGTTTCAAAACTGCTCAATCAAAAGGAGGGTTCAACTGTGTGACTTGAATGCAATCATCACTCAGAAGTTTCTGAGAACGCTTCTCTTTAGTTTTTACGTGAACATATACCCGTTTGGAATGAAGGCCAGCCAGTGGTCCAAATATCCACTTGCAGATTCCACAGAAAGAGTGTTTCGAACCTGAACTCTCAAAGGCAGGTTCATCTCTGCGAGTTAAATGCATTCATCATGAAGAACTTTCTCAGCGTGTTTGTGTTTAGTTATGGGAAATTATTCCCGTTTCCAACGAAATCCTCAGAGAGCTCCAAATATCCACCTGCAGATTGTACCAAAAGTGTATTTGGAAACTGCTCCATGAAAAGGCATGTTCAGCTCTGTGAGTGAAACTCCGTCATCACAAAGAATATTCTGAGAATGCTTCCGTTTGCCTTTTATATGAAGTTCCTTCCTATACGACCGTAGGCCTCAAAGCAGTCCAAATCTCCATTTGCAGATTCTACAAAAAGAGTGATTCCAATCTGCTCTATCAATAGGATTGTTCAACTCCATGAGTTGAATGCCATCCTCACAAAGTAGTTTCTGAGAATGCTTCTATCTGGTTTTTGTGTGAAGATATTTCCTTTTCCACCACAGGCCTCAAAGCCCTCCAAACGTCCACTTGCAGATTCTCGAAAAAGAGTGTTTCATAGCTGCTCTTTCAAAAGGAAAGTTCAACTCTGGGAGTTGAATACAAACATCACAAAGAATGTTCTGAGTTTGCTTCCGTTCAGTTATGGGAAGTTGATCCCGTTTCCAACGAAATCCTCAGAGAGGTCCAAATATCCCCTTGCAGATTCTACAAAACGTGTGTTTGGAAACTGCTCCATCATAACGAATGTTCAGCTCCCTGAGTTAAACTCCATCGTCACAAAGAATTTTCTGAGAGTGCTACCGTCTGGTTTTTATATGAAGTTCTTTCCTTCACTACCACAGGCCTCAAAGCGGTCCAAATCTCCACTTGCAGATTCTACAAAAAGAGTGTTTGCAAACTGCTCTATCAAAAGGATTGTTCAACTCTGGGAGTTGAATGCAATCATCACAGAGCAGTTTCTGAGAATGCTTCTATGTCGTTTTTAGGAGAAGATATTTCCTTTTCCAACACAGTCCTCCAAGCCCGCTAAATAGCCACTTGCACATTGTAGAAAAAGTGTGTCAAAGCTGCGCTATCAAAGGGAAAGTTCAACTCTGTGAGGTGAATGCAAACATCCCAAAGAAGTTTCTGAGAATGCTTCCGTTTAGCTTTTAGGTGAAGATTATCCCGTTTCCAACGAAACCTTCAAAGAGGTCCAAATATCCCCTTGCGGATCCCACAGAAAGAGTGTTTCGAAACTGCTGTTTCAAAAGGAATCTTCAACTCTGTGAGTTGAATGCAATCATCACAAAGAAGTTTCTGACAATGCTTCTCTCTCGTCTTTCTGTGAAGATAAAGGAAAAGGCTTTCAGGCCTTTTCCACCACAGGCCTGAAAGCGCTCCAAATGTCCACTTGCAGATTCTGCCAAAAGAATATTTCAAAACTGCTCTATGAAAAGCAATGTTAAACTCTGTGGCTCGAACACAAACATCACAAAGCGGTTTCTGAGAATGCTTCAGTTTAGTTTTTCTGTGGAAATATTCCCGTTTCCAAAGAAATCTTCAAAGAGGTCCACATATCCACTTACAGATTCTACAAAAAGACAGTTTCAAAACTGCTCCATCAAAAGGAGGGTTCAACTGTGTGACTTGAATGCAATCATCACTCAGAAGTTTCTGAGAATGCTTCTCTTTAGTTTTTACGTGAACATATACCCGTTTCGAACGAAGGCCAGCCAGTGGTCCAAATATCCACTTGCAGATTCTACAGAAAGAGTGTTTCGAACCTGAACTCTCAAAGGCAGGTTCATCTCTGCGAGTTAAATGCATTCATCATGAAGAACTTTCTCAGAGTGTTTGTGCTTAGTTATGGGAAATTATTCCCGTTTCCAACGAAATCCTCAGAGTGGTCCAAATATCCACCTGCAGATTCTACCAAAAGTGTATTTGGAAACTGCTCCATCAAAAGGCATGTTCAGCTCTGTGAGTGAAACTCCATCATCACAAAGAATATTCTGAGAATGCTTCCGTTTGCCTTTTTATGAAGTTCCTTCCTATACTACCGTAGGCCTCAAAGCAGTCCAAATCTCCATTTGCAGATTCTACAAAAAGAGTGATTCCAATCTGCTCTATCAATAGGATTGTTCAACTCCATGAGTTGAATGCCATCGTCACAAAGTAGTTTCTGAGAATGCTTCTATCTAGTTTTTATGTGAAGATATTTCCTTTTCCACCACAGGCCTCAAAGCCCTCCAAACGTCCACTTGCAGATTCTCGAAAAAGAGTGTTTCATAGCTGCTCTTTCAAAAGGAAAGTTCAACTCTGGGAGTTGAATACAAACATCACAAAGTAGTTTCCGAGAATGCTTCTGTTTAGTTTTTATGTGAAGATGATCCCGTTTCCAGTGAAATCTTCAAAGAGGTCCACATATCGCCTTGCAGATTCCAAAGAAAGAGGGTTTCAAAACTGCTCCATCAGAAGGATTGTTCAACTCTGTGAGTTGAATGCAGTCATCGCAGAAAACTTTCTGAGAATGCTTCTGTCTAGGTTTGATGTGAAGATATAGACGTTTCAAACAAAGGCTACAAAGTGGTCAAAATATACACTTGCAGATTCTACTACAAGGGTGTTGCAAACCTGAACTATCAAAGGAAGGTTCAACTCTGTGAGTTGAATACAAACATCACAAAGAATGTTCTGAGTTTGCTTCCGTTCAGTTATGGGAAGTTGATCCCGTTTCCAACGAAATCCTCAGAGAGGTCCAAATATCCCCTTGCAGATTCTACAAAACGTGTGTTTGGAAACTGCTCCATCATAACGAATGTTCAGCTCCCTGAGTTAAACTCCATCGTCACAAAGAATTTTCTGAGAGTGCTACCGTCTGGTTTTTATATGAAGCTCTTTCCTTCACTACCACAGGCCTCAAAGCGGTCCAAATCTCCACTTGCAGATTCTACAAAAAGAGTGTTTGCAAACTGCTCTATCAAAAGGAATGTTCAACTCTGGGAGTTGAATGCAATCATCACAGAGCAGTTTCTGAGAATGCTTCTATGTCGTTTTTAGGAGAAGATATTTCCTTTTCCAACACAGTCCTCCAAGCCCGCTAAATAGCCACTTGCACATTGTAGAAAAAGTGTGTCAAAGCTGCGCTATCAAAGGGAAAGTTCAACTCTGTGAGGTGAATGCAAACATCCCAAAGAAGTTTCTGAGAATGCTTCCGTTTAGCTTTTAGGTGAAGATTATCCCGTTTCCAACGAAACCTTCAAAGAGGTCCAAATATCCCCTTGCGGATCCCACAGAAAGAGTGTTTCGAAACTGCTGTTTCAAAAGGAATCTTCAACTCTGTGAGTTGAATGCAATCATCACAAAGAAGTTTCTGACAATGCTTCTCTCTCGTCTTTCTGTGAAGATAAAGGAAAAGGCTTTCAGGCCTGTTCCACCACAGGCCTGAAAGCACTCCAAATGTCCACTTGCAGATTCTGCGAAAAGAATATTTCAAAACTGCTCTATGAAAAGCAATGTTAAACTCTGTGGCTGGAACACAAACATCACAAAGCGGTTTCTGAGAATGTTTCAGTTTAGTTTTTCTGTGGAAATATTCCCGTTTCCAAAGAAATCTTCAAAGAGGTCCACGTATCCACTTACAGATTCTACAAAAAGACAGTTTCAAAACTGCTCCATCAAAAGGAGGGTTCAACTGTGTGACTTGAATGCAATCATCACTCAGAAGTTTCTGAGAATGCTTCTCTTTAGTTTTTACGTGAACATATACCCGTTTCGAACGAAGGCCACCCAGTGGTCCAAATATCCACTTGCAGATTCTACAGAAAGAGTGTTTCGAACCTGAACTCTCAAAGGCAGGTTCATCTCTGCGAGTTAAATGCATTCATCATGAAGAACTTTCTCAGAGTGTTTGTGTTTAGTTATGGGAAATTATTCCCGTTTCCAACGAAATCCTCAGAGAGCTCCAAATATCCACCTGCTGATTCTACCAAAAGTGTATTTGGAAACTGCTCCATCAAAAGGCATGTTCAGCTCTGTGAGTGAAACTCCATCATCACAAAGAATATTCTGAGAATGCTTCCGTTTGCCTTTTATATGAAGTTCCTTCCTATACGACCGTAGGCCTCAAAGCAGTCCAAATCTCCATTTGCAGATTCTACAAAAAGAGTGATTCCAATCTGCTCTATCAATAGTATTGTTCAACTCCATGAGGTGAATGCCATCCTCACAAAGTCGTTTCTGAGAATGCTTCTATCTAGTTTTTATGTGAAGATATTTCCTTTTCCACCACAGGCCTCAAAGCCCTCCAAACGTCCACTTGCAGATTCTCGAAAAAGAGTGTTTCATAGCTGCTCTTTCAAAAGGAAAGTTCAACTCTGGGAGTTGAATACAAACATCACAAAGTAGTTTCCGAGAATGCTTCTGTTTAGTTTTTATGTGAAGATGATCCCGTTTCCAGTGAAATCTTCAAAGAGGTCCACATATCCCCTTGCAGATTCCAAAGAAAGAGGGTTTCAAAACTGCTCCATCAAAAGGATTGTTCAACTCTGTGAGTTGAATGCAGTCATCGCAGAAAACTTTCTGAGAATGCTTCTTTCTAGGTTTGATGTGAAGATATAGACGTTTCAAACGAAGGCTACAAAGTGGTCAAAATATACACTTGCAGATTCTACTACAAGGGTGTTGCAAACCTGAACTATCAAAGGAAGGTTCAACTCTGTGAGTTGAATACAAACATCACAAAGAATGTTCTGAGTTTGCTTCCGTTCAGTTATGGGAAGTTGATCCCGTTTCCAACGAAATCCTCAGAGAGGTCCAAATATCCCCTTGCAGATTCTACAAAACGTGTGTTTGGAAACTGCTCCATCATAACGAATGTTCAGCTCCCTGAGTTAAACTCCATCGTCACAAAGAATTTTCTGAGAGTGCTACCGTCTGGTTTTTATATGAAGTTCTTTCCTTCACTACCACAGGCCTCAAAGCGGTCCAAATCTCCACTTGCAGATTCTACAAAAAGAGTGTTTGCAAACTGCTCTATCAAAAGGAATGTTCAACTCTGGGAGTTGAATGCAATCATCACAGAGCAGTTTCTGAGAATGCTTCTATGTCGTTTTTAGGAGAAGATATTTCCTTTTCCAACACAGTCCTCCAAGCCCGCTAAATATCCACTTGCACATTGTAGAAAAAGTGTGTCGAAGCTGCGCTATCAAAGGGAAAGTTCAACTCTGTGAGGTGAATGCAAACATCCCAAAGAAGTTTCTGAGAATGCTTCCGTTTAGCTTTTAGGTGAAGATTATCCCGTTTGCAACGAAATCTTCAAAGAGGTCCAAATATCCCCTTGCGGATCCCACAGAAAGAGTGTTTCGAAACTGCTGTTTCAAAAGGAATCTTCAACTCTGTGAGTTGAATGCAATCATCACAAAGAAGTTTCTGACAATGCTTCTCTCTCATCTTTCTGTGAAGATAAAGGAAAAGGCTTTCAGGCCTTTTCCACCACAGGCCTGAAAGCGCTCCAAATGTCCACTTGCAGATTCTGCCAAAAGAATATTTCAAAACTGCTCTATGAATAGCAATGTTAAATTCTGCGGCTCGAACACAAACATAACAAAGCAGTTTCTGAGAATGCTTCAGTTTAGTTTTTCTGTGGAAATATTCCCGTTTCCAAAGAAATCTTCAAAGAGGTCCACGCATCCACTTAGAGATTCTACAAAAAGACAGTTTCAAAACTGCTCAATCAAAAGGAGGGTTCAACTGTGTGACTTGAATGCAATCATCACTCAGAAGTTTCTGAGAATGCATCTCTTTAGTTTTTACGTGAACATATACCCGTTTCGAACGAAGGCCAGCCAGTGGTCCAAATATCCACTTGCAGATTCTACAGAAAGAGTGTTTCGAACCTGAACTCTCAAAGGCAGGTTCATCTCTGTGAGTTAAATGCATTCATCATGAAGAACTTTCTCAGCGTGTTTGTGTTTAGTTATGGGAAATTATTCCCGTTTCCAACGAAATCCTCAGAGAGCTCCAAATATCCACCTGCAGATTCTACCAAAAGTTTATTTGGAAACTGCTCCATCAAAAGGTATGTTCAGCTCTGTGAGTGAAACTCCATCATCACAAAGAATATTCTGAGAATGCTTCCGTTTGCCTTTTATCTGAAGTTCCTTCCTATACGACCGTAGGCCTCAAAGCAGTCCAAATCTCCATTTGCAGATTCTACAAAAAGAGTGATTCCAATCTGCTCTATCAATAGGATTGTTCAACTCCATGAGTTGAATGCCATCCTCACAAAGTCGTTTCTGAGAATGCTTTCTATCTAGTTTTTATGTGAAGATATTTCCTTTTCCACCACAGGCCTCAAAGCCCTCCAAACGTCCACTTTCAGATTCTCGAAAAAGAGTGTTTCATAGCTGCTCTTTCAAAAGGAAAGTTCAACTCTGGGAGTTGAATACAAACATCACAAAGTAGTTTCCGAGAATGCTTTCTGTTTAGTTCTTATGTGAAGATGATCCCGTTTCCAGTGAAATCTTCAAAGAGGTCCACATATCCCCTTGCAGATTCCAAAGAAAGAGGGTTTCAAAACTGCTCCATCAAAAGGATTGTTCAACTCTGTGAGTTGAATGCAGTCATCGCAGAAAACTTTCTGAGAATGCTTCTGTCTAGGTTTGATGTGAAGATATAGACGTTTCAAACGAAGGCTACAAAGTGGTCAAAATATACACTTGCAGATTCTACTACAAGGGTGTTGCAAACCTGAACTATCAAAGGAAGGTTCAACTCTGTGAATTGAATACAAACATCACAAAGAATGTTCTGAGTTTGCTTCCGTTCAGTTATGGGAAGTTGATCCCGTTTCCAACGAAATCCTCAGAGAGGTCCAAATATCCCCTCGCAGATTCTACAAAACATGTGTTTGGAAACTGCTCCATCATAACGAATGTTCAGCTCCCTGAGTTAAACTCCATCGTCACAAAGAATTTTCTGAGAGTGCTACCGTCTGGTTTTTATATGAAGTTCTTTCCTTCACTACCACAGGCCTCAAAGCGGTCCAAATCTCCACTTGCAGATTCTACAAAAAGAGTGTTTGCAAACTGCTCTATCAAAAGGAATGTTCAACTCTGGGAGTTGAATGCAATCATCACAGAGCAGTTTCTGAGAATGCTTCTATGTCGTTTTTAGGAGAAGATATTTCCTTTTCCAACACAGTCCTCCAAGCCCGCTAAATAGCCACTTGCACATTGTAGAAAAAGTGTGTCAAAGCTGCGCTATCAAAGGGAAAGTTCAACTCTGTGAGGTGAATGCAAACATCCCAAAGAAGTTTCTGAGAATGCTTCCGTTTAGCTTTTAGGTGAAGATTATCCCGTTTCCAACGAAACCTTCAAAGAGGTCCAAATATCCCCTTGCGGATCCCACAGAAAGAGTGTTTCGAAACTGCTGTTTCAAAAGGAAAATCAACTCTGTGAGTTGAATGCAATCATCACAAAGAAGTTTCTGACAATGCTTCTCTCTCGTCTTTCTGTGAAGATAAAGGAAAAGGCTTTCAGGCCTTTTCCACCACAGGCCTGAAAGCGCTCCAAATGTCCACTTGCAGATTCTGCCAAAAGAATATTTCAAAACTGCTCTATGAAAAGCAATGTTAAACTCTGTGGCTCGAACACAAACATCACAAAGCGGTTTCTGAGAATGCTTCAGTTTAGTTTTTCTGTGGAAATATTCCCGTTTCCAAAGAAATCTTCAAAGAGGTCCACGTATCCACTTACAGATTCTACAAAAAGACAGTTTCAAAACTGCTCCATCAAAAGGAGGGTTCAACTGTGTGACTTGAATGCAATCATCACTCAGAAGTTTCTGAGAATGCTTCTCTTTAGTTTTTACGTGAACATATACCCGTTTCGAACGAAGCCACCCAGTGGTCCAAATATCCACTTGCAGATTCTACAGAAAGAGTGTTTCGAACCTGAACTCTCAAAGGCAGGTTCATCTCTGCGAGTTAAATGCATTCATCATGAAGAACTTTCTCAGAGTGTTTGTGTTTAGTTATGGGAAATTATTCCCGTTTCCAACGAAATCCTCAGAGAGCTCCAAATATCCACCTGCAGATTCTACCAAAAGTGTATTTGGAAACTGCTCCATCAAAAGGCATGTTCAGCTCTGTGAGTGAAACTCCATCATCACAAAGAATATTCTGAGAATGCTTCCGTTTGCCTTTTATATGAAGTTCCTTCCTGTACTACTGTAGGCCTCAAAGCAGTCCAAATCTCCATTTGCAGATTCTACAAAAAGAGTGATTCCAATCTGCTCTATCAATAGGATTGTTCAACTCCATGAGTTGAATGCCATCCTCACAAAGTAGTTTCTGAGAATGCTTCTATCTGGTTTTTGTGTGAAGATATTTCCTTTTCCACCAGAGGCCTCAAAGCCCTCCAAACGTCCACTTGCAGATTCTCGAAAAAGAGTGTTTCATAGCTGCTCTTTCAAAAGGAAAGTTCAACTCTGGGAGTTGAATACAAACATCACAAAGTAGTTTCCGAGAATGCTTCTGTTTAGTTTTTATATGAAGATGATCCCGTTTCCAGTGAAATCTTCAAAGAGGTCCACATATCGCCTTGCAGATTCCAAAGAAAGAGGGTTTCAAAACTGCTCCATCAGAAGGATTGTTCAACTCTGTGAGTTGAATGCAGTCATCGCAGAAAACTTTCTGAGAATGCTTCTGTCTAGGTTTGATGTGAAGATATAGACGTTTCAAACGAAGGCTACAAAGTGGTCAAAATATACACTTGCAGATTCTGCTACAAGGGTGTTGCAAACCTGAACTATCAAAGGAAGGTTCAACTCTGTGAGTTGAATACAAACATCACAAAGAATGTTCTGAGTTTGCTTCCGTTCAGTTATGGGAAGTTGATCCCGTTTCCAACAAAATCCTCAGAGAGGTCCAAATATCCCCTTGCAGATTCTACAAAACGTGTGTTGGGAAACTGCTCCATCATAACGAATGTTCAGCTCCCTGAGTTAAACTCCATCGTCACAAAGAATTTTCTGAGAGTGCTACCGTCTGGTTTTTATATGAAGTTCTTTCCTTTACTACCATAGGCCTCAAAGCGGTCCAAATCTCCACTTGCAGATTCTACAAAAAGAGTGTTTGCAAACTGCTCTATCAAAAGGAATGTTCAACCCTGGGAGTTGAATGCAATCATCACAGAGCAGTTTCTGAGAATGCTTCTATGTCGTTTTTAGGAGAAGATATTTCCTTTTCCAACACAGTCCTCCAAGCCCGCTAAATAGCCACTTGCACATTGTAGAAAAAGTGTGTCAAAGCTGCGCTATCAAAGGGAAAGTTCAACTCTGAGAGGTGAATGCAAACATCCCAAAGAAGTTTCTGAGAGTGCTTCCGTTTAGCTTTTAGGTGAAGATTATCCCGTTTCCAACGAAACCTTCAAAGAGGTCCAAATATCCCCTTGCGGATCCCACAGAAAGAGTGTTTCGAAACTGCTGTTTCAAAAGGAATCTTCAACTCTGTGAGTTGAATGCAATCATCACAAAGAAGTTTCTGACAATGCTTCTCTCTCGTCTTTCTGTGAAGATAAAGGAAAAGGCTTTCAGGCCTTTTCCACCACAGGCCTGAAAGCGCTCCAAAAGAATATTTCAAAACTGCTCTATGAAAAGCAATGTTAAACTCTGTGGCTCGAACACAAACATCACAAAGCGGTTTCTGAGAATGCTTCAGTTTAGTTTTTCTGTGGAAATATTCCCGTTTCCAAAGAAATCTTCAAAGAGGTCCACGTATCCACTTACAGATTCTACAAAAAGACAGTTTCAAAACTGCTCCATCAAAAGGAGGGTTCAACTGTGTGACTTGAATGCAATCATCACTCAGAAGTTTCTGAGAATGCTTCTCTTTAGTTTTTACGTGAACATATACCCGTTTCGAACGAAGGCCACCCAGTGGTCCAAATATCCACTTGCAGATTCTACAGAAAGAGTGTTTCGAACCTGAACTCTCAAAGGCAGGTTCATCTCTGCGAGTTAAATGCATTCATCATGAAGAACTTTCTCAGAGTGTTTGTGTTTAGTTATGGGAAATTATTCCCGTTTCCAACGAAATCCTCAGAGAGCTCCAAATATCCACCTGCAGATTCTACCAAAAGTGTATTTGGAAACTGCTCCATCAAAAGGCATGTTCAGCTCTGTGAGTGAAACTCCATCATCACAAAGAATATTCTGAGAATGCTTCTATCTGGTTTTTGTGTGAAGATATTTCCTTTTCCACCACAGGCCTCAAAGCCCTCCAAACGTCCACTTGCAGATTCTCGAAAAAGAGTGTTTCATAGCTGCTCTTTCAAAAGGAAAGTTCAACTCTGGGAGTTGAATACAAACATCACAAAATAGTTTCCGAGAATGCTTCAGTTTAGTTTTTATGTGAAGATGATCCCGTTTCCAGTGAAATCTTCAAAGAGGTCCACATATCCCCTTGCAGATTCCAAAGAAAGAGGGTTTCAAAACTGCTCCATCAGAAGGATTGTTCAACTCTGTGAGTTGAATGCAGTCATCGCAGAAAACTTTCTGAGAATGCTTCTGTCTAGGTTTGATGTGAAGATATAGAAGTTTCAAACGAAGGCTACAAAGTGGTCAAAATATATACTTGCAGATTCTACTACAAGGGTGTTGCAAACCTGAACTATCAAAGGAAGGTTCAACTCTGTGAGTTGAATACAAACATCACAAAGAATGTTCTGAGTTTGCTTCCGTTCAGTTATGGGAAGTTGATCCCGTTTCCAACGAAATCCTCAGAGAGGTCCAAATATCCCCTTGCAGATTCTACAAAACGTGTGTTTGGAAACTGCTCCATCATAACGAATGTTCAGCTCCCTGAGTTAAACTCCATCGTCACAAAGAATTTTCTGAGAGTGCTACCGTGTGGTTTTTATATGAAATTCTTACCTTCACTGCCACAGACCTCAAAGCGGTCCAAATCTCCACTTGCAGATTCTACAAAAAGAGTGTTTGCAAACTGCTCTATCAAAAGGAATGTTCAACTCTGGGAGTTGAATGCAATCATCACAGAGCAGTTTCTGAGAATGCTTCTATGTGGTTTTTAGGAGAAGATATTTCCCTTTCCACCACAGTCCTCCAAGCCCGCTAAATATCCACTTGCACATTGTAGAAAAAGTGTGTCGAAGCTGCGCTATCAAAGGGAAAGTTCAACTCTGTGAGGTGAATGCAAACATCCCAAAGAAGTTTCTGAGAATGCTTCCGTTTAGCTTTTAGGTGAAGATTATCCCGTTTCCAACGAAATCTTCAAAGAGGTCCAAATATCCCCTTGCGGATCCCACAGAAAGAGTGTTTCGAAACTGCTGTTTCAAAAGGAATCTTCAACTCTGTGAGTTGAATGCAATCATCACAAAGAAGTTTCTGACAATGCTTCTCTCTCGTCTTTCTGTGAAGATAAAGGAAAAGGCTTTCAGGCCTTTTCCACCACAGGCCTGAAAGCGCTCCAAATGTCCACTTGCAGATTCTGCGAAAAGAATATTTCAAAACTGCTCTATGAGAAGCAATGTTAAACTCTGTGGCTCGAACACAAACATCACAAAGCAGTTTCTGAGAATGCTTCAGTTTAGTTTTTCTGTGGAAATATTCCCGTTTCCAAAGAAATCTTCAAAGAGGTCCACGTATCCACTTACAGATTCTACAAAAAGACAGTTTCAAAACTGCTCCATCAAAAGGAGGGTTCAACCGTGTGACTTGAATGCAATCATCACTCAGAAGTTTCTGAGAATGCTTCTCTTTAGTTTTTACGTGAACATATACCCGTTTCGAACGAAGGCCACCCAGTGGTCCAAATATCCACTTGCAGATTATACAGAAAGAGTGTTTCGAACCTGAACTCTCAAAGGCAGGTTCATCTCTGCGAGTTAAATGCATTCATCATGAAGAACTTTCTCAGAGTGTTTGTGTTTAGTTATGGGAAATTATTCCCGTTTCCAACGAAATCCTCAGAGAGCTCCAAATATCCACCTGCAGATTCTACCAAAAGTGTATTTGGAAACTGCTCCATCAAAAGGCATGTTCAGCTCTGTGAGTGAAACTCCATCATCACAAAGAATATTCTGAGAATGCTTCCGTTTGCCTTTTATATGAAGTTCCTTCCTGTACTACCGTAGGCCTCAAAGCAGTCCAAATCTCCATTTGCAGATTCTATAAAAAGAGTGATTCCAATCTGCTCTATCAATAGGATTGTTCAACTCCATGAGTTGAATGCCATCCTCACAAAGTAGTTTCTGAGAATGCTTCTATCTGGTTTTTGTGTGAAGATATTTCCTTTTCCACCACAGGCCTCAAAGCCCTCCAAACGTCCACTTGCAGATTCTCGAAAAAGAGTGTTTCATAGCTGCTCTTTCAAAAGGAAAGTTCAACTCTGGGAGTTGAATACAAACATCACAAAATAGTTTCCGAGAATGCTTCTGTTTAGTTTTTATGTGAAGATGATCCCGTTTCCAGTGAAATCTTCAAAGAGGTCCACATATCCCCTTGCAGATTCCAAAGAAAGAGGGTTTCAAAACTGCTCCATCAGAAGGATTGTTCAACTCTGTGAGTTGAATGCAGTCATCGCAGAAAACTTTCTGAGAATGCTTCTGTCTAGGTTTGATGTGAAGATATAGACGTTTCAAACGAAGGCTACAAAGTGGTCAAAATATACACTTGCAGATTCTACTACAAGAGTGTTGCAAACCTGAACTATCAAAGGAAGGTTCAACTCTGTGAGTTGAATACAAACATCACAGAGAATGTTCTGAGTTTGCTTCCGTTCAGTTATGGGAAGTTGATCCCGTTTCCAACGAAATCCTCAGAGAGGTCCAAATATCCCCTTGCAGATTCTACAAAACGTGTGTTTGGAAACTGCTCCATCATAACGAATGTTCAGCTCCCTGAGTTAAACTCCATCGTCACAAAGAATTTTCTGAGAGTGCTACCGTATGGTTTTTATATGAAGTTCTTTCCTTCACTACCACAGGCCTCAAAGCGGTCCAAATCTCCACTTGCAGATTCTACAAAAAGAGTGTTTGCAAACTGCTCTATCAAAAGGAATGTTCAACTCTGGGAGTTGAATGCAATCATCACAGAGCAGTTTCTGAGAATGCTTCTATGTCGTTTTTAGGAGAAGATATTTCCTTTTCCAACACAGTCCTCCAAGCCCGCTAAATAGCCACTTGCACATTGTAGAAAAAGTGTGTCAAAGCTGCGCTATCAAAGGGAAAGTTCAACTCTGTGAGGTGAATGCAAACATCCCAAAGAAGTTTCTGAGAATGCTTCCGTTTAGCTTTTAGGTGAAGATTATCCCGTTTCCAACGAAACCTTCAAAGAGGTCCAAATATCCCCTTGCGGATCCCACAGAAAGAGTGTTTCGAAACTGCTGTTTCAAAAGGAATCTTCAACTCTGTGAGTTGAATGCAATCATCACAAAGAAGTTTCTGACAATGCTTCTCTCTCGTCTTTCTGTGAAGATAAAGGAAAAGGCTTTCAGGCCTTTTCCACCACAGGCCTGAAAGCGCTCCAAATGTCCACTTGCAGATTCTGTGAAAAGAATATTGCAAAACTGCTCTATGAAAAGCAATGTTAAACTCTGTGGCTCGAACACAAACATCACAAAGCAGTTTCTGAGAATGCTTCAGTTTAGTTTTTCTGTGGAAATATTCCCGTTTCCAAAGAAATCTTCAAAGAGGTCCACGTGTCCACTTACAGATTCTACAAAAAGACAGTTTCAAAACTGCTCCATCAAAAGGAGGGTTCAACTGTGTGACTTGAATGCAATCATCACTCAGAAGTTTCTGAGAATGCTTCTCTTTAGTTTTTACGTGAACATATACCCGTTTCGAACGAAGTCCACCCAGTGGTCCAAATATCCACTTGCAGATTCTACAGAAAGAGTGTTTCGAACCTGAACTCTCAAAGGCAGGTTCATCTCTGCGAGTTAAATGCATTCATCATGAAGAACTTTCTCAGAGTGTTTGTGTTTAGTTATGGGAAATTATTCCCGTTTCCAACGAAATCCTCAGAGAGCTCCAAATATCCACCTGCAGATTCTACCAAAAGTGTATTTGGAAACTGCTCCATCAAAAGGCATGTTCAGCTCTGTGAGTGAAACTCCATCATCACAAAGAATATTCTGAGAATGCTTCCGTTTGCCTTTTATATGAAGTTCCTTCCTATACGACCGTAGGCCTCAAAGCAGTCCAAATCTCCATTTGCAGATTCTACAAAAAGAGTGATTCCAATCTGCTCTATCAATAGGATTGTTCAACTCCATGAGTTGAATGCCATCCTCACAAAGTAGTTTCTGAGAATGCTTCTATCTAGTTTTTATGTGAAGATATTTCCTTTTCCACCACAGGCCTCAAAGCCCTCCAAACGTCCACTTGCAGATTCTCGAAAAAGAGTGTTTCATAGCTGCTCTTTCAAAAGGAAAGTTCAACTCTGGGAGTTGAATACAAACATCACAAAGTAGTTTCCGAGAATGCTTCTGTTTAGTTTTTATGTGAAGATGATCCCGTTTCCAGTGAAATCTTCAAAGAGGTCCACATATCCCCTTGCAGATTCCAAAGAAAGAGGGTTTCAAAACTGCTCCATCAGAAGGATTGTTCAACTCTGTGAGTTGAATGCAGTCATCGCAGAAAACTTTCTGAGAATGCTTCTGTCTAGGTTTGATGTGAAGATATATACGTTTCAAACGAAGGCTACAAAGTGGTCAAAATATACACTTGCAGATTCTACTACAAGGGTGTTGCAAACCTGAACTATCAAAGGAAGGTTCAACTCTGTGAGTTGAATACAAACATCACAAAGAATGTTCTGAGTTTGCTTCCGTTCAGTTATGGGAAGTTGATCCCGTTTCCAACGAAATCCTCAGAGAGGTCCAAATATCCCCTTGCAGATTCTACAAAACGTGTGTTTGGAAACTGCTCCATCATAACGAATGTTCAGCTCCCTGAGTTAAACTCCATCGTCACAAAGAATTTTCTGAGAGTGCTACCGTCTGGTTTTTATATGATGCTCTTTCCTTCACTACCACAGGCCTCAAAGCGGTCCAAATCTCCACTTGCAGATTCTACAAAAAGAGTGTTTGCAAACTGCTCTATCAAAAGGAATGTTCAACTCTGGGAGTTGAATGCAATCATCACAGAGCAGTTTCTGAGAATGCTTCTATGTCGTTTTTAGGAGAAGATATTTCCTTTTCCAACACAGTCCTCCAAGCCCGCTAAATAGCCACTTGCACATTGTAGAAAAAGTGTGTCAAAGCTGCGCTATCAAAGGGAAAGTTCAACTCTGTGAGGTGAATGCAAACATCCCAAAGAAGTTTCTGAGAATGCTTCCGTTTAGCTTTTAGGTGAAGATTATCCCGTTTCCAACGAAACCTTCAAAGAGGTCCAAATATCCCCTTGCGGATCCCACAGAAAGAGTGTTTCGAAACTGCTGTTTCAAAAGGAATCTTCAACTCTGTGAGTTGAATGCAATCATCACAAAGAAGTTTCTGACAATGCTTCTCTCTCGTCTTTCTGTGAAGATAAAGGAAAAGGCTTTCAGGCCTTTTCCACCACAGGCCTGAAAGCGCTCCAAATATCCGCTTGCAGATTCTGCGAAAAGAATATTACAAAACTGCTCTATGAAAAGCAATGTTAAACTCTGTGGCTCGAACACAAACATCACAAAGCAGTTTCTGAGAATACTTCAGTTTAGTTTTTCTGTGGAAATATTCCCGTTTCCAAAGAAATCTTCAAAAGAGGTCCACGCATCCACTTACAGATTCTACAAAAAGACAGTTTCAAAACTGCTCAATCAAAAGGAGGGTTCAACTGTGTGACTTGAATGCAATCATCACTCAGAAGTTTCTGAGAACGCTTCTCTTTAGTTTTTACGTGAACATATACCCGTTTCGAAAGAAGGCCACCCAGTGGTCCAAATATCCACTTGCAGATTCTACAGAAAGAGTGTTTCGAACCTGAACTCTCAAAGGCAGGTTCATCTCTGCGAGTTCAATGCATTCATCATGAAGAACTTTCTCAGCGTGTTTGTGTTTAGTTATGGGAAATTATTCCCGTTTCCAACGAAATCCTCAGAGAGCTCCAAATATCCACCTGCAGATTCTACCAAAAGTGTATTTGGAAACTGCTCCATCAAAAGGCATGTTCAGCTCTGTGAGTGAAACTCCATCATCACAAAGAATATTCTGAGAATGCTTCCGTTTGCCTTTTATATGAAGTTCCTTCCTGTACTACCGTAGGCCTCAAAGCAGTCCAAATCTCCATTTGCAGATTCTACAAAAAGAGTGATTCCAATCTGCTCTATCAATAGGATTGTTCAACTCCATGAGTTGAATGCCATCCTCACAAAGTAGTTTCTGAGAATGCTTCTATCTGGTTTTTGTGTGAAGATATTTCCTTTTCCACCACAGGCCTCAAAGCCCTCCAAACGTCCACTTGCAGATTCTCGAAAAAGAGTGTTTCATAGCTGCTCTTTCAAAAGGAAAGTTCAACTCTGGGAGTTGAATGCAAACATCACAAAATAGTTTCCGAGAATGCTTTCTGTTTAGTTTTTATGTGAAGATGATCCCGTTTCCAGTGAAATCTTCAAAGAGGTCCACATATCCCCTTGCAGATTCCAAAGAAAGAGGGTTTCAAAACTGCTCCATCAGAAGGATTGTTCAACTCTGTGAGTTGAATGCAGTCATCGCAGAAAACTTTCTGAGAATGCTTCTGTCTAGGTTTGATGTGAAGATATAGACGTTTCAAACGAAGGCTACAAAGTGGTCAAAATATACACTTGCAGATTCTACTACAAGGGTGTTGCAAACCTGAACTATCAAAGGAAGGTTCAACTCTGTGAATTGAATACAAACATCACAAAGAATGTTCTGAGTTTGCTTCCGTTCAGTTATGGGAAGTTGATCCCGTTTCCAACGAAATCCTCAGAGAGGTCCAAATATCCCCTTGCAGATTCTACAAAACGTGTGTTTGGAAACTGCTCCATCATAACGGATGTTCAGCTCTCTGAGTTAAACTCCATCGTCACAAAGAATTTTCTGTGAGTGCTACCGTCTGGTTTTTATATGAAGTTGTTTCCTTTACTACCACAGGCCTCAAAGCGGTCCAAATCTCCACTTGCAGATTCTACAAAAAGAGTGTTTGCAAACTGCTCTATCAAAAGGAATGTTCAACTCTGGGAGTTGAATGCAATCATCACAGAGCAGTTTCTGAGAATGCTTCTATGTGGTTTTTAGGAGAAGATATTTCCTTTTCCAACACAGTCCTGCAAGCCCGCTAAATATCCACTTGCACATTTTAGAAAAAGTGTGTCGAAGCTGCGCTATCAAAGGGAAAGTTCGACTCTGTGAGGTGAATGCAAACATCCCAAAGAAGTTTCTGAGAATGCTTCCGTTTAGCTTTTAGGTGAAGATTATCCCGTTTCCAACGAAACCTTCAAAGAGGTCCAAATATCCCCTTGCGGATCCCACAGAAAGAGTGTTTCGAAACTGCTGTTTCAAAAGGAATCTTCAACTCTGTGAGTTGAATGCAATCATCACAAAGAAGTTTCTGACAATGCTTCTCTCTCGTCTTTCTGTGAAGATAAAGGAAAAGGCTTTCAGGCCTTTGCCACCACAGGCCTGAAAGCGCTCCAAATGTCCACTTGCAGATTCTGCCAAAAGAATATTTCAAAACTGCTCTATGAAAAGCAATGTTAACCTCTGCGGCTCGAACACAAACATCACAAAGCGGTTTCTGAGAATGCTTCAGTTTAGTTTTTCTGTGGAAATATTCCCGTTTCCAAAGAAATCTTCAAAGAGGTCCACGTATCCACTTACAGATTCTACAAAAAGACAGTTTCAAAACTGCTCCATCAAAAGGAGGGTTCAACTGTGTGACTTGAATGCAATCATCACTCAGAAGTTTCTGAGAATGCTTCTCTTTAGTTTTTACGTGAACATATACCCGTTTCGAACGAAGGCCACCCAGTGGTCCAAATATCCACTTGCAGATTATACAGAAAGAGTGTTTCGAACCTGAACTCTCAAAGGCAGGTTCATCTCTGCGAGTTAAATGCATTCATCATGAAGAACTTTCTCAGCGTGTTTGTGTTTAGTTATGGGAAATTATTCCCGTTTCCAACGAAATCCTCAGAGAGCTCCAAATATCCACCTGCAGATTCTACCAAAAGTGTATTTGGAAACTGCTCCATCAAAAGGCATGTTCAGCTCTGTGAGTGAAACTCCATCATCACAAAGAATATTCTGAGAATGCTTCCGTTTGCCTTTTATATGAAGTTCCTTCCTGTACTACCGTAGGCCTCAAAGCAGTCCAAATCTCCATTTGCAGATTCTACAAAAAGAGTGATTCCAATCTGCTCTATCAATAGGATTGTTCAACTCCATGAGTTGAATGCCATCCTCACAAAGCAGTTTCTGAGAATGCTTCTATCTGGTTTTTGTGTGAAGATATTTCCTTTTCCACCACAGGCCTCAAAGCCCTCCAAACGTCCACTTGCAGATTCTCGAAAAAGAGTGTTTCATAGCTGCTCTTTCAAAAGGAAAGTTCAACTCTGGCAGTTGAATACAAACATCACAAAGTAGTTTCCGAGAATGCTTCTGTTTAGTTTTTATGTGAAGATGATCCCGTTTCCAGTGAAATCTTCAAAGAGGTCCACATATCCCCTTGCAGATTCCAAAGAAAGAGGGTTTCAAAACTGCTCCATCAGAAGGATTGTTCAACTCTGTGAGTTGAATGCAGTCAACGCAGAAAACTTTCTGAGAATGCTTCTGTCTAGGTTTGATGTGAAGATATAGACGTTTCAAACGAAGGCTACAAAGTGGTCAAAATATACACTTGCAGATTCTACTACAAGGGTGTTGCAAACCTGAACTATCAAAGGAAGGTTCAACTCTGTGAGTTGAATACAAACATCACAAAGAATGTTCTGAGTTTGCTTCCGTTCAGTTATGGGAAGTTGATCCCGTTTCCAACGAAATCCTCAGAGAGGTCCAAATATCCCCTCGCAGATTCTACAAAACGTGTGTTTGGAAACTGCTCCATCATAACGAATGTTCAGCTCCCTGAGTTAAACTCCATCGTCACAAAGAATTTTCTGAGAGTGCTACCGTCTGGTTTTTATATGAAGTTCTTTCCTTCCCTACCACAGGCCTCAAAGCGGTCCAAATCTCCACTTGCAGATTCTACAAAAAGAGTGTTTGCAAACTGCTCTATCAAAAGGAATGTTCAACTCTGGGAGTTGAATGCAATCATCACAGAGCAGTTTCTGAGAATGCTTCTATGTCGTTTTTAGGAGAAGATATTTCCTTTTCCAACACAGTCCTCCAAGCCCGCTAAATAGCCACTTGCACATTGTAGAAAAAGTGTGTCAAAGCTGCGCTATCAAAGGGAAAGTTCAACTCTGTGAGGTGAATGCAAACATCCCAAAGAAGTTTCTGAGAATGCTTCCGTTTAGCTTTTAGGTGAAGATTATCCCGTTTCCAACGAAACCTTCAAAGAGGTCCAAATATCCCCTTGCGGATCCCACAGAAAGAGTGTTTCAAAACTGCTGTTTCAAAAGGAATCTTCAACTCTGTGAGTTGAATGCAATCATCACAAAGAAGTTTCTGACAATGCTTCTCTCTCGTCTTTCTGTGAAGATAAAGGAAAAGGCTTTCAGGCCTTTTCCACCACAGGCCTGAAAGCGCTCCAAATGTCCACTTGCAGATTCTGCCAAAAGAATATTTCAAAACTGCTCTATGAAAAGCAATGTTAAACTCTGTGGCTCGATCACAAACATCACAAAGCGGTTTCTGAGAATACTTCAGTTTAGTTTTTCTGTGGAAATATTCCCGTTTCCAAAGAAATCTTCAAAGAGGTCCACGTATCCACTTACAGATTCTACAAAAAGACAGTTTCAAAACTGCTCCATCAAAAGGAGTGTTCAACTGTGTGACTTGAATGCAATCATCACTCAGAAGTTTCTGAGAATGCTTCTCTTTAGTTTTTACGTGAACATATACCCGTTTCGAACGAAGGCCACCCAGTGGTCCAAATATCCACTTGCAGATTCTACAGAAAGAGTGTTTCGAACCTGAACTCTCAAAGGCAGGTTCATCTCTGCGAGTTAAATGCATTCATCATGAAGAACTTTCTCAGAGTGTTTGTGTTTAGTTATGGGAAATTATTCCCGTTTCCAACGAAATCCTCAGAGTGGTCCAAATATCCACCTGCAGATTCTACCAAAAGTGTATTTGGAAACTGCTCCATCAAAAGGCATGTTCAGCTCTGTGAGTGAAACTCCATCATCACAAAGAATATTCTGAGAATGCTTCCGTTTGCCTTTTATATGAAGTTCCTTCCTGTACTACCGTAGGCCTCAAAGCAGTCCAAATCTCCATTTGCAGATTCTACAAAAAGAGTGATTCCAATCTGCTCTATCAATAGGATTGTTCAACTCCATGAGTTGAATGCCATCCTCACAAAGTAGTTTCTGAGAATGCTTCTATCTAGTTTTTATGTGAAGATATTTCCTTTTCCACCACAGGCCTCAAAGCCCTCCAAACGTCCACTTGCAGATTCTAGAAAAAGAGTGTTTCATAGCTGCTCTTTCAAAAGGAAAGTTCAACTCTGGGAGTTGAATACAAACATCACAAAGAATTTTCTGAGTTTGCTTCCGTTCAGTTATGGGAAGTTGATCCCGTTTCCAACGAAATCCTCAGAGAGGTCCAAATATCCCCTTGCAGATTCTACAAAACGTGTGTTTGGAAACTGCTCCATCATAACGAATGTTCAGCTCCCTGAGTTAAACTCCATCGTCACAAAGAATTTTCTGAGAGTGCTACCGTCTGGTTTTTATATGAAGCTCTTTCCTTCACTACCACAGGCCTCAAAGCGGTCCAAATCTCCACTTGCAGATTCTACAAAAAGAGTGTTTGCAAACTGCTCTATCAAAAGGAATGTTCAACTCTGGGAGTTGAATGCAATCATCACAGAGCAGTTTCTGAGAATGCTTCTATGTCGTTTTTAGGAGAAGATATTTCCTTTTCCAACACAGTCCTCCAAGCCCGCTAAATAGCCACTTGCACATTGTAGAAAAAGTGTGTCAAAGCTGCGCTATCAAAGGGAAAGTTCAACTCTGTCAGGTGAATGCAAACATCCCAAAGAAGTTTCTGAGAATGCTTCCGTTTAGCTTTTAGGTGAAGATTATCCCGTTTCCAACGAAACCTTCAAAGTAGGTCCAAATATCCCCTTGCGGATCCCACAGAAAGAGTGTTTCGAAACTGCTGTTTCAAAAGGAATCTTCAACTCTGTGAGTTGAATGCAATCATCACAAAGAAGTTTCTGACAATGCTTCTCTCTCGTCTTTCTGTGAAGATAAAGGAAAAGGCTTTCAGGCCTTTTCCACCACAGGCCTGAAAGCGCTCCAAATGTCCACTTGCAGATTCTGCGAAAAGAATATTTCAAAACTGCTCTATGAAAAGCAATGTTAAACTCTGTGGCTCGAACACAAACATCACAAAGCGGTTTCTGAGAATGCTTCAGTTTAGTTTTTCTGTGGAAATATTCCCGTTTCCAAAGAAATCTTCAGAGGTCCACGTATCCACTTACAGATTCTACAAAAAGACAGTTTCAAAACTGCTCCATCAAAAGGAGGGTTCAACTGTGTGACTTGAATGCAATCATCACTCAGAAGTTTCTGAGAATGCTTCTCTTTAGTTTTTACGTGAACATATACCCGTTTCGAACGAAGGCCACCCAGTGGTCCAAATATCCACTTGCAGATTATACAGAAAGAGTGTTTCGAACCTGAACTCTCAAAGGCAGGTTCATCTCTGCGAGTTAAATGCATTCATCATGAAGAACTTTCTCAGAGTGTTTGTGTTTAGTTATGGGAAATTATTCCCGTTTCCAACGAAATCCTCAGAGAGCTCCAAATATCCACCTGCAGATTCTACCAAAAGTGTATTTGGAAACTGCTCCATCAACAGGCATGTTCAGCTCTGTGAGTGAAACTCCATCATCACAAAGAATATTCTGAGAATGCTTCCGTTTGCCTTTTATCTGAAGTTCCTTCCTATACGACCGTAGGCCTCAAAGCAGTCCAAATCTCCATTTGCAGATTCTACAAAAAGAGTGATTCCAATCTGCTCTATCAATAGGATTGTTCAACTCCATGAGTTGAATGCCATCCTCACAAAGTAGTTTCTGAGAATGCTTCTATCTAGTTTTTATGTGAAGATATTTCCTTTTCCACCACAGGCCTCAAAGCCCTCCAAACGTCCACTTGCAGATTCTCGAAAAAGAGTGTTTCATAGCTGCTCTTTCAAAAGGAAAGTTCAACTCTGGGAGTTGAATACAAACATCACAAAGTAGTTTCCGAGAATGCTTCTGTTTAGTTTTTATGTGAAGATGATCCCGTTTCCAGTGAAATCTTCAAAGAGGTCCACATATCCCCTTGCAGATTCCAAAGAAAGAGGGTTTCAAAACTGCTCCATCAGAAGGATTGTTCAACTCTGTGAGTTGAATGCAGTCATCGCAGAAAACTTTCTGAGAATGCTTCTGTCTAGGTTTGATGTGAAGATATAGACGTTTCAAACGAAGGCTACAAAGTGGTCAAAATATACACTTGCAGATTCTACTACAAGGGTGTTGCAAACCTGAACTATCAAAGGAAGGTTCAACTCTGTGAGTTGAATACAAACATCACAAAGAATGTTCTGAGTTTGCTTCCGTTCAGTTATGGGAAGTTGATCCCGTTTCCAACGAAATCCTCAGAGAGGTCCAAATATCCCCTTGCAGATTCTACAAAACGTGTGTTTGGAAACTGCTCCATCATAACGAATGTTCAGCTCCCTGAGTTAAACTCCATCGTCACAAAGAATTTTCTGAGAGTGCTACCGTCTGGTTTTTATATGAAGCTCTTTCCTTCACTACCACAGACCTCAAAGCGGTCCAAATCTCCACTTGCAGATTCTACAAAAAGAGTGTTTGCAAACTGCTCTATCAAAAGGAATGTTCAACTCTGGGAGTTGAATGCAATCATCACAGAGCAGTTTCTGAGAATGCTTCTATGTCGTTTTTAGGAGAAGATATTTCCTTTTCCAACACAGTCCTCCAAGCCCGCTAAATAGCCACTTGCACATTGTAGAAAAAGTGTGTCAAAGCTGCGCTATCAAAGGGAAAGTTCAACTCTGTGAGGTGAATGCAAACATCCCAAAGAAGTTTCTGAGAATGCTTCCGTTTAGCTTTTAGGTGAAGATTATCCCGTTTCCAACGAAACCTTCAAAGAGGTCCAAATATCCCCTTGCGGATCCCACAGAAAGAGTGTTTCGAAACTGCTGTTTCAAAAGGAATCTTCAACTCTGTGAGTTGAATGCAATCATCACAAAGAAGTTTCTGACAATGCTTCTCTCTCGTCTTTCTGTGAAGATAAAGGAAAAGGCTTTCAGGCCTTTTCCACCACAGGCCTGAAAGCGCTCCAAATGTCCACTTGCAGATTCTGCGAAAAGAATATTTCAAAACTGCTCTATGAAAAGCAATGTTAAACTCTGCGGCTCGAACACAAACATCACAAAGCGGTTTCTGAGAATGCTTCAGTTTAGTTTTTCTGTGGAAATATTCCCGTTTCCAAAGAAATCTTCAAAGAGGTCCACGCATCCACTTACAGATTCTACAAAAAGACAGTTTCAAAACTGCTCCATCAAAAGGAGGGTTCAACTGTGTGACTTGAATGCAATCATCACTCAGAAGTTTCTGAGAATGCTTCTCTTTAGTTTTTACGTGAACATATACCCGTTTCGAACGAAGGCCACCCAGTGGTCCAAATATCCACTTGCAGATTCTACAGAAAGAGTGTTTCGAACCTGAACTCTCAAAGGCAGGTTCATCACTGCGAGTTAAATGCATTCATCATGAAGAACTTTCTCAGCGTGTTTTGTGTTTAGTTATGGGAAATTATTCCCGTTTCCAACGAAATCCTCAGAGAGCTCCAAATATCCACCTGCTGATTCTACCAAAAGTGTATTTGGAAACTGCTCCATCAAAAGGCATGTTCAGGTCTGTGAGTGAAACTCCATCATCACAAAGAATATTCTGAGAATGCTTCCGTTTGCCTTTTATATGAAGTTCCTTCCTGTACTACCGTAGGCCTCAAAGCAGTCCAAATCTCCATTTGCAGATTCTACAAAAAGAGTGATTCCAATCTGCTCTATCAATAGGATTGTTCAACTCCATGAGTTGAATGCCATCCTCACAAAGTCGTTTCTGAGAATGCTTCTATCTAGTTTTTATGTGAAGATATTTCCTTTTCCACCACAGGCCTCAAAGCCCTCCAAACGTCCACTTGCAGATTTTCGAAAAAGAGTGTTTCATAGCTGCTCTTTCAAAAGGAAAGTCCAACTCTGGGAGTTGAATACAAACATCACAAAGTAGTTTCCGAGAATGCTTCTGTTTAGTTTTTATGTGAAGATGATCCCGTTTCCAGTGAAATCTTCAAAGAGGTCCACATATCCCCTTGCAGATTCCAAAGAAAGAGGGTTTCAAAACTGCTCCATCAAAAGGATTGTTCAACTCTGTGAGTTGAATGCAGTCATCGCAGAAAACTTTCTGAGAATGCCTCTGTCTAGGTTTGATGTGAAGATATAGACGTTTCAAACGAAGGCTACAAAGTGTTCAAAATATACACTTGCAGATTCCACTAAAACGGTGTTGAAACCTGAACTATCAAAGGAAGGTTCAACTCTGTGAGTTGAATACAAACGTCACAAAGAATGTTCTGAGTTTGCTTCCGTTCAGTTATGGGAAGTTGATCCCGTTTCCAACGAAATCCTCAGAGAGGTCCAAATATCCCCTTGCAGATTCTACAAAACGTGTGTTTGGAAACTGCTCCATCATAACGAATGTTCAGCTCTCTGAGTTAAACTCCATCGTCACAAAGAATTTTCTGAGAGTGCTACCGTCTAGTTTTTATAGGAAGTTCTTTCCTTTACTACCACAGGCCTCAAAGCGGTCCAAATCTCCACTTGCAGATTCTACAAAAAGAGTGTTTGCAAACTGCTCTATCAAAAGGAATGTTCAACTCTGGGAGTTGAATGCAATCATCACAGAGCAGATTCTGAGAATGCTTCTGTGTCGTTTTTAGGAGAAGATATTTCCTTTTCCACCACAGTCCTCCAAGCCCGCTAAATATCCACTTGCACATTGTAGAAAAAGTGTGTCAAAGCTGCGCTATCAAAGGGAAAGTTCAACTCTGTGAGGTGAATGCAAACATCCCAAAGAAGTTTCTGAGAATGCCTCCGTTTAGCTTTTAGGTGAAGATTATCCCGTTTCCAACGAAATCTTCAAAGAGGTCCAAATATCCCCTTGCGGATCCCACAGAAAGAGTGTTTCGAAACTGCTGTTTCAAAAGGAATCTTCAACTCTGTGAGTTGAATGCAATCATCACAAAGAAGTTTCTGACAATGCTTCTCTCTCGTCTTTCTGTGAAGATAAAGGAAAAGGCTTTCAGGCCTTTTCCACCACAGGCCTGAAAACGCTCTAAATGTCCACTTGCAGATTCTGCCAAAAGAATATTTCAAAAGTGCTCTATGAAAAGCAATGTTAAACTCTGCGGCTCGAACACCAACATCACAAAGCAGTTTCTGAGAATGCTTCAGTTTAGTTTTTCTGTGGAAATATTCCCGTTTCCAAGGAAATCTTCCAAGAGGTCCACGTATCCACTTACAGATTCTACAAAAAGACAGTTTCAAAACTGCTCAATCAAAAGGCGGGTTCAACTGTGTGACTTGAATGCAATCATCACTCAGAAGTTTCTGAGAATGCTGTTTGTGTTTAGTTATGGGAAATTATTCCCGTTTCCAACGAAATCCTCCGACAGGTCCAAATATCCACCTGCAGATTCTACCAAAAGTGTATTTGGAAACTGCTCCATCAAAAGGCATGTTCAGCTCTGTGAGTGAAACTCCATCATCACAAAGAATATTCTGAGAATGCTCCGTTTGCCTTTTATATGAAGTTCCTTCCTATACTACCGTAGGCCTCAAAGCAGTCCAAATCTCCCTTTGCAGATTCTACAAAAAGAGTGATTCCAATCTGCTCTATCAATAGGATTGTTCAACTCCATGAGTTGAATGCCATCCTCACAAAGTCGTTTCTGAGAATGCTTCTATCTAGTTTTTATGTGAAGATATTTCCTTTTCCACCACAGGCCTCAAAGCCCTCCAAACGTCCACTTGCAGATTCTCGAAAAAGAGTGTTTCATAGCTGCTCTTTCAAAAGGAAAGTTCAACTCTGGGAGTTGAATACAAACATCACAAAGTAGTTTCCGAGAATGCTTCTGTTTAGTTCTTATGTGAAGATGATCCCGTTTCCAGTGAAATCTTGAAAGAGGTCCACATATCCCCTTGCAGATTCCAAAGAAAGAGGGTTTCAAAACTGCTCCATCAAAAGGATTACTCAACTCTATGAGTTGTATGCAGTCATCGCAGAAAACTTTCTGAGAATGCTTCTGTCTAGGTTTGATGTGAAGATATAGACGTTTCAAACGAAGGCTACAAAGTGGTCAAAATATACACTTGCAGATTCTACTACAAGGGTGTTGCAAACCTGAACTATCAAAGGAAGGTTCAACTCTGTGAGTTGAATACAAACATCACAAAGAATGTTCTGAGTTTGCTTCCGTTCAGTTATGGGAAGTTGATCCCGTTTCCAACGAAATCCTCAGAGAGGTCAAAATATCCCCTTGCAGATTCTACAAAACGTGTGTTTGGAAACTGCTCCATCATAACGAATGTTCAGCTCCCTGAGTTAAACTCCATCGTCACAAAGAATTTTCTGAGAGTGCTACCGTCTGGTTTTTATATGAAGTTCTTTCCTTCACTACCACAGGCCTCAAAGCGGTCCAAATCTCCACTTGCAGATTCTACAAAAAGAGTGTTTGCAAACTGCTCTATCAAAAGGAATGTTCAACTCTGGGAGTTGAATGCAATCATCACAGAGCAGTTTCTGAGAATGCTTCTATGTCGTTTTTAGGAGAAGATATTTCCTTTTCCAACACAGTCCTCCAAGCCCGCTAAATAGCCACTTGCACATTGTAGAAAAAGTGTGTCGAAGCTGCGCTATCAAAGGGAAAGTTCAACTCTGTGAGGTGAATGCAAACATCCCAAAGAAGTTTCTGAGAATGCTTCCGTTTAGCTTTAAGTGAAGATTATCCCGTTTCCAACGAAATCTTCAAAGAGGTCCAAATATCCCCTTGCGGATCCCACAGAAAGAGTGTTTCGAAACTGCTGTTTCAAAAGGAATCTTCAACTCTGTGAGTTGAATGCAATCATCACAAAGAAGTTTCTGACAATGCTTCTCTCTCGTCTTTCTGTGAAGATAAAGGAAAAGGCTTTCAGGCCATTTCCACCACAGGCCTGAAAGCGCTCCAAATGTCCACTTGCAGATTCTGCCAAAAGAATATTTCAAAACTGCTCTATGAAAAGCAATGTTAAACTCTGCGGCTCGAACACAAACATCACAAAGCAGTTTCTGAGAATGCTTCAGTTTAGTTTTTCTGTGGAAATATTCCCGTTTCCAAAGAAATCTTCAAAGAGGTCCACACATCCACTTACAGATTCTACAAAAAGACAGTTTCAAAACTGCTCAATCAAAAGGAGGGTTCAACTGTGTGACTTGAATGCATTCATCACTCAGAAGTTTCTGAGAACGCTTCTCTTTAGTTTTTACGTGAACATATACCCGTTTCGAACGAAGGCCAGCCAGTGGTCCAAATATCCACTTGCAGATTCTACAGAAAGAGTGTTTTGAACCTGAACTCTCAAAGGCAGGTTCATCTCTGCGAGTTAAATGCATTCATCATGAAGAACTTTCTCAGCGTGTTTGTGTTTAGTTATGGGAAATTATTCCCGTTTCCAACGAAATCCTCAGAGAGCTCCAAATATCCACCTGCAGATTCTACCAAAAGTGTATTTGGAAACTGCTCCATGAAAAGGCATGTTCAGCTCTGTGAGTGAAACTCCGTCATCACAAAGAATATTCTGAGAATGCTTCCGTTTGCCTTTTATCTGAAGTTCCTTCCTATACGACCGTAGGCCTCAAAGCAGTCCAAATCTCCATTTGCAGATTCTACAAAAAGAGTGATTCCAATCTGCTCTATCAATAGGATTGTTCAACTCCATGAGTTGAATGCCATCCTCACAAAGTCGTTTCTGAGAATGCTTTCTATCTAGTTTTTATGTGAAGATATTTCCTTTTCCACCACAGGCCTCAAAGCCCTCCAAACGTCCACTTGCAGATTCTCGAAAAAGAGTGTTTCATAGCTGCTCTTTCAAAAGGAAAGTTCAACTCTGGGAGTTGAATACAAACATCACAAAGTAGTTTCCGAGAATGCTTCTGTTTAGTTTTTATGTGAAGATGATCCCGTTTCCAGTGAAATCTTCAAAGAGGTCCACATATCCCCTTGCAGATTCCAAAGAAAGAGGGTTTCAAAACTGCTCCATCAGAAGGATTGTTCAACTCCTGTGAGTTGAATGCAGTCATCGCAGAAAACTTTCTGAGAATGCTTCTGTCTAGGTTTCAGGTGAAGATATAGACGTTTCAAACGAAGGCTACAAAGTGGTCAAAATATACACTTGCAGAATCTACTACAAGGGTGTTGCAAACCTGAACTATCAAAGGAAGGTTCAACTCTGTGAGTTGAATACAAACATCACAAAGAATGTTCTGAGTTTGCTTCCGTTCAGTTATGGGAAGTTGATCCCGTTTCCAACGAAATCCTCAGAGAGGTCCAAATATCCCCTCGCAGATTCTACAAAACGTGTGTTTGGAAACTGCTCCATCATAACGAATGTTCAGCTCCCTGAGTTAAACTCCATCGTCACAAAGAATTTTCTGAGAGTGCTACCGTCTGGTTTTTATATGAAGTTCTTTCCTTCACTACCACAGGCCTCAAAGCGGTCCAAATCTCCACTTGCAGATTCTACAAAAAGAGTGTTTGCAAACTGCTCTATCAAAAGGAATGTTCAACTCTGGGAGTTGAATGCAATCATCACAGAGCAGTTTCTGAGAATGCTTCTATGTCGTTTTTAGGAGAAGATATTTCCTTTTCCAACACAGTCCTCCACGCCCGCTAAATATCCACTTGCACATTGTAGAAAAAGTGTGTCAAAGCTGCGCTATCAAAGGGAAAGTTCAACTCTGTGAGGTGAATGCAAACATCCCAAAGAAGTTTCTGAGAGTGCTTCCGTTTAGCTTTTAGGTGAAGATTATCCCGTTTCCAACGAAAGCTTCAAAGAGGTCCAAATATCCCCTTGCGGATCCCACAGAAAGAGTGTTTCGAAACTGCTGTTTCAAAAGGAATCTTCAACTCTGTGAGTTGAATGCAATCATCACAAAGAAGTTTCTGACAATGCTTCTCTCTCGTCTTCCTGTGAAGATAAAGGAAAAGGCTTTCAGGCCTTTTCCACCACAGGCCTGAAAGCGCTCCAAATGTCCACTTGCAGATTCTGCCAAAAGAATATTTCAAAACTGCTCTATGAAAAGCAATGTTAAACTCTGTGGCTCGAACACAAACATCACAAAGCAGTTTCTGAGAATGCTTCAGTTTAGTTTTTCTGTGGAAATATTCCCGTTTCGAAAGAAATCTTCAAAGAGGTCCACGCATCCACTTACAGATTCTACAAAAAGACAGTTTCAAAACTGCTCAATCAAAAGGAGGGTTCAACCGTGTGACTTGAATGCAATCATCACTCAGAAGTTTCTGAGAACGCTTCTCTTTAGTTTTTACGTGAACATATACCCGTTTCGAACGAAGGCCACCCAGTGGTCCAAATATCCACTTGCAGATTCTACAGAAAGAGTGTTTCGAACCTGAACTCTCAAAGGCAGGTTCATCTCTGCGAGTTCAATGCATTCAACATGAAGAACTTTCTCAGCGTGTTTGTGTTTAGTTATGGGAAATTATTCCCGTTTCCAACGAAATCCTCAGAGAGCTCCAAATATCCACCTGCAGATTCTACCAAAAGTGTATTTGGAAACTGCTCCATCAAAAGGCATGTTCAGCTCTGTGAGTGAAACTCCATCATCACAAAGAATATTCTGAGAATGCTTCCGTTTGCCTTTTATATGAAGTTCCTTCCTGTACTACCGTAGGCCTCAAAGCAGTCCAAATCTCCATTTGCAGATTCTACAAAAAGAGTGATTCCAATCTGCTCTATCAATAGGATTGTTCAACTCCATGAGTTGAATGCCATCCTCACAAAGTAGTTTCTGAGAATGCTTCTATCTGGTTTTTGTGTGAAGATATTTCCTTTTCCACCACAGGCCTCAAAGCCCTCCAAACGTCCACTTGCAGATTCTCGAAAAAGAGTGTTTCATAGCTGCTCTTTCAAAAGGAAAGTTCAACTCTGGGAGTTGAATGCAAACATCACAAAATAGTTTCCGAGAATGCTTCTGTTTAGTTATTATGTGAAGATGATCCCGTTTCCAGTGAAATCTTCAAAGAGGTCCACATATCCCCTTGCAGATTCCAAAGAAAGAGGGTTTCAAAACTGCTCCATCAGAAGGATTGTTCAACTCTGTGAGTTGAATGCAGTCATCGCAGAAAACTTTCTGAGAATGCTTCTGTCTAGGTTTGATGTGAAGATATAGACGTTTCAAACGAAGGCTACAAAGTGGTCAAAATATACACTTGCAGATTCTACTACAAGGGTGTTGCAAACCTGAACTATCAAAGGAAGGTTCAACTCTGTGAATTGAATACAAACATCACAAAGAATGTTCTGAGTTTGCTTCCGTTCAGTTATGGGAAGTTGATCCCGTTTCCAACGAAATCCTCAGAGAGGTCCAAATATCCCCTCGCAGATTCTACAAAACGTGTGTTTGGAAACTGCTCCATCATAACGAATGTTCAGCTCCCTGAGTTAAACTCCATCGTCACAAAGAATTTTCTGAGAGTGCTACCGTCTGGTTTTTATATGAAGTTCTTTCCTTCACTACCACAGGCCTCAAAGCGGTCCAAATCTCCACTTGCAGATTCTACAAAAAGAGTGTTTGCAAACTGCTCTATCAAAAGGAATGTTCAACTCTGGGAGTTGAATGCAATCATCACAGAGCAGTTTCTGAGAATGCTTCTATGTCGTTTTTAGGAGAAGATATTTCCTTTTCCAACACAGTCCTCCAAGCCCGCTAAATAGCCACTTGCACATTGTAGAAAAAGTGTGTCAAAGCTGCGCTATCAAAGGGAAAGTTCAACTCTGTGAGGTGAATGCAAACATCCCAAAGAAGTTTCTGAGAATGCTTCCGTTTAGCTTTTAGGTGAAGATTATCCCGTTTCCAACGAAACCTTCAAAGAGGTCCAAATATCCCCTTGCGGATCCCACAGAAAGAGTGTTTCGAAACTGCTGTTTCAAAAGGAATCTTCAACTCTGTGAGTTGAATGCAATCATCACAAAGAAGTTTCTGACAATGCTTCTCTCTCGTCTTTCTGTGAAGATAAAGGAAAAGGCTTTCAGGCCTTTTCCACCACAGGCCTGAAAGCGCTCCAAATGTCCACTTGCAGATTCTGCGAAAAGAATATTTCAAAACTGCTCTATGAAAAGCAATGTTAAACTCTGTGGCTCGAACACAAACATCACAAAGCGGTTTCTGAGAATGCTTCAGTTTAGTTTTTCTGTGGAAATATTCCCGTTTCCAAAGAAATCTTCAAAGAGGTCCACGTATCCACTTACAGATTCTACAAAAAGACAGTTTCAAAACTGCTCCATCAAAAGGAGGGTTCAACTGTGTGACTTGAATGCAATCATCACTCAGAAGTTTCTGAGAATGCTTCTCTTTAGTTTTTACGTGAACATATACCCGTTTCGAACGAAGGCCACCCAGTGGTCCAAATATCCACTTGCAGATTCTACAGAAAGAGTGTTTCGAACCTGAACTCTCAAAGGCAGGTTCATCTCTGCAAGTTAAATGCATTCATCATGAAGAACTTTCTCAGAGTGTTTGTGTTTAGTTATGGGAAATTATTCCCGTTTCCAACGAAATCCTCAGAGAGCTCCAAATATCCACCTGCAGATTCTACCAAAAGTGTATTCGGAAACTGCTCCATCAAAAGGCATGTTCAGCTCTGTGAGTGAAACTCCATCATCACAAAGAATATTCTGAGAATGCTTCCGTTTGCCTTTTATATGAAGTTCCTTCCTGTACTACCGTAGGCCTCAAAGCAGTCCAAATCTCCATTTGCAGATTCTATAAAAAGAGTGATTCCAATCTGCTCTATCAATAGGATTGTTCAACTCCATGAGTTGAATGCCATCCTCACAAAGTAGTTTCTGAGAATGCTTCTATTCTAGTTTTTATGTGAAGATATTTCCTTTTCCACCACAGGCCTCAAAGCCCTCCAAACGTCCACTTGCAGATTCTCGAAAAAGAGTGTTTCATAGCTGCTCTTTCAAAAGGAAAGTTCAACTCTGGGAGTTGAATACAAACATCACAAAGTAGTTTCCGAGAATGCTTCTGTTTAGTTTTTATGTGAAGATGATCCCGTTTCCAGTGAAATCTTCAAAGAGGTCCACATATCCCCTTGCAGATTCCAAAGAAAGAGGGTTTCAAAACTGCTCCATCAGAAGGATTGTTCAACTCTGTGAGTTGAATGCAGTCATCGCAGAAAACTTTCTGAGAATGCTTCTGTCTAGGTTTGATGTGAAGATATAGACGTTTCAAACGAAGGCTACAAAGTGGTCAAAATATACACTTGCAGATTCTACTACAAGGGTGTTGCAAACCTGAACTATCAAAGGAAGGTTCAACTCTGTGAGTTGAATACAAACATCACAAAGAATGTTCTGAGTTTGCTTCCGTTCAGTTATGGGAAGTTGATCCCGTTTCCAACGAAATCCTCAGAGAGGTCCAAATATCCCCTTGCAGATTCTACAAAACGTGTGTTTGGAAACTGCTCCATCATAACGAATGTTCAGCTCCCTGAGTTAAACTCCATCGTCACAAAGAATTTTCTGAGAGTGCTACCGTCTGGTTTTTATATGAAGTTCTTTCCTTCACTACCACAGGCCTCAAAGCGGTCCAAATCTCCACTTGCAGATTCTACAAAAAGAGTGTTTGCAAACTGCTCTATCAAAAGGAATGTTCAACTCTGGGAGTTGAATGCAATCATCACAGAGCAGTTTCTGAGAATGCTTCTATGTCGTTTTTAGGAGAAGATATTTCCTTTTCCAACACAGTCCTCCAAGCCCGCTAAATAGCCACTTGCACATTGTAGAAAAAGTGTGTCAAAGCTGCGCTATCAAAGGGAAAGTTCAACTCTGTGAGGTGAATGCAAACATCCCAAAGAAGTTTCTGAGAATGATTCCGTTTAGCTTTTAGGTGAAGATTATCCCGTTTCCAACGAAACCTTCAAAGAGGTCCAAATATCCCCTTGTGGATCCCACAGAAAGAGTGTTTCGAAACTGCTGTTTCAAAAGGAATCTTCAACTCTGTGAGTTGAATGCAATCATCACAAAGAAGTTTCTGACAATGCTTCTCTCTCGTCTTTCTGTGAAGATAAAGGAAAAGGCTTTCAGGCCTTTTCCACCACAGGCCTGAAAGCGCTCCAAATGTCCACTTGCAGATTCTGCCAAAAGAATATTTCAAAACTGCTCTATGAAAAGCAATGTTAAACTCTGTGGCTCGAACACAAACATCACAAAGCAGTTTCTGAGAATGCTTCAGTTTAGTTTTTCTGTGGAAATATTCCCGTTTCCAAAGAAATCTTCAAAGAGGTCCACGTATCCACTTACAGATTCTACAAAAAGACAGTTTCAAAACTGCTCCATCAAAAGGAGGGTTCAACTGTGTGACTTGAATGCAATCATCACTCAGAAGTTTCTGAGAATGCTTCTCTTTAGTTTTTACGTGAACATATACCCGTTTCGAACGAAGGCCACCCAGTGGTCCAAATATCCACTTGCAGATTCTACAGAAAGGGTGTTTCGAACCTGAACTCTCAAAGGCAGGTTCATCTCTGCGAGTTAAATGCATTCATCATGAAGAACTTTCTCAGAGTGTTTGTGTTTAGTTATGGGAAATTATTCCCGTTTCCAACGAAATCCTCAGAGAGCTCCAAATATCCACCTGCAGATTCTACCAAAAGTGTATTTGGAAACTGCTCCATCAAAAGGCATGTTCAGCTCTGTGAGTGAAACTCCATCATCACAAAGAATATTCTGAGAATGCTTCCGTTTGCCTTTTATATGAAGTTCCTTCCTATACTACCGTAGGCCTCAAAGCAGTCCAAATCTCCATTTGCAGATTCTACAAAAAGAGTGATTCCAATCTGCTCTATCAATAGGACTGTTCAACTCCATGAGTTGAATGCCATCCTCACAAAGTAGTTTCTGAGAATGCTTCTATCTAGTTTTTATGTGAAGATATTTCCTTTTCCACCACAGGCCTCAAAGCCCTCCAAACGTCCACTTGCAGATTCTCGAAAAAGAGTGCTTCATAGCTGCTCTTTCAAAAGGGAAGTTCAACTCTGGGAGCTGAATACAAACATCACAAAGTAGTTTCCGAGAATGCTTCTGTTTAGTTCTTATGTGAAGATGATCCCGTTTCCAGTGAAATCTTCAAAGAGGTCCACATATCCCCTTGCAGATTCCAAAGAAAGAGGGTTTCAAAACTGCTCCATCAAAAGGATTGTTCAACTCTGTGAGTTGAATGCAGTCATCGCAGAAAACTTTCTGAGAATGCTTCTTTCTAGGTTTGATGTGAAGATATAGACGTTTCAAACGAAGGCTACAAAGTGGTCAAAATATACACTTGCAGATTCTACTACAAGGGTGTTGCAAACCTGAACTATCAAAGGAAGGTTCAACTCTGTGAGTTGAATACAAACATCACAAAGAATGTTCTGAGTTTGCTTCCGTTCAGTTATGGGAAGTTGATCCCTTTTCCAACAAAATCCTCAGAGAGGTCCAAATATCCCCTTGCAGATTCTACAAAACGTGTGTTGGGAAACTGCTCCATCATAACGAATGTTCAGCTCCCTGAGTTAAACTCCATCGTCACAAAGAATTTTCTGAGAGTGCTACCGTCTGGTTTTTATATGAAGCTCTTTCCTTCACTACCCCCAGGCCTCAAAGCGGTCCAAATCTCCACTTGCAGATTCTACAAAAAGAGTGTTTGCAAACTGCTCTATCAAAAGGAATGTTCAACTCTGGGAGTTGAATGCAATCATCACAGAGCAGTTTCTGAGAATGCTTCTATGTCGTTTTTAGGAGAAGATATTTCCTTTTCCAACACAGTCCTCCAAGCCCGCTAAATAGCCACTTGCACATTGTAGAAAAAGTGTGTCAAAGCTGCGCTATCAAAGGGAAAGTTCAACTCTGTGAGGTGAATGCAAACATCCCAAAGAAGTTTCTGAGAATGCTTCCGTTTAGCTTTTAGGTGAAGATTATCCCGTTTCCAACGAAACCTTCAAAGAGGTCCAAATATCCCCTTGCGGATCCCACAGAAAGAGTGTTTCGAAACTGCTGTTTCAAAAGGAATCTTCAACTCTGTGAGTTGAATGCAATCATCACAAAGAAGTTTCTGACAATGCTTCTCTCTCGTCTTTCTGTGAAGATAAAGGAAAAGGCTTTCAGGCCTTTTCCACCACAGGCCTGAAAGCGCTCCAAATGTCCACTTGCAGATTCTGCCAAAAGAATATTTCAAAACTGCTCTATGAAAAGCAATGTTAAACTCTGTGGCTCGAACACAAACATCACAAAGCAGTTTCTGAGAATGCTTCAGTTTAGTTTTTCTGTGGAAATATTCCCGTTTCGAAAGAAATCTTCAAAGAGGTCCACGTATCCACTTACAGATTCTACAAAAAGACAGTTTCAAAACTGCTCAATCAAAAGGAGGGTTCAACCGTGTGACTTGAATGCAATCATCACTCAGAAGTTTCTGAGAATGCTTCTCTTTAGTTTTTACGTGAACATATACCCGTTTCGAACGAAGGCCACCCAGTGGTCCAAATATCCACTTGCAGATTCTACAGAAAGAGTGTTTCGAACCTGAACTCTCAAAGGCAGGTTCATCTCTGCGAGTTCAATGCATTCATCATGAAGAACTTTCTCAGAGTGTTTGTGTTTAGGTATGGGAAATTATTGCCGTTTCCAACGAAATCCTCAGAGAGGTCCAAATATCCACCTGCAGATTCTACCAAAAGTGTATTTGGAAACTGCTCCATCAAAAGGCATGTTCAGCTCTGTGAGTGAAACTCCATCATCACAAAGAATATTCTGAGAATGCTTCCGTTTGCCTTTTATATGAAGTTCCTTCCTATACTACCGTAGGCCTCAAAGCAGTCCAAATCTCCATTTGCAGATTCTACAAAAAGAGTGATTCCAATCTGCTCTATCAATAGGATTGTTCAACTCCATGAGTTGAATGCCATCCTCACAAAGTAGTCTCTGAGAATGCTTCTATCTAGTTTTTATGTGAAGATATTTCCTTTTCCACCACAGGCCTCAAAGCCCTCCAAACGTCCACTTGCAGATTCTCGAAAAAGAGTGTTTCATAGCCGCTCTTTCAAAAGGAAAGTTCAACTCTGGGAGTTGAATACAAACATCACAAAGTAGTTTCCGAGAATGCTTCTGTTTAGTTCTTATGTGAAGATGATCCCGTTTCCAGTGAAATCTTCAAAGAGGTCCACATATCCCCTTGCAGATTCCAAAGAAAGAGGGTTTCAAAACTGCTCCATCAAAAGGATTGTTCAACTCTGTGAGTTGAATGCAGTCATCGCAGAAAACTTTCTGAGAATGCTTCTGTCTAGGTTTGATGTGAAGATATAGACGTTTCAAACGAAGGCTACAAAGTGGTCAAAATATACACTTGCAGATTCTACTACAAGGGTGTTGCAAACCTGAACTATCAAAGGAAGGTTCAACTCTGTGGGTTGAATACAAACATCACAAAGAATGTTCTGAGTTTGCTTCCGTTCAGTTATGGGAAGTTGATCCCCTTCCCAACGAAATCCTCAGAGAGGTCCAAATATCCCCTTGCAGATTCTACAAAACGTGTGTTTGGAAACTGCTCCATCATAACGAATGTTCAGCTCTCTGAGTTAAACTCCATCGTCACAAAGAATTTTCTGAGAGTGCTACCGTCTAGTTTTTATATGAAGTTCTTTCCTTTACTACCACAGGCCTCAAAGCGGTCCAAATCTCCACTTGCAGATTCTACAAAAAGAGTGTCTGCAAACTGCTCTATCAAAAGGAATGTTCAACTCTGGGAGTTGAATGCAATCATCACAGAGCAGTTTCTGAGAAGGCTTCTATGTCGTTTTTAGGAGAAGATATTTCCTTTTCCAACACAGTCCTCCACGCCCGCTAAATAGCCACTTGCACATTGTAGAAAAAGTGTGTCGAAGCTGCGCTATCAAAGGGAAAGTTCAACTCTGTGAGGTGAATGCAAACATCCCAAAGAAGTTTCTGAGAATGCTTCCGTTTAGCTTTTAGGTGAAGATTATCCCGTTTCCAACGAAAGCTTCAAAGAGGTCCAAATATCCCCTTGCGGATCCCACAGAAAGAGTGTTTCGAAACTGCTGTTTCAAAAGGAATCTTCAACTCTGTGAGTTGAATGCAATCATCCCAAAGAAGTTTCTGACAATGCTTCTCTCTCGTCTTTCTGTGAAGATAAAGGAAAAGGCTTTCAGGCCTTTTCCACCACAGGCCTGAAAGCGCTCCAAATGTCCACTTGCAGATTCTGCCAAAAGAATATTTCAAAACTGCTCTATGAAAAGCAATGTTAAACTCTGCGGCTCGAACACAAACATCACAAAGCAGTTTCTGAGAATGCTTCAGTTTAGTTTTTCTGTGGAAATATTCCCATTTCCAAAGAAATCTTCAAAGAGGTCCACGTATCCACTTACAGATTCTACAAAAAGACAGTTTCAAAACTGCTCAATCAAAAGGAGGGTTCAACCGTGTGACTTGAATGCAATCATCACTCAGAAGTTTCTGAGAATGCTTCTCTTTAGTTTTTACGTGAACATATACCCGTTTCGAACGAAGGCCAGCCAGTGGTCCAAATATCCACTTGCAGATTCTACAGAAAGAGTGTTTCGAACCTGAACTCTCAAAGGCAGGTTCATCTCTGCGAGTTCAATGCATTCATCATGAAGAACTTTCTCAGAGTGTTTGTGTTTAGTTATGGGAAATTATTCCCGTTTCCAACGAAATCCTCAGAGAGGTCCAAATATCCACCTGCAGATTCTACCAAAAGTGTATTTGGAAACTGCTCCATCAAAAGGCATGTTCAGCTCTGTGAGTGAAACTCCATCATCACAAAGAATATTCTGAGAATGCTTCCGTTTGCCTTTTATATGAAGTTCCTTCCTATACTACCGTAGGCCTCAAAGCAGTCCAAATCTCCATTTGCAGATTCTACAAAAAGAGTGATTCCAATGTGCTCTATCATTAGGATTGTTCAACTCCATGAGTTGAATGCCATCCTCACAAAGTCGTTTCTGAGAATGCTTCTATCTAGTTTTTATGTGAAGATATTTCCTTTTCCACCACAGGCCTCAAAGCCCTCCAAACGTCCACTTGCAGATTCTCGAAAAAGAGTGTTTCATAGCTGCTCTTTCAAAAGGAAAGTTCAACTCTGGGAGTTGAATACAAACATCACAAAGTAGTTTCCGAGAATGCTTCTGTTTAGTTCTTATGTGAAGATGATCCCGTTTCCAGTGAAATCTTCAAAGAGGTCCACATATCCCCTTGCAGATTCCAAAGAAAGAGGGTTTCAAAACTGCTCCATCAAAAGGATTGTTCAACTCTGTGAGTTGAATGCAGTCATCGCAGAAATCTTTCTGAGAATGCTTCTGTCTAGGTTTGATGTGAAGATATAGACGTTTCAAACGAAGGCTACAAAGTGGTCAAAATATACACTTGCAGATTCTACTACAAGGGTGTTGCAAACCTGAACTATCAAAGGAAGGTTCAACTCTGTGAGTTGAATACAAACATCACAAAGAATGTTCTGAGTTTGCTTCCGTTCAGTTATGGGAAGTTGATCCCGTTTCCAACGAAATCCTCAGAGAGGTCCAAATATCCCCTTGCAGATTCTACAAAACGTGTGTTTGGAAACTGCTCCATCATAACGAATGTTCAGCTCCCTGAGTTAAACTCCATCGTCACAAAGAATTTTCTGAGAGTGCTACCGTCTGGTTTTTATATGAAGTTCTTTCCTTCACTACCACAGGCCTCAAAGCGGTCCAAATCTCCACTTGCAGATTCTACAAAAAGAGTGTTTGCAAACTGCTCTATCAAAAGGAATGTTCAACTCTGGGAGTTGAATGCAATCATCACAGAGCAGTTTCTGAGAATGCTTCTATGTCGTTTTTAGGAGAAGATATTTCCTTTTCCAACACAGTCCTCCAAGCCCGCTAAATAGCCACTTGCACATTGTAGAAAAAGTGTGTCAAAGCTGCGCTATCAAAGGGAAAGTTCAACTCTGTGAGGTGAATGCAAACATCCCAAAGAAGTTTCTGAGAATGCTTCCGTTTAGCTTTTAGGTGAAGATTATCCCGTTTCCAACGAAACCTTCAAAGAGGTCCAAATATCCCCTTGCGGATCCCACAGAAAGAGTGTTTCGAAACTGCTGTTTCAAAAGGAATCTTCAACTCTGTGAGTTGAATGCAATCATCACAAAGAAGTTTCTGACAATGCTTCTCTCTCGTCTTTCTGTGAAGATAAAGGAAAAGGCTTTCAGGCCTTTTCCACCACAGGCCTGAAAGCGCTCCAAATGTCCACTTGCAGATTCTGCCAAAAGAATATTTCAAAACTGCTCTATGAAAAGCAATGTTAAACTCTGTGGCTCGAACACAAACATCACAAAGCAGTTTCTGAGAATGCTTCAGTTTAGTTTTTCTGTGGAAATATTCCCGTTTCCAAAGAAATCTTCAAAGAGGTCCACGTATCCACTTACAGATTCTGCAAAAAGACAGTTTCAAAACTGCTCCATCAAAAGGAGGGTTCAACTGTGTGACTTGAATGCAATCATCACTCAGAAGTTTCTGAGAATGCTTCTCTTTAGTTTTTACGTGAACATATACCCGTTTCGAACGAAGGCCAGCCAGTGGTCCAAATATCCACTTGCAGATTCTACAGAAAGAGTGTTTCGAACCTGAACTCTCAAAGACAGGTTCATCTCTGCGAGTTAAATGCATTCATCATGAAGAACTTTCTCAGAGTGTTTGTGTTTAGTTATGGGAAATTATTCCCGTTTCCAACGAAATCCTCAGAGAGCTCCAAATATCCACCTGCAGATTCTACCAAAAGTGTATTTGGAAACTGCTCCATCAAGAGGCATGTTCAGCTCTGTGAGTGAAACTCCATCATCACAAAGAATATTCTGAGAATGCTTCCGTTTGCCTTTTATCTGAAGTTCCTTCCTATACGACCGTAGGCCTCAAAGCAGTCCAAATCTCCATTTGCAGATTCTACAAAAAGAGTGATTCCAATCTGCTCTATCAATAGGATTGTTCAACTCCATGAGTTGAATGCCATCCTCACAAAGTCGTTTCTGAGAATGCTTCTATCTGGTTTTTGTGTGAAGATATTTCCTTTTCCACCACAGGCCTCAAAGCCCTCCAAACGTCCACTTGCAGATTCTCGAAAAAGAGTGTTTCATAGCTGCTCTTTCAAAAGGAAAGTTCAACTCTGGGAGTTGAATACAAACATCACAAAGTAGTTTCCGAGAATGCTTCTGTTTAGTTTTTATGTGAAGATGATCCCGTTTCCAGTGAAATCTTCAAAGAGGTCCACATATCCCCTTGCAGATTCCAAAGAAAGAGGGTTTCAAAACTGCTCCATCAGAAGGATTGTTCAACTCTGTGAGTTGAATGCAGTCATCGCAGAAAACTTTCTGAGAATGCTTCTGTCTAGGTTTGATGTGAAGATATAGACGTTTCAAACGAAGGCTACAAAGTGGTCAAAATATACACTTGCAGATTCTACTACAAGGGTGTTACAAACCTGAACTATCAAAGGATGGTTCAACTCTGTGAGTTGAATACAAACATCACAAAGAATGTTCTGAGTTTGCTTCCGTTCAGTTATGGGAAGTTGATCCCGTTTCCAACGAAATCCTCAGAGAGGTCCAAATATCCCCTCGCAGATTCTACAAAACGTGTGTTTGGAAACTGCTCCATCATAACGAATGTTCAGCTCCCTGAGTTAAACTCCATCGTCACAAAGAATTTTCTGATAGTGCTACCGTCTAGTTTTTATATGAAGTTCTTTCCTTTACTACCACAGGCCTCAAAGCTGTCCAAATCTCCACTTGCAGATTCTACAAAAAGAGTGTTTGCAAACTGCTCTATCAAAAGGAATGTTCAACTCTGGGAGTTGAATGCAATCATCACAGAGCAGTTTCTGAGAATGCTTCTATGTCGTTTTTAGGAGAAGATATTTCCTTTTCCAACACAGTCCTCCAAGCCCGCTAAATATCCACTTGCACATTGTAGAAAAAGTGTGTCGAAGCTGTGCTATCAAAGGGAAAGTTCAACTCTGTGAGGTGAATGCAAACATCCCAAAGAAGTTTCTGAGAATGCTTCCGTTTAGCTTTTAGGTGAAGATTATCCCGTTTCCAACGAAATCTTCAAAGAGGTCCAAATATCCCCTTGCGGATCCCACAGAAAGAGTGTTTCGAAACTGCTGTTTCAAAAGGAATCTTCAACTCTGTGAGTTGAATGCAATCATCACAAAGAAGTTTCTGACAATGCTTCTCTCTCGTCTTTCTGTGAAGATAAAGGAAAAGGCTTTCAGGCCTTTTCCACCACAGGCCTGAAAGCGCTCCAATTGTCCACTTGCAGATTCTGCCAAAAGAATATTTCAAAACTGCTCTATGAAAAGCAAGGTTAAACTCTGTGGCTCGAACACAAACATCACAAAGCAGTTTCTGAGAATGCTTCAGTTTAGTTTTTCTGTGGAAATATTCCCGTTTCCAAAGAAATCTTCAAAGAGGTCCACGCATCCACTTACAGATTCTACAAAAAGACAGTTTCAAAACTGCTCAATCAAAAGGAGGGTTCAACTGTGTGACTTGAATGCAATCATCACTCAGAAGTTTCTGAGAACGCTTCTCTTTAGTTTTTACGTGAACATATACCCGTTTCGAATGAAGGCCAGCCAGTGGTCCAAATATCCACTTGCAGATTCCACAGAAAGAGTGTTTCGAACCTGAACTCTCAAAGGCAGGTTCATCTCTGCGAGTTAAATGCATTCATCATGAAGAACTTTCTCAGCGTGTTTGTGTTTAGTTATGGGAAATTATTCCCGTTTCCAACGAAATCCTCAGAGAGCTCCAAATATCCACCTGCAGATTCTACCAAAAGTCTATTTGGAAACTGCTCCATCAAAAGGCATGTTCAGCTCTGTGAGTGAAACTCCATCATCACAAAGAATATTCTGAGAATGCTTCCGTTTGCCTTTTATATGAAGTTCCTTCCTATACTACCGTAGGCCTCAAAGCAGTCCAAATCTCCATTTGCAGATTCTACAAAAAGAGTGATTCCAATCTGCTCTATCAATATGATTGTTCAACTCCATGTGTTGAATGCCATCCTCACAAAGTAGTTTCTGAGAATGCTTCTATCTGGTTTTTGTGTGAAGATATTTCCTTTTCCACCACAGGCCTCAAAGCCCTCCAAACGTCCACTTGCAGATTCTCGAAAAAGAGTGTTTCATAGCTGCTCTTTCAAAAGGAAAGTTCAACTCTGGGAGTTGAATACAAACATCACAAAATAGCTTCCGAGATTGCTTCTGTTTAGTTTTTATGTGAAGATGATCCCGTTTCCAGTGAAATCTTCAAAGAGGTCCACATATCCCCTTGCAGATTCCAAAGAAAGAGGGTTTCAAAACTGCTCCATCAAAAGGATTGTTCAACTCTGTGAGTTGAATGCAGTCATCGCAGAAAACTTTCTGAGAATGCTTCTTTCTAGGTTTGATGTGAAGATATAGACGTTTCAAACGAAGGCTACAAAGTGGTCAAAATATACACTTGCAGATTCTACTACAAGGGTGTTGCAAACCTGAACTATCAAAGGAAGGTTCAACTCTGTGAGTTGAATACAAACATCACAAAGAATGTTCTGAGTTTGCTTCCGTTCAGTTATGGGAAGTTGATCCCGTTTCCAACGAAATCCTCAGAGAGGTCCAAATATCCCCTTGCAGATTCTACAAAACGTGTGTTTGGAAACTGCTCCATCATAACGAATGTTCAGCTCCCTGAGTTAAACTCCATCGTCACAAAGAATTTTCTGAGAGTGCTACCGTCTGGTTTTTATATGAAGTTCTTTCCTTCACTACCACAGGCCTCAAAGCGGTCCAAATCTCCACTTGCAGATTCTACAAAAAGAGTGTTTGCAAACTGCTCTATCAAAAGGAATGTTCAACTCTGGGAGTTGAATGCAATCGTCACAGAGCAGTTTCTGAGAATGCTTCTATGTCGTTTTTAGGAGAAGATATTTCCTTTTCCAACACAGTCCTCCAAGCCCGCTAAATAGCCACTTGCACATTGTAGAAAAAGTGTGTCAAAGCTGCGCTATCAAAGGGAAAGTTCAACTCTGTGAGGTGAATGCAAACATCCCAAAGAAGTTTCTGAGAATGCTTCCGTTTAGCTTTTAGGTGAAGATTATCCCGTTTCCAACGAAACCTTCAAAGAGGTCCAAATATCCCCTTGCGGATCCCACAGAAAGAGTGTTTCGAAACTGCTGTTTCAAAAGGAATCTTCAACTCTGTGAGTTGAATGCAATCATCACAAAGAAGTTTCTGACAATACTTCTCTCTCGTCTTTCTGTGAAGATAAAGGAAAAGGCTTTCAGGCCTTTTCCACCACAGGCCTGAAAGCGCTCCAAATGTCCACTTGCAGATTCTGTGAAAAGAATATTTCAAAACTGCTCTATGAAAAGCAATGTTAAACTCTGTGGCTCGAACACAAACATCACAAAGCAGTTTCTGAGAATGCTTCAGTTTAGTTTTTCTGTGGAAATATTCCCGTTTCCAAAGAAATCTTCAAAGAGGTCCAAGTATCCACTTACAGATTCTACAAAAAGACAGTTTCAAAACTGCTCCATCAAAAGGAAGGTTCAACTGTGTGACTTGAATGCAATCATCACTCAGAAGTTTCTGAGAATGCTTCTCTTTAGTTTTTAGGTGAACATATACCCGTTTCGAACGAAGGCCACCCAGTGGTCCAAATATCCACTTGCAGATTCTACAGAAAGAGTGTTTCGAACCTGAATCTCTCAAAGGCAGGTTCATCTCTGCGAGTTAAATGCATTCATCATGAAGAACTTTCTCAGAGTGTTTGTGTTTAGTTATGGGAAATTATTCCCGTTTCCAACGAAATCCTCAGAGAGCTCCAAATATCCACCTGCAGATTCTACCAAAAGTGTATTTGGAAACTGCTCCATCAAAAGGCATGTTCAGCTCTGTGAGTGAAACTCCATCATCACAAAGAATATTCTGAGAATGCTTCCGTTTGCCTTTTATATGAAGTTCCTTCCTATACTACCGTAGGCCTCAAAGCAGTCCAAATCTCCATTTGCAGATTCTACAAAAAGAGTGATTCCAATCTGCTCTATCAATAGGATTGTTCAACTCCATGAGTTGAATGCCATCCTCACAAAGTAGTTTCTGAGAATGCTTCTATCTAGTTTTTATGTGAAGATATTTCCTTTTCCACCACAGGCCTCAAAGCCCTCCAAACGTCCACTTGCAGATTCTCGAAAAAGAGTGTTTCATAGCTGCTCTTTCAAAAGGAAAGTTCAACTCTGGGAGTTGAATACAAACATCACAAAGTAGTTTCCGAGAATGCTTCTGTTTAGTTCTTATGTGAAGATTATCCCGTTTCCAGTGAAATCTTCAAAGAGGTCCACATATCCCCTTGCAGATTCCAAAGAAAGAGGGTTTCAAAACTGCTCCATCAAAAGGATTGTTCAACTCTGTGAGTTGAATGCAGTCATCGCAGAAAACTTTCTGAGAATGCTTCTGTCTAGGTTTGATGTGAAGATATAGACGTTTCAAACGAAGGCTACAAAGTGGTCAAAATATACACTTGCAGATTCTACTACAAGGGTGATGCAAACCTGAACTATCAAAGGAAGGTTCAACTCTGTGAGTTGAATACAAACATCACAAAGAATGTTCTGAGTTTGCTACCGTTCAGTTATGGGAAGTTGATCCCGTTTCCAACGAAATCCTCAGAGAGGTCCAAATATCCCCTTGCAGATTCTACAAAACGTGTGTTTGGAAACTGCTCCATCATAACGAATGTTCAGCTCTCTGAGTTAAACTCCATCGTCACAAAGAATTTTCTGAGAGTGCTACCGTCTAGTTTTTATATGAAGTTCTTTCCTTTACTACCACAGGCCTCAAAGCGGTCCAAATCTCCACTTGCAGATTCTACAAAAAGAGTGTTTGCAAACTGCTCTATCAAAAGGAATGTTCAACTCTGGGAGTTGAATGCAATCATCACAGAGCAGTTTCTGAGAATGCTTCTATGTCGTTTTTAGGAGAAGATATTTCCTTTTCCAACACAGTCCTCCAAGCCCGCTAAATAGCCTCTTGCACATTGTAGAAAAAGTGTGTCAAAGCTGCGCTATCAAAGGGAAAGTTCAACTCTGTGAGGTGAATGCAAACATCCCAAAGAAGTTTCTGAGAATGCTTCCGTTTAGCTTTTAGGTGAAGATTATCCCGTTTCCAACGAAACCTTCAAAGAGGTCCAAATATCCCCTTGCGGATCCCACAGAAAGAGTGTTTCGAAACTGCTGTTTCAAAAGGAATCTTCAACTCTGTGAGTTGAATGCAATCATCACAAAGAAGTTTCTGACAATGCTTCTCTCTCGTCTTTCTGTGAAGATAAAGGAAAAGGCTTTCAGGCCTTTTCCACCACAGGCCTGAAAGCGCTCCAAATGTCCACTTGCAGATTCTGCCAAAAGAATATTTCAAAACTGCTCTATGAAAAGCAATGTTAAACTCTGTGGCTGGAACACAAACATCACAAAGCGGTTTCTGAGAATGTTTCAGTTTAGTTTTTCTGTGGAAATATTCCCGTTTCCAAAGAAATCTTCAAAGAGGTCCACGTATCCACTTACAGATTCTACAAAAAGACAGTTTCAAAACTGCTCCATCAAAAGGAGGGTTCAACTGTGTGACTTGAATGCAATCATCACTCAGAAGTTTCTGAGAATGCTTCTCTTTAGTTTTTACGTGAACATATACCCGTTTCGAACGAAGGCCACCCAGTGGTCCAAATATCCACTTGCAGATTATACAGAAAGAGTGTTTCGAACCTGAACTCTCAAAGGCAGGTTCATCTCTGCGAGTTAAATGCATTCATCATGAAGAACTTTCTCAGAGTGTTTGTGTTTAGTTATGGGAAATTATTCCCGTTTCCAACGAAATCCTCAGAGAGCTCCAAATATCCACCTGCAGATTCTACCAAAAGTGTATTTGGAAACTGCTCCATCAAAAGGCATGTTCAGCTCTGTGAGTGAAACTCCATCATCACAAAGAATATTCTGAGAATGCTTCCGTTTGCCTTTTATATGAAGTTCCTTCCTGTACTACCGTAGGCCTCAAAGCAGTCCAAATCTCCATTTGCAGATTCTATAAAAAGAGTGATTCCAATCTGCTCTATCAATAGGATTGTTCAACTCCATGAGTTGAATGCCATCCTCACAAAGTAGTTTCTGAGAATGCTTCTATCTGGTTTTTGTGTGAAGATATTTCCTTTTCCACCACAGACCTCAAAGCCCTCCAAACGTCCACTTGCAGATTCTCGAAAAAGAGTGTTTCATAGCTGCTCTTTCAAAAGGAAAGTTCAACTCTGGGAGTTGAATACAAACATCACAAACTAGTTTCCGAGAATGCTTCTGTTTAGTTCTTATGTGAAGATGATCCCGTTTCCAGTGAAATCTTCAAAGAGGTCCAGATATCCCCTTGCAGATTCCAAAGAAAGAGGGTTTCAAAACTGCTCCATCAAAAGGATTGTTCAACTCTGTGAGTTGAATGCAGTCATCGCAGAAAACTTTCTGAGAATGCTTCTGTCTAGGTTTGATGTGAAGATATAGAGGTTTCAAACGAAGGCTACAAAGTGGTCAAAATATACACTTGCAGATTCTACTACAAGGGTGTTGCAAACCTGAACTATCAAAGGAAGGTTCAACTCTGTGAGTTGAATACAAACATCACAAAGAATGTTCTGAGTTTGCTTCCGTTCAGTTATGGGAAGTTGATCCCGTTTCCAACGAAATCCTCAGAGAGGTCCAAATATCCCCTTGCAGATTCTACAAAACGTGTGTTTGGAAACTGCTCCATCATAACGAATGTTCAGCTCCCTGAGTTAAACTCCATCGTCACAAAGAATTTTCTGAGAGTGCTACCGTCTGGTTTTTATATGAAGTTTTTTCCTTCACTACCACAGGCCTCAAAGCGGTCCAAATCTCCACTTGCAGATTCTACAAAAAGAGTGTTTGCAAACTGCTCTATCAAAAGGAATGTTCAACTCTGGGAGTTGAATGCAATCATCACAGAGCAGTTTCTGAGAATGCTTCTATGTCGTTTTTAGGAGAAGATATTTCCTTTTCCAACACAGTCCTCCAAGCCCGCTAAATAGCCACTTGCACATTGTAGAAAAAGTGTGTCAAAGCTGCGCTATCAAAGGGAAATTTCAACTCTGTGAGGTGAATGCAAACATCCCAAAGAAGTTTCTGAGAATGCTTCCGTTTAGCTTTTAGGTGAAGATTATCCCGTTTCCAACGAAACCTTCAAAGAGGTCCAAATATCCCCTTGCGGATCCCACAGAAAGAGTGTTTCGAAACTGCTGTTTCAAAAGGAATCTTCAACTCTGTGAGTTGAATGCAATCATCACAAAGAAGTTTCTGACAATGCTTCTCTCTCGTCTTTCTGTGAAGATAAAGGAAAAGGCTTTCAGGCCTTTTCCACCACAGGCCTGAAAGCGCTCCAAATGTCCACTTGCAGATTCTGCGAAAAGAATATTTCAAAACTGCTCTATGAAAAGCAATGTTAAACTCTGTGGCTGGAACACAAACATCACAAAGCGGTTTCTGAGAATGTTTCAGTTTAGTTTTTCTGTGGAAATATTCCCGTTTCCAAAGAAATCTTCAAAGAGGTCCACGTATCCACTTACAGATTCTACAAAAAGACAGTTTCAAAACTGCTCCATCAAAAGGAGGGTTCAACTGTGTGACTTGAATGCAATCATCACTCAGAAGTTTCTGAGAATGCTTCTCTTTAGTTTTTACGTGAACATATACCCGTTTCGAACGAAGGCCACCCAGTGGTCCAAATATCCACTTGCAGATTATACAGAAAGAGTGTTTCGAACCTGAACTCTCAAAGGCAGGTTCATCTCTGCGAGTTAAATGCATTCATCATGAAGAACTTTCTCAGAGTGTTTGTGTTTAGTTATGGGAAATTATTCCCGTTTCCAACGAAATCCTCAGAGAGCTCCAAATATCCACCTGCAGATTCTACCAAAAGTGTATTTGGAAACTGCTCCATCAAAAGGCATGTTCAGCTCTGTCAGTGAAGCTCCATCATCACAAAGAATATTCTGAGAATGCTTCCGTTTGCCTTTTATATGAAGTTCCTTCCTGTACTACCGTAGGCCTCAAAGCAGTCCAAATCTCCATTTGCAGATTCTACAAAAAGAGTGATTCCAATCTGCTCTATCAATAGGATTGTTCAACTCCATGAGTTGAATGCCATCCTCACAAAGTCGTTTCTGAGAATGCTTCTATCTGGTTTTTGTGTGAAGATATTTCCTTTTCCACCACAGGCCTCAAAGCCCTCCAAACGTCCACTTGCAGATTCTCGAAAAAGAGTGTTTCATAGCTGCTCTTTCAAAAGGAAAGTTCAACTCTGGGAGTTGAATACAAACATCACAAAATAGTTTCCGAGAATGCTTCTGTTTAGTTTTTATGTGAAGATGATCCCGTTTCCAGTGAAATCTTCAAAGAGGTCCACATATCCCCTTGCAGATTCCAAAGAAAGAGGGTTTCAAAACTGCTCCATCAGAAGGATTGTTCAACTCTGTGAGTTGAATGCAGTCATCGCAGAAAACTTTCTGAGAATGCTTCTGTCTAGGTTTGATGTGAAGATATAGACGTTTCAAACGAAGGCTACAAAGTGGTCAAAATATACAATTGCAGATTCTACTACAAGGGTGTTGCAAACCTGAACTATCAAAGGAAGGTTCAACTCTGTGAGTTGAATACAAACATCACAAAGAATGTTCTGAGTTTGCTTCCGTTCAGTTATGGGAAGTTGATCCCGTTTCCAACGAAATCCTCAGAGAGGTCCAAATATCCCCTCGCAGATTCTACAAAACGTGTGTTTGGAAACTGCTCCATCATAACGAATGTTCAGCTCCCTGAGTTAAACTCCATCGTCACAAAGAATTTTCTGAGAGTGCTACCGTCTGGTTTTTATATGAAGTTCTTTCCTTCACTACCACAGGCCTCAAAGCGGTCCAAATCTCCACTTGCAGATTCTACAAAAAGAGTGTTTGCAAACTGCTCTATCAAAAGGAATGTTCAACTCTGGGAGTTGAATGCAATCATCACAGAGCAGTTTCTGAGAATGCTTCTATGTCGTTTTTAGGAGAAGATATTTCCTTTTCCAACACAGTCCTCCAAGCCCGCTAAATAGCCACTTGCACATTGTAGAAAAAGTGTGTCAAAGCTGCGCTATCAAAGGGAAAGTTCAACTCTGTGAGGTGAATGCAAACATCCCAAAGAAGTTTCTGAGAATGCTTCCGTTTAGCTTTTAGGTGAAGATTATCCCGTTTCCAACGAAAGCTTCAAAGAGGTCCAAATATCCCCTTGCGGATCCCACAGAAAGAGTGTTTCGAAACTGCTGTTTCAAAAGGAATCTTCAACTCTGTGAGTTGAATGCAATCATCACAAAGAAGTTTCTGACAATGCTTCTCTCTCGTCTTTCTGTGAAGATAAAGGAAAAGGCTTTCAGGCCTTTTCCACCACAGGCCTGAAAGCGCTCCAAATGTCCACTTGCAGATTCTGTGAAAAGAATATTGCAAAACTGCTCTATGAAAAGCAATGTTAAACTCTGTGGCTCGAACACAAACATCACAAAGCAGTTTCTGAGAATGCTTCAGTTTAGTTTTTCTGTGGAAATATTCCCGTTTCCAAAGAAATCTTCAAAGAGGTCCACGTATCCATTTACAGATTCTACAAAAAGACAGTTTCAAAACTGCTCAATCAAAAGGAGGGTTCAACCGTGTGACTTGAATGCAATCATCAGTCAGAAGTTTCTGAGAATGCTTCTCTTTAGTTTTTACGTGAACATATACCCGTTTCGAACGAAGGCCACCCAGTGGTCCAAATATCCACTTGCAGATTCTACAGAAAGAGTGTTTCGAACCTGAACTCTCAAAGGCAGGTTCATCTCTGCGAGTTCAATGCATTCAACATGAAGAACTTTCTCAGCGTGTTTGTGTTTAGTTATGGGAAATTATTGCCGTTTCCAACGAAATCCTCAGAGAGGTCCAAATATCCACCTGCAGATTCTACCAAAAGTGTATTTGGAAACTGCTCCATCAAAAGGCATGTTCAGCTCTGTGAGTGAAACTCCATCATCACAAAGAATATTCTGAGAATGCTTCCGTTTGCCTTTTATATGAAGTTCCTTCCTATACTACCGTAGGCCTCAAAGCAGTCCAAATCTCCATTTGCAGATTCTACAAAAAGAGTGATTCCAATCTGCTCTATCAATAGGATTGTTCAACTCCATGAGTTGAATGCCATCCTCACAAAGTCGTTTCTGAGTATGCTTCTATCTAGTTTTTATGTGAAGATATTTCCTTTTCCACCACAGGCCTCAAAGCCCTCCAAACGTCCACTTGCAGATTCTCGAAAAAGAGTGTTTCATAGCTGCTCTTTCAAAAGGAAAGTTCAACTCTGGGAGTTGAATACAAACATCACAAAGTAGTTTCCGAGAATGCTTCTGTTTAGTTTTTATGTGAAGATGATCGATCCCGTTTCCAGTGAAATCTTCAAAGAGGTCCACATATCCCCTTGCAGATTCCAAAGAAAGAGGGTTTCAAAACTGCTCCATCAGAAGGATTGTTCAACTCTGTGAGTTGAATGCAGTCATCGCAGAAAACTTTCTGAGAATGCTTCTGTCTAGGTTTGATGTGAAGATATAGACGTTTCAAACGAAGGCTACAAAGTGGTCAAAATATACACTTGCAGATTCTACTACAAGGGTGTTGCAAACCTGAACTATCAAAGGAAGGTTCAACTCTGTGAGTTGAATACAAACATCACAGAGAATGTTCTGAGTTTGCTTCCGTTCAGTTATGGGATGTTGATCCCGTTTCCAACGAAATCCTCAGAGAGGTCCAAATATCCCCTCGCAGATTCTACAAAACGTGTGTTTGGAAACTGCTCCATCATAACGAATGTTCAGCTCCCTGAGTTAAACTCCATCGTCACAAAGAATTTTCTGAGAGTGCTACCGTCTGGTTTTTATATGAAGTTCTTTCCTTCACTACCACAGGCCTCAAAGCGGTCCAAATCTCCACTTGCAGATTCTACAAAAAGAGTGTTTGCAAACTGCTCTATCAAAAGGAATGTTCAACTCTGGGAGTTGAATGCAATCATCACAGAGCAGTTTCTGAGAATGCTTCTATGTCGTTTTTAGGAGAAGATATTTCCTTTTCCAACACAGTCCTCCAAGCCCGCTAAATATCCACTTGCACATTGTAGAAAAAGTGTGTCAAAGCTGCGCTATCAAAGGGAAAGTTCAACTCTGTGAGGAGAGTGAAAACATCCCAAAGAAGTTTCTGAGAATGCTTCCTTTCAGCTTTTAGGTGAAGATTATCCCGTTTCCAACGAAATCTTCAAAGAGGTCCAAATATCCCCTTGCGGATCCCACAGAAAGAGTGTTTCGAAACTGCTGTTTCAAAAGGAATCTTCAACTCTGTGAGTTGAATGCAATCATCACCACGAAGTTTCTGACAATGCTTCTCCCTCATCTTTCTGTGAAGATAAAGGAAAAGGCTTTCAGGCCTTTTCCACCACAGGCCTGAAAGCGCTCCAAATGTCCACTTGCAGATTCTGCCAAAAGAATATTTCAAAACTGCTCTATGAAAAGCAATGTTAAACTCTGCGGCTCGAACACAAACATCACAAAGCAGTTTCTGAGAATGCTTCAGTTTAGTTTTTCTGTGGAAATATTCCCGTTTCCAAAGAAATCCTCAAAGAGGTCCACGTATCCACTTACAGATCCTACAAAAAGACAGTTTCAAAACTGCTCCATCAAAAGGAGGGTTCAACTGTGTGACTTGAAAGCAATCATCACTCAGAAGTTTCTGAGAATGCTTCTCTTTAGTTTTTACGTGAACATATACCCGTTTCGAACGAAGGCCACCCAGTGGTCCAAATATCCACTTGCAGATTCTAGAGAAAGAGTGTTTCGAACATGAACTCTCAAAGGCAGGATCATCTCTGAAAGTTAAATGTATTCGTCATGAAGAACTTTCTCAGCGTGTTTGTGTTTAGTTATGGGAAATTACTCCCGTTTCCAACGAAATCCTCTGAGAGGTCCAAATATCCACCTGCAGATTCTACCAAAAGTGTATTTGGAAACTGCTCCATCAACAGGCATGTTCAGCTCTGTGAGTGAAACTCCATCATCACAAAGAATATTCTGAGAATGCTTCCGTTTGCCTTTTATATGAAGTTCCTTCCTATACGACCGTAGGCCTCAAAGCAGTCGAAATCTCCATTTGCAGATTCTACAAAAAGAGTGATTCCAATCTGCTCTATCAATAGGATTGTTCAACTCCATGAGTTGAATGCCATCCTCACAAAGTCGTTTCTGAGAATGCTTCTATCTAGTTTTTATGTGAAGATATTTCCTTTTCCACCACAGGCCTCAAAGCCCTCCAAACGTCCACTTGCAGATTCTCGAAAAAGAGTGTTTCATAGCTGCTCTTTCAAAAGGGAAGTTCAACTCTGGGAGTTGAATACAAACATCACAAAGTAGTTTCCGAGAATGCTTCTGTTTAGTTCTTATGTGAAGATGATCCCGTTTCCAGTGAAATCTTCAAAGAGGTCCACATATCCCCTTGCAGATTCCAAAGAAAGAGGGTTTCAAAACTGCTCCATCAAAAGGATTGTTCAACTCTGTGAGTTGAATGCAGTCATCGCAGAAAACTTTCTGAGAATGCTTCTGTCTAGGTTTGATGTGAAGATATAGACTTTTCAAACGAAGGCTACAATGTGGTCAAAATATACACTTGCAGATTCTACTACAAGGGTGTTGCAAACCTCAACTATCAAAGGAAGGTTCAACTCTGTGAGTTGAATGCAAACATCACAAAGAATGTTCTGAGTTTGCTTCCGTTCAGTTATGGGAAGTTGATCCCGTTTCCAACGAAATCCTCAGAGAGGTCCAAATATCCCCTTGCAGATTCTACAAAACGTGTGTTTGGAAACTGCTCCATCATAACGAATGTTCAGCTCTCTGAGTTAAACTCCATCGTCACAAAGAATTTTCTGAGAGTGCTACCGTCTGGTTTTTATATGAAGTTCTTTCCTTTACTACCACAGGCCTCAAAGCGGTCCAAATCTCCACTTGCAGATTCTACAAAAAGAGTGTTTGCAAACTGCTCTATCAAAAGGAATGTTCAACTCTGGGAGTTGAATGCAATCATCACAGAGCAGTTCCTGAGAATGCTTCTATGTCGTTTTTAGGAGAAGATATTTCCTTTTCCAACACAGTCCTCCAAGCCCGCTAAATATCCACTTGCACATTGTAGAAACAGTGTGTCGAAGCTGCGCTATCAAAGGGAAAGTTCAACTCTGTGAGGTGAATGCAAACATCCCAAAGAAGTTTCTGAGAATGCTTCCGTTTAGCTTTTAGGTGCAGATTATCCCGTTTCCAACGAAATCTTCAAAGAGGTCCAAATATCCCATTGCGGATCCCACAGAAAGAGTGTTTCGAAAATGCTGTTTCAAAAGGAATCTTCAACTCTGTGGGTTGAATGCAATCATCACAAAGAAGTTTCTGACAATGCTTCTCTCTCGTCTTTCTGTGAAGATAAAGGAAAAGGCTTTCAGGCCTTTTCCACCACAGGCCTGAAAGCGCTCCAAATGTCCACTTGCAGATTCTGCCAAAAGAATATTTCAAAACTGCTCTATGAAAAGCAATGTTAAACTCTGCGGCTCGAACACAAACATCACAAAGCAGTTTCTGAGAATGCTTCAGTTTAGTTTTTCTGTGGAAATATTCCCGTTTCGAAAGAAATCTTCAAAGAGGTCCACGTATCCACTTACAGATTCTACAAAAAGACAGTTTCAAAACTGCTCAATCAAAAGGAGGGTTCAACCGTGTGACTTGAATGCAATCATCACTCAGAAGTTTCTGAGAACGCTTCTGTTTAGTTTTTACGTGAACATATAGCCGTTTCGAACGAAGGCCACCCAGTGGTCCAAATATCCACTTGCAGATTCTACAGAAAGAGTGTTTCGAACCTGAACTCTCAAAGGCAGGTTCATCTCTGCGAGTTCAATGCATTCATCATGAAGAACTTTCTCAGCGTGTTTGTGTTTAGTTATGGGAAATTATTCCCTTTTCCAACGAAATCCTCAGAGAGCTCCAAATATCCACCTGCAGATTCTACCAAAAGTGTATTTGGAAACTGCTCCATGAAAAGGCATGTTCAGCTCTGTGAGTGAAACTCCATCATCACAAAGAATATTCTGAGAATGCTTCCGTTTGCCTTTTATATGAAGTTCCTTCCTGTACGACCGTAGGCCTCAAAGCAGTCCAAATCTCCATTTGCAGATTCTACAAAAAGAGTGATTCCAATCTGCTCTATCAATAGGATTGTTCAACTCCATGAGTTGAATGCCATCCTCACAAAGCAGTTTCTGAGAATGCTTCTATCTGGTTTTTGTGTGAAGATATTTCCTTTTCCACCACAGGCCTCAAAGCCCTCCAAACGTCCACTTGCAGATTCTCGAAAAAGAGTGTTTCATAGCTGCTCTTTCAAAAGGAAAGTTCAACTCTGGCAGTTGAATACAAACATCACAAAGTAGTTTCCGAGAATGCTTCTGTTTAGTTTTTATGTGAAGATGATCCCGTTTCCAGTGAAATCTTCAAAGAGGTCCACATATCCCCTTGCAGATTCCAAAGAAAGAGGGTTTCAAAACTGCTCCATCAGAAGGATTGTTCAACTCTGTGAGTTGAATGCAGTCATCGCAGAAAACTTTCTGAGAATGCTTCTGTCTAGGTTTGATGTGAAGATATAGACGTTTCAAACGAAGGCTACAAAGTGGTCAAAATATACACTTGCAGATTCTACTACAAGGGTGTTGCAAACCTGAACTATCAAAGGAAGGTTCAACTCTGTGAGTTGAATACAAACATCACAAAGAATGTTCTGAGTTTGCTTCCGTTCAGTTATGGGAAGTTGATCCCGTTTCCAACGAAATCCTCAGAGAGGTCCAAATATCCCCTTGCAGATTCTACAAAACGTGTGTTTGGAAACTGCTCCATCATAACGAATGTTCAGCTCCCTGAGTTAAACTCCATCGTCACAAAGAATTTTCTGAGAGTGCTACCGTCTGGTTTTTATATGAAGCTCTTTCCTTCACTACCACAGACCTCAAAGCGGTCCAAATCTCCACTTGCAGATTCTACAAAAAGAGTGTTTGCCAACTGCTCTATCAAAAGGAATGTTCAACTCTGGGAGTTGAATGCAATCATCACAGAGCAGTTTCTGAGAATGCTTCTATGTCGTTTTTAGGAGAAGATATTTCCTTTTCCAACACAGTCCTCCAAGCCCGCTAAATAGCCACTTGCACATTGTAGAAAAAGTGTGTCAAAGCTGCGCTATCAAAGGGAAAGTTCAACTCTGTGAGGTGAATGCAAACATCCCAAAGAAGTTTCTGAGAATGCTTCCGTTTAGCTTTTAGGTGAAGATTATCCCGTTTCCAACGAAACCTTCAAAGAGGTCCAAATATCCCCTTGCGGATCCCACAGAAAGAGTGTTTCAAAACTGCTGTTTCAAAAGGAATCTTCAACTCTGTGAGTTGAATGCAATCATCACAAAGAAGTTTCTGACAATGCTTCTCTCTCGTCTTTCTGTGAAGATAAAGGAAAAGGCTTTCAGGCCTTTTCCACCACAGGCCTGAAAGCGCTCCAAATGTCCACTTGCAGATTCTGCGAAAAGAATATTTCAAAACTGCTCTATGAAAAGCAATGTTAAACTCTGTGGCTGGAACACAAACATCACAAAGCGGTTTCTGAGAATGTTTCAGTTTAGTTTTTCTGTGGAAATATTCCCGTTTCCAAAGAAATCTTCAAAGAGGTCCACGTATCCACTTACAGATTCTACAAAAAGACAGTTTCAAAACTGCTCCATCAAAAGGAGGGTTCAACTGTGTGACTTGAATGCAATCATCACTCAGAAGTTTCTGAGAATGCTTCTCTTTAGTTTTTACGTGAACATATACCCGTTTCGAACGAAGGCCACCCAGTGGTCCAAATATCCACTTGCAGATTATACAGAAAGAGTGTTTCGAACCTGAACTCTCAAAGGCAGGTTCATCTCTGCGAGTTAAATGCATTCATCATGAAGAACTTTCTCAGAGTGTTTGTGTTTAGTTATGGGAAATTATTCCCGTTTCCAACGAAATCCTCAGAGAGCTCCAAATATCCACCTGCAGATTCTACCAAAAGTGTATTTGGAAACTGCTCCATCAAAAGGCATGTTCAGCTCTGTGAGTGAAACTCCATCATCACAAAGAATATTCTGAGAATGCTTCCGTTTGCCTTTTATATGAAGTTCCTTCCTGTACTACCGTAGGCCTCAAAGCAGTCCAAATCTCCATTTGCAGATTCTATAAAAAGAGTGATTCCAATCTGCTCTATCAATAGGATTGTTCAACTCCATGAGTTGAATGCCATCCTCACAAAGTAGTTTCTGAGAATGCTTCTATCTGGTTTTTGTGTGAAGATATTTCCTTTTCCACCACAGGCCTCAAAGCCCTCCAAACGTCCACTTGCAGATTCTCGAAAAAGAGTGTTTCATAGCTGCTCTTTCAAAAGGAAAGTTCAACTCTGGGAGTTGAATACAAACATCACAAAGTAGTTTCCGAGAATGCTTCTGTTTAGTTTTTATGTGAAGATGATCCCGTTTCCAGTGAAATCTTCAAAGAGGTCCACATATCCCCTTGCAGATTCCAAAGAAAGAGGGTTTCAAAACTGCTCCATCAGAGGATTGTTCAACTCTGTGAGTTGAATGCAGTCATCGCAGAAAACTTTCTGAGAATGCTTCTGTCTAGGTTTGATGTGAAGATATAGACGTTTCAAATGAAGGCTACAAAGTGGTCAAAATATACACTTGCAGATTCTACTACAAGGGTGTTGCAAACCTGAACTATCAAAGGAAGGTTCAACTCTGTGAGTTGAATACAAACATCACAAAGAATGTTCTGAGTTTGCTTCCGTTCAGTTATGGGAAGTTGATCCCGTTTCCAACGAAATCCTCAGAGAGGTCAAAATATCCCCTTGCAGATTCTACAAAACGTGTGTTTGGAAACTGCTCCATCATAACGAATGTTCAGCTCCCTGAGTTAAACTCCATCGTCACAAAGAATTTTCTGAGAGTGCTACCGTCTGGTTTTTATATGAAGTTCTTTCCTTCACTACCACAGGCCTCAAAGCGGTCCAAATCTCCACTTGCAGATTCTACAAAAAGAGTGTTTGCAAACTGCTCTATCAAAAGGAATGTTCAACTCTGGGAGTTGAATGCAATCATCACAGAGCAGTTTCTGAGAATGCTTCTATGTCGTTTTTAGGAGAAGATATTTCCTTTTCCAACACAGTCCTCCAAGCCCGCTAAATAGCCACTTGCACATTGTAGAAAAAGTGTGTCAAAGCTGCGCTATCAAAGGGAAAGTTCAACTCTGTGAGGTGAATGCAAACATCCCAAAGAAGTTTCTGAGAATGCTTCCGTTTAGCTTTTAGGTGAAGATTATCCCGTTTCCAACGAAACCTTCAAAGAGGTCCAAATATCCCCTTGTGGATCCCACAGAAAGAGTGTTTCGAAACTGCTGTTTCAAAAGGAATCTTCAACTCTGTGAGTTGAATGCAATCATCACAAAGAAGTTTCTGACAATGCTTCTCTCTCGTCTTTCTGTGAAGATAAAGGAAAAGGCTTTCAGGCCTTTTCCACCACAGGCCTGAAAGCGCTCCAAATGTCCACTTGCAGATTCTGCCAAAAGAATATTTCAAAACTGCTCTATGAAAAGCAATGTTAAACTCTGTGGCTCGAACACAAACATCACAAAGCAGTTTCTGAGAATGCTTCAGTTTAGATTTTCTGTGGAAATACTCCCGTTTCCAAAGAAATCTTCAAAGAGGTCCACGTATCCACTTACAGATTCTACAAAAAGACAGTTTCAAAACTGCTCCATCAAAAGGAGGGTTCAACTGTGTGACTTGAATGCAATCATCACTCAGAAGTTTCTGAGAATGCTTCTCTTTAGTTTTTACGTGAACATATACCCGTTTCGAACGAAGGCCACCCAGTGGTCCAAATATCCACTTGCAGATTCTACAGAAAGAGTGTTTCGAACCTGAACTCTCAAAGGCAGGTTCATCTCTGCGAGTTAAATGCATTCATCATGAAGAACTTTCTCAGAGTGTTTGTGTTTAGTTATGGGAAATTATTCCCGTTTCCAACGAAATCCTCAGAGAGCTCCAAATATCCACCTGCAGATTCTACCAAAAGTGTATTTGGAAACTGCTCCATCAAAAGGCATGTTCAGCTCTGTGAGTGAAACTCCATCATCACAAAGAATATTCTGAGAATGCTTCCGTTTGCCTTTTATCTGAAGTTCCTTCCTATACGACCGTAGGCCTCAAAGCAGTCCAAATCTCCATTTGCAGATTCTACAAAAAGAGTGATTCCAATCTGCTCTATCAATAGGATTGTTCAACTCCATGAGTTGAATGCCATCCTCACAAAGTCGTTTCTGAGAATGCTTCTATCTAGTTTTTATGTGAAGATATTTCCTTTTCCACCACAGGCCTCAAAGCCCTCCAAACGTCCACTTGCAGATTCTCGAAAAAGAGTGTTTCATAGCTGCTCTTTCAAAAGGAAAGTTCAACTCTGGGAGTTGAATACAAACATCACAAAGTAGTTTCCGAGAATGCTTCTGTTTAGTTTTTATGTGAAGATGATCCCGTTTCCAGTGAAATCTTCAAAGAGGTCCACATATCCCCTTGCAGATTCCAAAGAAAGAGGGTTTCAAAACTGCTCCATCAGAAGGATTGTTCAACTCTGTGAGTTGAATGCAGTCATCGCAGAAAACTTTCTGAGAATGCTTCTGTCTAGGTTTGATGTGAAGATATAGACGTTTCAAACGAAGGCTACAAAGTGGTCAAAATATACACTTGCAGATTCTACTACAAGGGTGTTGCAAACCTGAACTATCAAAGGAAGGTTCAAATCTGTGAATTGAATACAAACATCACAAAGAATGTTCTGAGTTTGCTTCCGTTCAGTTATGGGAAGTTGATCCCGTTTCCAACGAAATCCTCAGAGAGGTCCAAATATCCCCTCGCAGATTCTACAAAACGTGTGTTTGGAAACTGCTCCATCATAACGAATGTTCAGCTCCCTGAGTTAAACTCCATCGTCACAAAGAATTTTCTGAGAGTGCTACCGTCTGGTTTTTATATGAAGTTCTTTCCTTCACTACCACAGGCCTCAAAGCGGTCCAAATCTCCACTTGCAGATTCTACAAAAAGAGTGTTTGCAAACTGCTCTATCAAAAGGAATGTTCAACTCTGGGAGTTGAATGCAATCATCACAGAGCAGTTTCTGAGAATGCTTCTATGTCGTTTTTAGGAGAAGATATTTCCTTTTCCAACACAGTCCTCCAAGCCCGCTAAATAGCCACTTGCACATTGTAGAAAAAGTGTGTCAAAGCTGCGCTATCAAAGGGAAAGTTCAACTCTGTGAGGTGAATGCAAACATCCCAAAGAAGTTTCTGAGAATGCTTCCGTTTAGCTTTTAGGTGAAGATTATCCCGTTTCCAACGAAACCTTCAAAGAGGTCCAAATATCCCCTTGCGGATCCCACAGAAAGAGTGTTTCGAAACTGCTGTTTCAAAAGGAATCTTCAACTCTGTGAGTTGAATGCAATCATCACAAAGAAGTTTCTGACAATGCTTCTCTCTCGTCTTTCTGTGAAGATAAAGGAAAAGGCTTTCAGGCCTTTTCCACCACAGGCCTGAAAGCGCTCCAAATGTCCACTTGCAGATTCTGCGAAAAGAATATTTCAAAACTGCTCTATGAAAAGCAATGTTAAACTCTGTGGCTCGAACACAAACATCACAAAGCGGTTTCTGAGAATGCTTCAGTTTAGTTTTTCTGTGGAAATATTCCCGTTTCCAAAGAAATCTTCAAAGAGGTCCACGTATCCACTTACAGATTCTACAAAAAGACAGTTTCAAAACTGCTCCATCAAAAGGAGGGTTCAACTGTGTGACTTGAATGCAATCATCACTCAGAAGTTTCTGAGAATGCTTCTCTTTAGTTTTTACGTGAACATATACCCGTTTCGAAAGAAGGCCACCCAGTGGTCCAAATATCCACTTGCAGATTCTACAGAAAGTGTGTTTCGAACCTGAACTCTCAAAGGCAGGTTCATCTCTGCGAGTTAAATGCATTCATCATGAAGAACTTTCTCAGAGTGTTTGTGTTTAGTTATGGGAAATTATTCCCGTTTCCAACGAAATCCTCAGAGAGCTCCAAATATCCACCTGCAGATTCTACCAAAAGTGTATTTGGAAACTGCTCCATCAAAAGGCATGTTCAGCTCTGTGAGTGAAACTCCATCATCACAAAGAATATTCTGAGAATGCTTCCGTTTGCCTTTTATCTGAAGTTCCTTCCTATACGACCGTAGGCCTCAAAGCAGTCCAAATCTCCATTTGCAGATTCTACAAAAAGAGTGATTCCAATCTGCTCTATCAATAGGATTGTTCAACTCCATGAGTTGAATGCCATCCTCACAAAGTAGTTTCTGAGAATGCTTCTATCTAGTTTTTATGTGAAGATATTTCCTTTTCCACCACAGGCCTCAAAGCCCTCCAAACGTCCACTTGCAGATTCTCGAAAAAGAGTGTTTCATAGCTGCTCTTTCAAAAGGAAAGTTCAACTCTGGGAGTTGAATACAAACATCACAAAACAGTTTCCGAGAATGCTTCTGTTTAGTTTTTATGTGAAGATGATCGATCCCGTTTCCAGTGAAATCTTCAAAGAGGTCCACATATCCCCTTGCAGATTCCAAAGAAAGAGGGTTTCAAAACTGCTCCATCAGAAGGATTGTTCAACTCTGTGAGTTGAATGCAGTCATCGCAGAAAACTTTCTGAGAATGCTTCTGTCTAGGTTTGATGTGAAGATATAGACGTTTCAAACGAAGGCTACAAAGTGGTCAAAATATACACTTGCAGATTCTACTACAAGGGTGTTGCAAACCTGAACTATCAAAGGAAGGTTCAACTCTGTGAGTTGAATACAAACATCACAGAGAATGTTCTGAGTTTGCTTCCGTTCAGTTATGGGAAGTTGATCCCGTTTCCAACGAAATCCTCAGAGAGGTCCAAATATCCCCTCGCAGATTCTACAAAACGTGTGTTTGGAAACTGCTCCATCATAACGAATGTTCAGCTCCCTGAGTTAAACTCCATCGTCACAAAGAATTTTCTGAGAGTGCTACCGTCTGGTTTTTATATGAAGCTCTTTCCTTCACTACCACAGGCCTCAAAGCGGTCCAAATCTCCACTTGCAGATTCTACAAAAAGAGTGTTTGCAAACTGCTCTATCAAAAGGAATGTTCAACCCTGGGAGTTGAATGCAATCATCACAGAGCAGTTTCTGAGAATGCTTCTATGTCGTTTTTAGGAGAAGATATTTCCTTTTCCAACACAGTCCTCCAAGCCCGCTAAATAGCCACTTGCACATTGTAGAAAAAGTGTGTCAAAGCTGCGCTATCAAAGGGAAAGTTCAACTCTGTGAGGTGAATGCAAACATCCCAAAGAAGTTTCTGAGAATGCTTCCGTTTAGCTTTTAGGTGAAGATTATCCCGTTTCCAACGAAACCTTCAAAGAGGTCCAAATATCCCCTTGCGGATCCCACAGAAAGAGTGTTTCGAAACTGCTGTTTCAAAAGGAATCTTCAACTCTGTGAGTTGAATGCAATCATCACAAAGAAGTTTCTGACAATGCTTCTCTCTCGTCTTTCTGTGAAGATAAAGGAAAAGGCTTTCAGGCCTTTTCCCACCACAGGCCTGAAAGCGCTCCAAATGTCCACTTGCAGATTCTGTGAAAAGAATATTGCAAAACTGCTCTATGAAAAGCAATGTTAAACTCTGTGGCTCGAACACAAACATCACAAAGCAGTTTCTGAGAATGCTTCAGTTTAGTTTTTCTGTGGAAATATTCCCGTTTCCAAAGAAATCTTCAAAGAGGTCCACGTATCCACTTACAGATTCTACAAAAAGACAGTTTCAAAACTGCTCCATCAAAAGGAGGGTTCAACTGTGTGACTTGAATGCAATCATCACTCAGAAGTTTCTGAGAATGCTTCTCTTTAGTTTTTAGGTGAACATATACCCGTTTCGAACGAAGGCCACCCAGTGGTCCAAATATCCACTTGCAGATTCTACAGAAAGAGTGTTTCGAACCTGAATCTCTCAAAGGCAGGTTCATCTCTGCGAGTTAAATGCATTCATCATGAAGAACTTTCTCAGAGTGTTTGTGTTTAGTTATGGGAAATTATTCCCGTTTCCAACGAAATCCTCAGAGAGCTCCAAATATCCACCTGCAGATTCTACCAAAAGTGTATTTGGAAACTGCTCCATCAACAGGCATGTTCAGCTCTGTGAGTGAAACTCCATCATCACAAAGAATATTCTGAGAATGCTTCCGTTTGCCTTTTATATGAAGTTCCTTCCTATACGACCGTAGGCCTCAAAGCAGTCCAAATCTCCATTTGCAGATTCTACAAAAAGAGTGATTCCAATCTGCTCTATCAATAGGATTGTTCAACTCCATGAGTTGAATGCCATCCTCACAAAGTCGTTTCTGAGAATGCTTCTATCTAGTTTTTATGTGAAGATATTTCCTTTTCCACCACAGGCCTCAAAGCCCTCCAAACGTCCACTTGCAGATTCTCGAAAAGGAGTGTTTCATAGCTGCTCTTTCAAAAGGAAAGTTCAACTCTGGGAGTTGAATACAAACATCACAAAGTAGTTTCCGAGAATGCTTCTGTTTAGTTTTTATGTGAAGATGATCCCGTTTCCAGTGAAATCTTCAAAGAGGTCCACATATCCCCTTGCAGATTCCAAAGAAAGAGGGTTTCAAAACTGCTCCATCAGAAGGATTGTTCAACTCTGTGAGTTGAATGCAGTCATCGCAGAAAACTTTCTGAGAATGCTTCTGTCTAGGTTTGATGTGAAGATATAGACGTTTCAAACGAAGGCTACAAAGTGGTCAAAATATACACTTGCAGATTCTACTACAAGGGTGTTGCAAACCTGAACTATCAAAGGAAGGTTCAACTCTGTGAGTTGAATACAAACATCACAAAGAATGTTCTGAGTTTGCTTCCGTTCAGTTATGGGAAGTTGATCCCGTTTCCAAAGAAATCCTCAGAGAGGTCCAAATATCCCCTCGCAGATTCTACAAAACGTGTGTTTGGAAACTGCTCCATCATAACGAATGTTCAGCTCCCTGAGTTAAACTCCATCGTCACAAAGAATTTTCTGAGAGTGCTACCGTCTGGTTTTTATATGAAGTTCTTTCCTTCACTACCACAGGCCTCAAAGCGGTCCAAATCTCCACTTGCAGATTCTACAAAAAGAGTGTTTGCAAACTGCTCTATCAAAAGGAATGTTCAACTCTGGGAGTTGAATGCAATCATCACAGAGCAGTTTCTGAGAATGCTTCTATGTCGTTTTTAGGAGAAGATATTTCCTTTTCCAACACAGTCCTCCAAGCCCGCTAAATAGCCACTTGCACATTGTAGAAAAAGTGTGTCAAAGCTGCGCTATCAAAGGGAAAGTTCAACTCTGTGAGGTGAATGCAAACATCCCAAAGAAGTTTCTGAGAATGCTTCCCGTTTAGCTTTTAGGTGAGGATTATCCCGTTTCCAACGAAACCTTCAAAGAGGTCCAAATATCCCCTTGCGGATCCCACAGAAAGAGTGTTTCGAAACTGCTGTTTCAAAAGGAATCTTCAACTCTGTGAGTTGAATGCAATCATCACAAAGAAGTTTCTGACAATGCTTCTCTCTCGTCTTTCTGTGAAGATAAAGGAAAAGGCTTTCAGGCCTTTTCCACCACAGGCCTGAAAGCGCTCCAAATGTCCACTTGCAGATTCTGCGAAAAGAATATTTCAAAACTGCTCTATGAAAAGCAATGTTAAACTCTGTGGCTCGAACACAAACATCACAAAGCGGTTTCTGAGAATGCTTCAGTTTAGTTTTTCTGTGGAAATATTCCCGTTTCCAAAGAAATCTTCAAAGAGGTCCATGCATCCACTTACAGATTCTACAAAAAGACAGTTTCAAAACTGCTCAATCAAAAGGAGGGTTCAACTGTGTGACTTGAATGCAATCATCACTCAGAAGTTTCTGAGAACGCTTCTCTTTAGTTTTTACGTGAACGTATACCCGTTTCGAACGAAGGCCAGCCAGTGGTCCAAATATCCACTTGCAGATTCTACAGAAAGAGTGTTTCGAACCTGAACTCTCAAAGGCAGGTTCATCTCTGCGAGTTAAATGCATTCATCATGAAGAACTTTCTCAGCGTGTTTGTGTTTAGTTATGGGAAATTATTCCCGTTTCCAACGAAATCCTCAGAGAGCTCCAAATATCCACCTGCAGATTCTACCAAAAGTGTATTTGGAAACTGCTCCATCAAAAGGCATGTTCAGCTCTGTGAGTGAAACTCCATCATCACAAAGAATATTCTGAGAATGCTTCCGTTTGCCTTTTATATGAACTTCCTTCCTGTACTACCGTAGGCCTCAAAGCAGTCCAAATCTCCATTTGCAGATTCTACAAAAAGAGTGATTCCAATCTGCTCTATCAATAGGATTGTTCAACTCCATGAGTTGAATGCCATCCTCACAAAGTAGTTTCTGAGAATGCTTCTATCTGGTTTTTGTGTGAAGATATTTCCTTTTCCACCACAGGCCTCAAAGCCCTCCAAACGTCCACTTGCAGATTCTCGAAAAAGAGTGTTTCATAGCTGCTCTTTCAAAAGGAAAGTTCAACTCTGGGAGTTGAATACAAACATCACAAAATAGTTTCCGAGAATGCTTCAGTTTAGTTTTTATGTGAAGATGATCCCGTTTCCAGTGAAATCTTCAAAGAGGTCCACATATCCCCTTGCAGATTCCAAAGAAAGAGGGTTTCAAAACTGCTCCATCAGAAGGATTGTTCAACTCTGTGAGTTGAATGCAGTCATCGCAGAAAACTTTCTGAGAATGCTTCTGTCTAGGTTTGATGTGAAGATATAGAAGTTTCAAACGAAGGCTACAAAGTGGTCAAAATATATACTTGCAGATTCTACTACAAGGGTGTTGCAAACCTGAACTATCAAAGGAAGGTTCAACTCTGTGAGTTGAATACAAACATCACAAAGAATGTTCTGAGTTTGCTTCCGTTCAGTTATGGGAAGTTGATCCCGTTTCCAACGAAATCCTCAGAGAGGTCCAAATATCCCCTTGCAGATTCTACAAAACGTGTGTTTGGAAACTGCTCCATCATAACGAATGTTCAGCTCCCTGAGTTAAACTCCATCGTCACAAAGAATTTTCTGAGAGTGCTACCGTCTGGTTTTTATATGAAGTTCTTTCCTTCACTACCACAGGCCTCAAAGCGGTCCAAATCTCCACTTGCAGATTCTACAAAAAGAGTGTTTGCAAACTGCTCTATCAAAAGGAATGTTCAACTCTGGGAGTTGAATGCAATCATCACAGAGCAGTTTCTGAGAATGCTTCTATGTCGTTTTTAGAAGATATTTCCTTTTCCAACACAGTCCTCCAAGCCCGCTAAATATCCACTTGCACATTGTAGAAAAAGTGTGTCAAAGCTGCGCTATCAAAGGGAAAGTTCAACTCTGTGAGGTGAATGCAAACATCCCAAAGAAGTTTCTGAGAATGCTTCCGTTTAGCTTTTAGGTGAAGATTATCCCGTTTCCAACGAAACCTTCAAAGAGGTCCAAATATCCCCTTGCGGATCCCACAGAAAGAGTGTTTCGAAACTGCTGTTTCAAAAGGAATCTTCAACTCTGTGAGTTGAATGCAATCATCAAAAAGAAGTTTCTGACAATGCTTCTCTCTCGTCTTTCTGTGAAGATAAAGGAAAAGGCTTTCAGGCCTTTTCCACCACAGGCCTGAAAGCGCTCCAAATGTCCACTTGCAGATTCTGCGAAAAGAATATTTCAAAACTGCTCTATGAAAAGCAATGTTAAACTCTGTGGCTCGAACACAAACATCACAAAGCAGTTTCTGAGAATGATTCAGTTTAGTTTTTCTGTGGAAATATTCCCGTTTCCAAAGAAATCTTCAAAGAGGTCCACGTATCCACTTACAGATTCTACAAAAAGACAGTTTCAAAACTGCTCCATCAAAAGGAGGGTTCAACTGTGTGACTTGAATGCAATCATCACTCAGAAGTTTCTGAGAATGCTTCTCTTTAGTTTTTACGTGAACATATACCCGTTTCGAACGAAGGCCACCCAGTGGTCCAAATATCCACTTGCAGATTCTACAGAAAGAGTGTTTCGAACCTGAACTCTCAAAGGCAGGTTCATCTCTGCGAGTTAAATGCATTCATCATGAAGAACTTTCTCAGAGTGTTTGTGTTTAGTTATGGGAAATTATTCCCGTTTCCAACGAAATCCTCAGAGAGCTCCAAATATCCACCTGCTGATTCTACCAAAAGTGTATTTGGAAACTGCTCCATCAAAAGGCATGTTCAGCTCTGTGAGTGAAACTCCATCATCACAAAGAATATTCTGAGAATGCTTCCGTTTGCCTTTTATATGAAGTTCCTTCCTATACGACCGTAGGCCTCAAAGCAGTCCAAATCTCCATTTGCAGATTCTACAAAAAGAGTGATTCCAATCTGCTCTATCAATAGGATTGTTCAACTCCATGAGTTGAATGCCATCCTCACAAAGTCGTTTCTGAGAATGCTTCTATCTAGTTTTTATGTGAAGATATTTCCTTTTCCACCACAGGCCTCAAAGCCCTCCAAACGTCCACTTGCAGATTCTCGAAAAAGAGTGTTTCATAGCTGCTCTTTCAAAAGGAAAGTTCAACTCTGGGAGTTGAATACAAACATCACAAAGTAGTTTCCGAGAATGCTTCTGTTTAGTTTTTATGTGAAGATGATCCCGTTTCCAGTGAAATCTTCAAAGAGGTCCACATATCCCCTTGCAGATTCCAAAGAAAGAGGGTTTCAAAACTGCTCCATCAGAAGGATTGTTCAACTCTGTGAGTTGAATGCAGTCATCGCAGAAAACTTTCTGAGAATGCTTCTGTCTAGGTTTGATGTGAAGATATAGACGTTTCAAACGAAGGCTACAAAGTGGTCAAAATATACACTTGCAGATTCTACTACAAGGGTGTTGCAAACCTGAACTATCAAAGGAAGGTTCAACTCTGTGAGTTGAATACAAACATCACAAAGAATGTTCTGAGTTTGCTTCCGTTCAGTTATGGGAAGTTGATCCCGTTTCCAACGAAATCCTCAGAGAGGTCCAAATATCCCCTTGCAGATTCTACAAAACGTGTGTTTGGAAACTGCTCCATCATAACGAATGTTCAGCTCCCTGAGTTAAACTCCATCGTCACAAAGAATTTTCTGAGAGTGCTACCGTCTAGTTTTTATATGAAGTTCTTTCCTTTACTACCACAGGCCTCAAAGCGGTCCAAATCTCCACTTGCAGATTCTACAAAAAGAGTGTTTGCAAACTGCTCTATCAAAAGGAATGTTCAACTATGGGAGTTGAATGCAATCATCACAGAGCAGTTTCTGAGAATGCTTCTATGTCGTTTTTAGGAGAAGATATTTCCTTTTCCAACACAGTCCTCCAAGCCCGCTAAATATCCACTTGCACATTGTAGAAAAAGTGTGTCGAAGCTGCGCTATCAAAGGGAAAGTTCAACTCTGTGAGGTGAATGCAAACATCCCAAAGAAGTTTCTGAGAATGCTTCCGTTTAGCTTTAAGTGAAGATTATCCCGTTTCCAACGAAATCTTCAAAGAGGTCCAAATATCCCCTTGCGGATCCCACAGAAAGAGTGTTTCGAAACTGCTGTTTCAAAAGGAATCTTCAACTCTGTGAGTTGAATGCAATCATCACAAAGAAGTTTCTGACAATGCTTCTCTCTCGTCTTTCTGTGAAGATAAAGGAAAAGGCTTTCAGGCCATTTCCACCACAGGCCTGAAAGCGCTCCAAATGTCCACTTGCAGATTCTGCCAAAAGAATATTTCAAAACTGCTCTATGAAAAGCAATGTTAAACTCTGCGGCTCGAACACAAACATCACAAAGCAGTTTCTGAGAATGCTTCAGTTTAGTTTTTCTGTGGAAATATTCCCGTTTCCAAAGAAATCTTCAAAGAGGTCCACGCATCCACTTACAGATTCTACAAAAAGACAGTTTCAAAACTGCTCAATCAAAAGGAGGGTTCAACTGTGTGACTTGAATGCATTCATCACTCAGAAGTTTCTGAGAACGCTTCTCTTTAGTTTTTACGTGAACATATACCCGTTTCGAATGAAGGCCAGCCAGTGGTCCAAATATCCACTTGCAGATTCTACAGAAAGAGTGTTTTGAACCTGAACTCTCAAAGGCAGGTTCATCTCTGCGAGTTAAATGCATTCATCATGAAGAACTTTCTCAGCGTGTTTGTGTTTAGTTATGGGAAATTATTCCCGTTTCCAACGAAATCCTCAGAGAGCTCCAAATATCCACCTGCAGATTCTACCAAAAGTGTATTTGGAAACTGCTCCCATCTCAAAAGGCATGTTCAGCTCTGTGAGTGAAACTCCATCATCACAAAGAATATTCTGAGAATGCTTCCGTTTGCCTTTTATATGAAGTTCCTTCCTATACTACCGTAGGCCTCAAAGCAGTCCAAATCTCCATTTGCAGATTCTACAAAAAGAGTGATTCCAATCTGCTCTATCAATATGATTGTTCAACTCCATGAGTTGAATGCCATCCTCACAAAGTAGTTTCTGAGAATGCTTCTATGTAGTTTTTATGTGAAGATATTTCCTTTTCCACCACAGGCCTCAAAGCCCTCCAAACGTCCACTTGCAGATTCTCGAAAAAGAGTGTTTCATAGCTGCTCTTTCAAAAGGAAATTTCAACTGTGGGAGTTGAATACAAACATCACAAAGTAGTTTCCGAGAATGCTTCTGTTTAGTTCTTATGTGAAGATGATCCCGTTTCCAGTGAAATCTCCAAAGAGGTCCACATATCCCCTTGCAGATTCCAAAGAAAGAGGGTTTCAAAACTGCTCCATCAAAAGGATTGTTCAACTCTGTGAGTTGAATGCAGTCATCGCAGAAAACTTTCTGAGAATGCTTCTGTCTAGGTTTGATGTGAAGATATAGACGTTTCAAACGAAGGCTACAAAGTGTTCAAAATATACACTTGCAGATTCTACTACAAGGGTGATGCAAACCTCAACTATCAAAGGAAAGTTCAACTCTGTGAGTTGAATACAAACATCACAAAGAATGTTCTGAGTTTGCTTCTGTTCAGTTATGGGAAGTTGATACCGTTTCCAACGAAATCCTCAGAGAGGTCCAAATATCCCCTTGCAGATTCTACAAAACGTGTGTTTGGAAACTGCTCCATCATAACGAATGTTCAGCTCTCTGAGTTAAACTCCATCGTCACAAAGAATTTTCTGAGAGTGTACCGTCTAGTTTTTATATGAAGTTCTTTCCTTTACTACCACAGGCCTCAAAGCGGTCCAAATCTCCACTTGCAGATTCTACAAAAAGAGTGTTTGCAAACTGCTCTATCAAAAGGAATGTTCAACTCTGGGAGTTGAAAGCAATCATCACAGAGGAGTTTCTGAGAATGCTTCTATGTCGTTTTTAGGAGAAGATATTTCCTTTTCCAACACAGTCCTCCAAGCCCGCTAAATATCCACTTGCACATTGTAGAAAAAGTGTGTCGAAGCTGCGCTATCAAAGGGAAAGTTCAACTCTGTGAGGTGAATGCAAACATCCCAAAGAAGTTTCTGAGAATGCTTCCGTTTAGCTTTTAGGTGAAGATTATCCCGTTTCCAACGAAATCTTCAAAGAGGTCCAAATATCCCCTTGCGGATCCCACAGAAAGAGTGTTTCGAAACTGCTGTTTCAAAAGGAATCTTCAACTCTGTGAGTTGAATGCAATCATCACAAAGAAGTTTCTGACAATGCTTCTCTCTCGTCTTTCTGTGAAGATAAAGGAAAAGGCTTTCAGGCCTTTTCCACCACAGGCCTGAAAGCGCTCCAAATGTCCACTTGCAGATTCTGCCAAAAGAATATTTCAAAACTGCTTTATGAAAAGCAATGTTAAACTCTGCGGCTCGAACACAAACATCACAAAGCAGTTTCTGAGAATGCTTCAGTTTAGTTTTTCTGTGGAAATATTCCCGTTTCGAAAGAAATCTTCAAAGAGGTCCACGTATCCACTTACAGATTCTACAAAAAGACAGTTTCAAAACTGCTCAATCAAAAGGAGGGTTCAACCGTGTGACTTGAATGCAATCATCACTCAGAAGTTTCTGAGAATGCTTCTCTTTAGTTTTTACGTGAACATATACCCGTTTCGAACGAAGGCCACCCAGTGGTCCAAATATCCACTTGCAGATTCTACAGAAAGAGTGTTTCGAACCTGAACTCTCAAAGGCAGGTTCATCTCTGCGAGTTAAATGCATTCATCATGAAGAACTTTCTCAGAGTGTTTGTGTTTAGTTATGGGAAATTATTCCCGTTTCCAACGAAATCCTCAGAGAGCTCCAAATATCCACCTGCAGATTCTACCAAAAGTGTATTTGGAAACTGCTCCATCAAAAGGCATGTTCAGCTCTGTGAGTGAAACTCCATCATCACAAAGAATATTCTGAGAATGCTTCCGTTTGCCTTTTATATGAAGTTCCTTCCTGTACTACCGTAGGCCTCAAAGCAGTCCAAATCTCCATTTGCACATTCTACAAAAAGAGTGATTCCAATCTGCTGTATCAATAGGATTGTTCAACTCCATGAGTTGAATGCCATCCTCACAAAGTCGCTTCTGAGAATGCTTCTATCTAGTTTTTATGTGAAGATATTTCCTTTTCCACCACAGGCCTCAAAGCCCTCCAAACGTCCACTTGTAGATTCTCGAAAAAGAGTGTTTCATAGCTGCTCTTTCAAAAGGAAAGTTCAACTCCTGGGAGTTGAATACAAACATCACAAAGTAGTTTCCGAGAATGCTTCTGTTTAGTTTTTATGTGAAGATGATCCCGTTTCCAGTGAAATCTTCAAAGAGGTCCACATATCCCCTTGCAGATTCCAAAGAAAGAGGGTTTCAAAACTGCTCCATCAGAAGGATTGTTCAACTCTGTGAGTTGAATGCAGTCATCGCAGAAAACTTTCTGAGAAAGCTTCTGTCTAGGTTTGATGTGAAGATATAGACGTTTCAAACGAAGGCTACAAAGTGGTCAAAATATACACTTGCAGATTCTACTACAAGGGTGTTGCAAACCTGAACTATCAAAGGAAGGTTCAACTCTGTGAGTTGAATACAAACATCACAAAGAATGTTCTGAGTTTGCTTCCGTTCAGTTATGGGAAGTTGATCCCGTTTCCAACGAAATCCTCAGAGAGGTCCAAATATCCCCTTGCAGATTCTACAAAACGTGTGTTTGGAAACTGCTCCATCATAACGAATGTTCAGCTCCCTGAGTTAAACTCCATCGTCACAAAGAATTTTCTGAGAGTGCTACCGTCTGGTTTTTATATGAAGTTCTTTCCTTCACTACCACAGGCCTCAAAGCGGTCCAAATCTCCACTTGCAGATTCTACAAAAAGAGTGTTTGCAAACTGCTCTATCAAAAGGAATGTTCAACTCTGGGAGTTGAATGCAATCATCACAGAGCAGTTTCTGAGAATGCTTCTATGTCGTTTTTAGGAGAAGATATTTCCTTTTCCAACACAGTCCTCCAAGCCCGCTAAATAGCCACTTGCACATTGTAGAAAAAGTGTGTCAAAGCTGCGCTATCAAAGGGAAAGTTCAACTCTGTCAGGTGAATGCAAACATCCCAAAGAAGTTTCTGAGAATGCTTCCGTTTAGCTTTTAGGTGAAGATTATCCCGTTTCCAACGAAAGCTTCAAAGAGGTCCAAATATCCCCTTGCGGATCCCACAGAAAGAGTGTTTCGAAACTGCTGTTTCAAAAGGAATCTTCAACTCTGTGAGTTGAATGCAATCATCACAAAGAAGTTTCTGACAATGCTTCTCTCTCGTCTTTCTGTGAAGATAAAGGAAAAGGCTTTCAGGCCTTTTCCACCACAGGCCTGAAAGCGCTCCAAATGTCCACTTGCAGATTCTGCGAAAAGAATATTTCAAAACTGCTCTATGAAAAGCAATGTTAAACTCTGTGGCTCGAACACAAACATCACAAAGCAGTTTCTGAGAATGCTTCAGTTTAGTTTTTCTGTGGAAATATTCCCGTTTCCAAAGAAATCTTCAAAGAGGTCCACGTATCCACTTACAGATTCTACAAAAAGACAGTTTCAAAACTGCTCCATCAAAAGGAGGGTTCAACTGTGTGACTTGAATGCAATCATCACTCAGAAGTTTCTGAGAATGCTTCTCTTTAGTTTTTACGTGAACATATACCCGTTTCGAACGAAGGCCACCCAGTGGTCCAAATATCCACTTGCAGATTCTACAGAAAGAGTGTTTCGAACCTGAACTCTCAAAGGCAGGTTCATCTCTGCGAGTTAAATGCATTCATCATGAAGAACTTTCTCAGAGTATTTGTGTTTAGTTATGGGAAATTATTCCCGTTTCCAACGAAATCCTCAGAGAGCTCCAAATATCCACCTGCAGATTCTACCAAAAGTGTATTTGGAAACTGCTCCATCAAAAGGCATGTTCAGCTCTGTGAGTGAAACTCCATCATCACAAAGAATATTCTGAGAATGCTTCCGTTTGCCTTTTATATGAAGTTCCTTCCTGTACTACCGTAGGCCTCAAAGCAGTCCAAATCTCCATTTGCAGATTCTACAAAAAGAGTGATTCCAATCTGCTCTATCAATAGGATTGTTCAACTCCATGAGTTGAATGCCATCCTCACAAAGTCGTTTCTGAGAATGCTTCTATCTAGTTTTTATGTGAAGATATTTCCTTTTCCACCACAGGCCTCAAAGCCCTCCAAACGTCCACTTGCAGATTCTCGAAAAAGAGTGTTTTATAGCTGCTCTTTCAAAAGGAAAGTTCAACTCTGGGAGTTGAATACAAACATCACAAAGTAGTTTCCGAGAATGCTTCTGTTTAGTTTTTATGTGAAGATGATCCCGTTTCCAGTGAAATCTTCAAAGAGGTCCACATATCCCCTTGCAGATTCCAAAGAAAGAGGGTTTCAAAACTGCTCCAATCAGAAGGATTGTTCAACTCTGTGAGTTGAATGCAGTCATCGCAGAAAACTTTCTGAGAATGCTTCTGTCTAGGTTTGATGTGAAGATATAGACGTTTCAAACGAAGGCTACAAAGTGGTCAAAATATACACTTGCAGATTCTACTACAAGGGTGTTGCAAACCTGAACTATCAAAGGAAGGTTCAACTCTGTGAGTTGAATACAAACATCACAAAGAATGTTCTGAGTTTGCTTCCGTTCAGTTATGGGAAGTTGATCCCGTTTCCAACGAAATCCTCAGAGAGGTCCAAATATCCCCTCGCAGATTCTACAAAACGTGTGTTTGGAAACTGCTCCATCATAAAGAATGTTCAGCTCCCTGAGTTAAACTCCATCGTCACAAAGAATTTTCTGAGAGTGCTACCGTCTGGTTTTTATATGAAGTTCTTTCCTTCACTACGACAGGCCTCAAAGCGGTCCAAATCTCCACTTGCAGATTCTACAAAAAGAGTGTTTGCAAACTGCTCTATCAAAAGGAATGTTCAACTCTAGGAGTTGAATGCAATCATCACAGAGCAGTTTCTGAGAATGCTTCTATGTCGTTTTTAGGAGAAGATATTTCCTTTTCCAACACAGTCCTCCAAGCCCGCTAAATATCCACTTGCACATTGTAGAAAAAGTGTGTTGAAGCTGCGCTATCAAAGGGAAAGTTCAACTCTGTGAGGTGAATGCAAACATCCCAAAGAAGTTTCTGAGAATGCTTCCGTTTAGCTTTTAGGTGAAGATTATCCCGTTTCCAACGAAACCTTCAAAGAGGTCCAAATATCCCCTTGCGGATCCCACAGAAAGAGTGTTTCGAAACTGCTGTTTCAAAAGGAATCTTCAACTCTGTGAGTTGAATGCAATCATCACAAAGAAGTTTCTGACAATGCTTCTCTCTCGTCTTTCTGTGAAGATAAAGGAAAAGGCTTTCAGGCCTTTTCCACCACAGGCCTGAAATCGCTCCAAATGTCCACTTGCAGATTCTGCCAAAAGAATATTTCAAAACTGCTCTATGAAAAGCAATGTTAAACTCTGTGGCTCGAACACAAACATCACAAAGCAGTTTCTGAGAATGCTTCAGTTTAGTTTTTCTGTGGAAATATTCCCGTTTCCAAAGAAATCTTCAAAGAGGTCCACGTATCCACTTACAGATTCTACAAAAAGACAGTTTCAAAACTGCTCCATCAAAAGGAGGGTTCAACTGTGTGACTTGAATGCAATCATCACTCAGAAGTTTCTGAGAATGCTTCTCTTTAGTTTTTACGTGAACATATACCCGTTTCGAACGAAGGCCAGCCAGTGGTCCAAATATCCACTTGCAGATTCTACAGAAAGAGAGTTTCGAACATTAACTCTCAAAGGCAGGTTCATCTCTGCGAGTTAAATGCATTCATCATGAAGAACTTTCTCAGAGTGTTTGTGTTTAGTTATGGGAAATTATTCCCGTTTCCAACGAAATCCTCAGAGAGCTCCAAATATCCACCTGCAGATTCTACCAAAAGTGTATTTGGAAACTGCTCCATCAAAAGGCATGTTCAGCTCTGTGAGTGAAACTCCATCATCACAAAGAATATTCTGAGAATGCTTCCGTTTGCCTTTTATATGAAGTTCCTTCCTATACGACCGTAGGCCTCAAAGCAGTCCAAATCTCCATTTGCAGATTCTACAAAAAGAGTGATTCCAATCTGCTCTATCAATAGGATTGTTCAACTCCATGAGTTGAATGCCATCCTCACAAAGTAGTTTCTGAGAATGCTTCTATCTAGTTTTTATGTGAAGATATTTCCTTTTCCACCACAGGCCTCAAAGCCCTCCAAACGTCCACTTGCAGATTCTCGAAAAAGAGTGTTTCATAGCTGCTCTTTCAAAAGGAAAGTTCAACTCTGGGAGTTGAATACAAACATCACAAAGTAGTTTCCGAGAATGCTTCTGTTTAGTTTTTATGTGAAGATGATCCCGTTTCCAGTGAAATCTTCAAAGAGGTCCACATATCCCCTTGCAGATTCCAAAGAAAGAGGGTTTCAAAACTGCTCCATCAGAAGGATTGTTCAACTCTGTGAGTTGAATGCAGTCATCGCAGAAAACTTTCTGAGAATGCTTCTGTCTAGGTTTGATGTGAAGATATAGACGTTTCAAACGAAGGCTACAAAGTGGTCAAAATATACACTTGCAGATTCTACTACAAGGGTGTTGCAAACCTGAACTATCAAAGGAAGGTTCAACTCTGTGAGTTGAATACAAACATCACAAAGAATGTTCTGAGTTTGCTTCCGTTCAGTTATGGGAAGTTGATCCCGTTTCCAACGAAATCCTCAGAGAGGTCCAAATATCCCCTTGCAGATTCTACAAAACGTGTGTTTGGAAACTGCTCCATCATAACGAATGTTCAGCTCCCTGAGTTAAACTCCATCGTCACAAAGAATTTTCTGAGAGTGCTACCGTCTGGTTTTTATATGATGCTCTTTCCTTCACTACCACAGGCCTCAAAGCGGTCCAAATCTCCACTTGCAGATTCTACAAAAAGAGTGTTTGCAAACTGCTCTATCAAAAGGAATGTTCAACTCTGGGAGTTGAATGCAATCATCACAGAGCAGTTTCTGAGAATGCTTCTATGTCGTTTTTAGGAGAAGATATTTCCTTTTCCAACACAGTCCTCCAAGCCCGCTAAATAGCCACTTGCACATTGTAGAAAAAGTGTGTCAAAGCTGCGCTATCAAAGGGAAAGTTCAACTCTGTGAGGTGAATGCAAACATCCCAAAGAAGTTTCTGAGAATGCTTCCGTTTAGCTTTTAGGTGAAGATTATCCCGTTTCCAACGAAACCTTCAAAGAGGTCCAAATATCCCCTTGCGGATCCCACAGAAAGAGTGTTTCGAAACTGCTGTTTCAAAAGGAATCTTCAACTCTGTGAGTTGAATGCAATCATCCCAAAGAAGTTTCTGACAATGCTTCTCTCTCGTCTTTCTGTGAAGATAAAGGAAAAGGCTTTCAGGCCTTTTCCACCACAGGCCTGAAAGCGCTCCAAATGTCCACTTGCAGATTCTGCCAAAAGAATATTTCAAAACTGCTCTATGAAAAGCAATGTTAAACTCTGTGGCTCGAACACAAACATCACAAAGCGGTTTCTGAGAATGCTTCAGTTTAGTTTTTCTGTGGAAATATTCCCGTTTCCAAAGAAATCTTCAAAGAGGTCCACGTATCCACTTACAGATTCTACAAAAAGACAGTTTCAAAACTGCTCCATCAAAAGGAGGGTTCAACTGTGTGACTTGAATGCAATCATCACTCAGAAGTTTCTGAGAATGCTTCTCTTTAGTTTTTACGTGAACATATACCCGTTTCGAACGAAGGCCAGCCAGTGGTCCAAATATCCACTTGCAGATTCTACAGAAAGAGTGTTTCGAACCTGAACTCTCAAAGGCAGGTTCATCTCTGCGAGTTAAATGCATTCATCATGAAGAACTTTCTCAGAGTGTTTGTGTTTAGTTATGGGAAATTATTCCCGTTTCCAACGAAATCCTCAGAGAGCTCCAAATATCCACCTGCAGATTCTACCAAAAGTGTATTTGGAAACTGCTCCATCAAAAGGCATGTTCAGCTCTGTGAGTGAAACTCCATCATCACAAAGAATATTCTGAGAATGCTTCCGTTTGCCTTTTATATGAACTTCCTTCCTATACTACCGTAGGCCTCAAAGCAGTCCAAATCTCCATTTGCAGATTCTACAAAAAGAGTGATTCCAATCTGCTCTATCAATAGGATTGTTCAACTCCATGAGTTGAATGCCATCCTCACAAAGTCGTTTCTGAGAATGCTTCTATCTAGTTTTTATGTGAAGATATTTCCTTTTCCACCACAGGCCTCAAAGCCCTCCAAACGTCCACTTGCAGATTCTCGAAAAAGAGTGTTTCATAGCTGCTCTTTCAAAAGGAAAGTTCAACTCTGGGAGTTGAATACAAACATCACAAAGTAGTTTCCGAGAATGCTTCTGTTTAGTTTTTATGTGAAGATGATCCCGTTTCCAGTGAAATCTTCAAAGAGGTCCACATATCCCCTTGCAGATTCCAAAGAAAGAGGGTTTCAAAACTGCTCCATCAAAAGGATTGTTCAACTCTGTGAGTTGAATGCAGTCATCGCAGAAAACTTTCTGAGAATGCTTCTTTCTAGGTTTGATGTGAAGATATAGACGTTTCAAACGAAGGCTACAAAGTGGTCAAAATATACACTTGCAGATTCTACTACAAGGGTGTTGCAAACCTGAACTATCAAAGGAAGGTTCAACTCTGTGAGTTGAATACAAACATCACAAAGAATGTTCTGAGTTTGCTTCCGTTCAGTTATGGGAAGTTGATCCCGTTTCCAACGAAATCCTCAGAGAGGTCCAAATATCCCCTCGCAGATTCTACAAAACGTGTGTTTGGAAACTGCTCCATCATAAGGAATGTTCAGCTCCCTGAGTTAAACTCCATCGTCACAAAGAATTTTCTGAGAGTGCTACCGTCTGGTTTTTATATGAAGTTCTTTCCTTCCCTACCACAGGCCTCAAAGCGGTCCAAATCTCCACTTGCAGATTCTACAAAAAGAGTGTTTGCAAACTGCTCTATCAAAAGGAATGTTCAACTCTGGGAGTTGAATGCAATCATCACAGAGCAGTTTCTGAGAATGCTTCTATGTCGTTTTTAGGAGAAGATATTTCGTTTTCCAACACAGTCCTCCAAGCCCGCTAAATAGCCACTTGCACATTGTAGAAAAAGTGTGTCAAAGCTGCGCTATCAAAGGGAAAGTTCAACTCTGTGAGGTGAATGCAAACATCCCAAAGAAGTTTCTGAGAATGCTTCCGTTTAGCTTTTAGGTGAAGATTATCCCGTTTCCAACGAAACCTTCAAAGAGGTCCAAATATCCCCTTGCGGATCCCACAGAAAGAGTGTTTCGAAACTGCTGTTTCAAAAGGAATCTTCAACTCTGTGAGTTGAATGCAATCATCACAAAGAAGTTTCTGACAATGCTTCTCTCTCGTCTTTCTGTGAAGATAAAGGAAAAGGCTTTCAGGCCTTTTCCACCACAGGCCTGAAAGCGCTCCAAATGTCCACTTGCAGATTCTGCCAAAAGAATATTTCAAAACTGCTCTATGAAAAGCAATGTTAAACTCGGTGGCTCGAACACAAACATCCAAAGCAGTTTCTGAGAATGCTTCAGTTTAGTTTTTCTGTGGAAATATTCCCGTTTCCAAAGAAATCTTCAAAGAGGTCCACGCATCCACTTACAGATTCTACAAAAAGACAGTTTCAAAACTGCTCAATCAAAAGGAGGGTTCAACTGTGTGACTTGAATGCAATCATCACTCAGAAGTTTCTGAGAACGCTTCTCTTTAGTTTTTACGTGAACATATACCCGTTTCGAACGAAGGCCAGCCAGTGGTCCAAATATCCACTTGCAGATTCTACAGAAAGAGTGTTTCGAACCTGAACTCTCAAAGGCAGGTTCATCTCTGCGAGTTAAATGCATTCATCATGAAGAACTTTCTCAGCGTGTTTGTGTTTAGTTATGGGAAATTATTCCCGTTTCCAACGAAATCCTCAGAGAGCTCCAAATATCCACCTGCAGATTCTACCAAAAGTGTATTTGGAAACTGCTCCATCAAAAGGCATGTTCAGCTCTGTGAGTGAAACTCCATCATCACAAAGAATATTCTGAGAATGCTTCCGTTTGCCTTTTATATGAAGTTCCTTCCTATACGACCGTAGGCCTCAAAGCAGTCCAAATCTCCATTTGCAGATTCTACAAAAAGAGTGATTCCAATCTGCTCTATCAATAGGATTGTTCAACTCCATGAGTTGAATGCCATCCTCACAAAGTCGTTTCTGAGAATGCTTCTATCTAGTCTTTATGTGAAGATATTTCCTTTTCCACCACAGGCCTCAAAGCCCTCCAAACGTCCACTTGCAGATTCTCGAAAAAGAGTGTTTCATAGCTGCTCTTTCAAAAGGAAAGTTCAACTCTGGGAGTTGAATACAAACATCACAAAGTAGTTTCCGAGAATGCTTCTGTTTAGTTTTTATGTGAAGATGATCCCGTTTCCAGTGAAATCTTCAAAGAGGTCCACATATCCCCTTGCAGATTCCAAAGAAAGAGGGTTTCAAAACTGCTCCATCAGAAGGATTGTTCAACTCTGTGAGTTGAATGCAGTCATCGCAGAAAACTTTCTGAGAATGCTTCTGTCTAGGTTTGATGTGAAGATATAGACGTTTCAAACGAAGGCTACAAAGTGGTCAAAATATACACTTGCAGATTCTACTACAAGGGTGTTGCAAACCTGAACTATCAAAGGAAGGTTCAACTCTGTGAGTTGAATACAAACATCGCAAAGAATGCTCTGAGTTTGCTTCCGTTCAGTTATGGGAAGTTGATCCCGTTTCCAACGAAATCCTCAGAGAGGTCCAAATATCCCCTTGCAGATTCTACAAAACGTGTGTTTGGAAACTGCTCCATCATAACGAATGTTCAGCTCTCTGAGTTAAACTCCATCGTCACAAAGAATTTTCTGAGAGTGCTACCGTCTGGTTTTTATATGAAGTTCTTTCCTTTACTACCACAGGCCTCAAAGCGGTCCAAATCTCCACTGGCAGATTCTACAAAAAGAGTGTTTGCAAACTGCTCTATCAAAAGGAATGTTCAACTCTGGGAGTTTAATGCAATCATCACAGAGCAGTTTCTGAGAATGCTTCTATGTCGTTTTTAGGAGAAGATATTTCCTTTTCCAACACAGTCCTCCAAGCCCGCTAAATAGCCACTTGCACATTGTAGAAAAAGTGTGTCGAAGCTGCGCTATCAAAGGGAAAGTTCAACTCTGTGAGGTGAATGCAAACATCCCAAAGAAGTTTCTGAGAATGCTTCCGTTTAGCTTTTAGGTGAAGATTATCCCGTTTCCAACGAAACCTTCAAAGAGGTCCAAATATCCCCTTGCGGATCCCACAGAAAGAGTGTTTCGAAACTGCTGTTTCAAAAGGAATCTTCAACTCTGTGAGTTGAATGCAATCATCCCAAAGAAGTTTCTGACAATGCTTCTTCTCTCTCGTCTTTCTGTGAAGATAAAGGAAAAGGCTTTCAGGCCTTTTCCACCACAGGCCTGAAAGCGCTCCAAATGTCCACTTGCAGATTCTGCCAAAAGAATATTTCAAAACTGCTCTATGAAAAGCAATGTTAAACTCTGTGGCTCGAACACAAACATCACAAAGCGGTTTCTGAGAATGCTTCAGTTTAGTTTTTCTGTGGAAATATTCCCGTTTCCAAAGAAATCTTCAAAGAGGTCCACGTATCCACTTACAGATTCTACAAAAAGACAGTTTCAAAACTGCTCCATCAAAAGGAGGGTTCAACTGTGTGACTTGAATGCAATCATCACTCACAAGTTTCTGAGAATGCTTCTCTTTAGTTTTTACGTGAACATATACCCGTTTCGAACGAAGGCCAGCCAGTGGTCCAAATATCCACTTGCAGATTCTACAGAAAGAGTGTTTCGAACCTGAACTCTCAAAGGCAGGTTCATCTCTGCGAGTTAAATGCATTCATCATGAAGAACTTTCTCAGAGTGTTTGTGTTTAGTTATGGGAAATTATTCCCGTTTCCAACGAAATCCTCAGAGAGCTCCAAATATCCACCTGCAGATTCTACCAAAAGTGTATTTGGAAACTGCTCCATCAAAAGGCATGTTCAGCACTGTGAGTGAAACTCCATCATCACAAAGAATATTCTGAGAATGCTTCCGTTTGCCTTTTATATGAAGTTCCTTCCTATACGACCGTAGGCCTCAAAGCAGTCCAAATCTCCATTTGCAGATTCTACAAAAAGAGTGATTCCAATCTGCTCTATCAATAGGATTGTTCAACTCCATGAGTTGAATGCCATCCTCACAAAGTAGTTTCTGAGAATGCTTCTATCTAGTTTTTATGTGAAGATATTTCCTTTTCCACCACAGGCCTCAAAGCCCTCCAAACGTCCACTTGCAGATTCTCGAAAAAGAGTGTTTCATAGCTGCTCTTTCAAAAGGAAAGTTCACCTCTGGCAGTTGAATACAAACATCACAAAGTAGTTTCCGAGAATGCTTCTGTTTAGTTTTTATGTGAAGATGATCCGGTTTCCAGTGAAATCTTCAAAGAGGTCCACATATCCCCTTGCAGATTCCAAAGAAAGAGGGTTTCAAAACTGCTCCATCAGAAGGATTGTTCAACTCTGTGAGTTGAATGCAGTCATCGCAGAAAACTTTCTGAGAATGCTTCTGTCTAGGTTTGATGTGAAGATATAGACGTTTCAAACGAAGGCTACAAAGTGGTCAAAATATACACTTGCAGATTCTACTACAAGGGTGTTGCAAACCTGAACTATCAAAGGAAGGTTCAACTCTGTGAGTTGAATACAAACATCACAAAGAATGTTCTGAGTTTGCTTCCGTTCAGTTATGGGAAGTTGATCCCGTTTCCAACGAAATCCTCAGAGAGGTCCAAATATCCCCTTGCAGATTCTACAAAACGTGTGTTTGGAAACTGCTCCATCATAACGAATGTTCAGCTCCCTGAGTTAAACTCCATCGTCACAAAGAATTTTCTGAGAGTGCTTCCGTCTGGTTTTTATATGAAGTTCTTTCCTTCACTACCACAGGCCTCAAAGCGGTCCAAATCTCCACTTGCAGATTCTACAAAAAGAGTGTTTGCAAACTGCTCTATCAAAAGGAATGTTCAACTCTGGGAGTTGAATGCAATCATCACAGAGCAGTTTCTGAGAATGCTTCTATGTCGTTTTTAGGAGAAGATAATTCCTTTTCCAACACAGTCCTCCAAGCCCGCTAAATAGCTACTTGCACATTGTAGAAAAAGTGTGTCAAAGCTGCGCTATCAAAGGGAAAGTTCAACTCTGTGAGGTGAATGCAAACATCCCAAAGAAGTTTCTGAGAATGCTTCCGTTTAGCTTTTAGGTGAAGATTATCCCGTTTCCAACGAAACCTTCAAAGAGGTCCAAATATCCCTTTGTGGATCCCACAGAAAGAGTGTTTCGAAACTGCTGTTTCAAAAGGAATCTTCAACTCTGTGAGTTGAATGCAATCATCACAAAGAAGTTTCTGACAATGCTTCTCTCTCGTCTTTCTGTGAAGATAAAGGAAAAGGCTTTCAGGCCTTTTCCACCACAGGCCTGAAAGCGCTCCAAATGTCCACTTGCAGATTCTGCCAAAAGAATATTTCAAAACTGCTCTATGAAAAGCAATGTTAAACTCTGTGGCTCGAACACAAACATCACAAAGCGGTTTCTGAGAATGCTTCAGTTTAGTTTTTCTGTGGAAATATTCCCGTTTCCAAAGAAATCTTCAAAGAGGTCCACTTATCCACTTACAGATTCTACAAAAAGACAGTTTCAAAACTGCTCCATCAAAAGGAAGGTTCAACTGTGTGACTTGAATGCAATCATCACTCAGAAGTTTCTGAGAATGCTTCTCTTTAGTTTTTACGTGAACATATACCCGTTTCGAACGAAGGCCAGCCAGTGGTCCAAATATCCACTTGCAGATTCTACAGAAAGAGTGTTTCGAACCTGAACTCTCAAAGGCAGGTTCATCTCTGCGAGTTAAATGCATTCATCATGAAGAACTTTCTCAGAGTGTTTGTGTTTAGTTATGGGAAATTATTCCCGTTTCCAACGAAATCCTCAGAGAGGTCCAAATATCCACCTGCAGATTCTACCAAAAGTGTATTTGGAAACTGCTCCATCAAAAGGCATGTTCAGCTCTGTGAGTGAAACTCCATCATCACAAAGAATATTCTGAGAATGCTTCCGTTTGCCTTTTATATGAAGTTCCTTCCTATACGACCGTAGGCCTCAAAGCAGTCCAAATCTCCATTTGCAGATTCTACAAAAAGAGTGATTCCAATCTGCTCTATCAATAGGATTGTTCAACTCCATGAGTTGAATGCCATCCTCACCAAGTCGTTTCTGAGAATGCTTCTATCTAGTTTTTATGTGAAGATATTTCCTTTTCCACCACAGGCCTCAAAGCCCTCCAAACGTCCACTTGCAGATTCTCGAAAAAGAGTGTTTCATAGCTGCTCTTTCAAAAGGAAAGTTCAACTCTGGGAGTTGAATACAAACATCACAAAGTAGTTTCCGAGAATGCTTCTGTTTAGTTTTTATGTGAAGATGATCCCGTTTCCAGTGAAATCTTCAAAGAGGTCCACATATCCCCTTGCAGATTCCAAAGAAAGAGGGTTTCAAAACTGCTCCATCAGAAGGATTGTTCAACTCTGTGAGTTGAATGCAGTCATCGCAGAAAACTTTCTGAGAATGCTTCTGTCTAGGTTTGATGTGAAGATATAGACGTTTCAAACGAAGGCTACAAAGTGGTCAAAATATACACTTGCAGATTCTACTACAAGGGTGTTGCAAACCTGAACTATCAAAGGAAGGTTCAACTCTGTGAGTTGAATACAAACATCACAAAGAATGTTCTGAGTTTGCTTCCGTTCAGTTATGGGAAGTTGATCCCGTTTCCAACGAAATCCTCAGAGAGGTCTAAATATCCCCTTGCAGATTCTACAAAACGTGTGTTTGGAAACTGCTCCATCATAACGAATGTTCAGCTCCCTGAGTTAAACTCCATCGTCACAAAGAATTTTCTGAGAGTGCTACCGTCTGGTTTTTATATGAAGTTCTTTCTTTCACTACCACAGGCCTCAAAGCGGTCCAAATCTCCACTTGCAGATTCTACAAAAAGAGTGTTTGCAAACTGCTCTATCAAAAGGAATGTTCAACTCTGGGAGTTGAATGCAATCATCACAGAGCAGTTTCTGAGAATGCTTCTATGTCGTTTTTAGGAGAAGATATTTCCTTTTCCAACACAGTCCTCCAAGCCCGCTAAATAGCCACTTGCACATTGTAGAAAAAGTGTGTCAAAGCTGCGCTATCAAAGGGAAAGTTCAACTCTGTGAGGTGAATGCAAACATCCCAAAGAAGTTTCTGAGAATGCTTCCGTTTAGCTTTTAGGTGAAGATTATCCCGTTTCCAACGAAACCTTCAAAGAGGTCCAAATATCCCCTTGCGGATCCCACAGAAAGAGTGTTTCGAAACTGCTGTTTCAAAAGGAATCTTCAACTCTGTGAGTTGAATGCAATCATCACAAAGAAGTTTCTGACAATGCTTCTCTCTCGTCTTTCTGTGAAGATAAAGGAAAAGGCTTTCAGGCCTTTTCCACCACAGGCCTGAAAGCGCTCCAAATGTCCACTTGCAGATTCTGCGAAAAGAATATTTCAAAACTGCTCTATGAAAAGCAATGTTAAACTCTGTGGCTCGAACACAAACATCACAAAGCAGTTTCTGAGAATGCTTCAGTTTAGTTTTTCTGTGGAAATATTCCCGTTTCCAAAGAAATCTTCAAAGAGGTCCACGTATCCACTTACAGATTCTACAAAAAGACAGTTTCAGAACTACTCCATCAAAAGGAGGGTTCAACTATGTGACTTGAATGCAATCATCACTCAGAAGTTTCTGAGAATGCTTCTCTTTAGTTTTTACGTGAACATATACCCGTTTCGAACGAAGGCCAGCCAGTGGTCCAAATATCCACTTGCAGATTCTACAGAAAGAGTGTTTCGAACCTGAACTCTCAAAGGCAGGTTCATCTCTGCGAGTTAAATGCATTCATCATGAAGAACTTTCTCAGAGTGTTTGTGTTTAGTTATGGGAAATTATTCCCCGTTTCCAACGAAATCCTCAGAGAGCTCCAAATATCCACCTGCAGATTCTACCAAAAGTGTATTTGGAAACTGCTCCATCAAAAGGCATGTTCAGCTCTGTGAGTGAAACTCCATCATCACAAAGAATATTCTGAGAATGCTTCCGTTTGCCTTTTATATGAAGTTCCTTCCTATACTACCGTAGGCCTCAAAGCAGTCCAAATCTCCATTTGCAGATTCTACAAAAAGAGTGATTCCAATCTGCTCTATCAATAGGATTGTTCAACTCCATGAGTTGAATGCCATCCTCACAAAGTAGTTTCTGAGAATGCTTCTATGTAGTTTTTAAGTGAAGATATTTCCTTTTCCACCACAGGCCTCAAAGCCCTCCAAACGTCCACTTGCAGATTCCCGAAAAAGAGTGTTTCATAGCTGCTCTTTCAAAAGGAAAGTTCAACTCTGGGAGTTGAATACAAACATCACAAAGTAGTTTCCGAGAATGCTTCTGTTTAGTTCTTATGTGAAGATGATCCCGTTTCCAGTGAAATCTTCAAAGAGGTCCACATATCCCCTTGCAGATTCCAAAGAAAGAGGGTTTCAAAACTGCTCCATCAAAAGGATTGTTCAACTCTGTGAGTTGAATGCAGTCATCGCAGAAAACTTTCTGAGAATGCTTCTGTCTAGGTTTGATGTGAAGATATAGACGTTTCAAACGAAGGCTACAAAGTGGTCAAAATATACACTTGCAGATTCTACTACAAGGGTGTTGCAAACCTGAACTATCAAAGGAAGGTTCAACTCTGTGAATTGAATACAAACATCACAAAGAATGTTCTGAGTTTGCTTCCGTTCAGTTATGGGAAGTTGATCCCATTTCCAACGAAATCCTCAGAGAGGTCCAAATATCCCCTTGCAGATTCTACAAAACGTGTGTTTGGAAACTGCTCCATCATAACGAATGTTCAGCTCTCTGAGTTAAACTCCATCGTCACAAAGAATTTTCTGAGAGTGCTACCGTCTGGTTTTTATATGAAGTTCTTTCCTTCACTACCACAGGCCTCAAAGCGGTCCAAATCTCCACTTGCAGATTCTACAAAAAGAGTGTTTGCAAACTGCTCTATCAAAAGGAATGTTCAACTCTGGGAGTTGAATGCAATCATCACAGAGCAGTTTCTGAGAATGCTTCTATGTCGTTTTTAGGAGAAGATATTTCCTTTTCCAACACAGTCCTCCAAGCCCGCTAAATATCCACTTGCACATTGTAGAAAAAGGGTGTCGAAGCTGCGCTATCAAAGGGAAAGTTCAACTCTGTGAGGTGAATGCAAACATCCCAAAGAAGTTTCTGAGAATGCTTCCGTTTAGCTTTTAGGTGAAGATTATCCCGTTTCCAACGAAACCTTCAAAGAGGTCCAAATATCCCCTTGCGGATCCCACAGAAAGAGTGTTTCGAAACTGCTGTTTCAAAAGGAATCTTCAACTCTGTGAGTTGAATGCAATCATCACAAAGAAGTTTCTGACAATGCTTCTCTCTCGTCTTTCTGTGAAGATAAAGGAAAAGGCTTTCAGGCCTTTTCCACCACAGGCCTGAAAGCGCTCCAAATGTCCACTTGTAGATTCTGCGAAAAGAATATTTCAAAACTGCTCTATGAAAAGCAATGTTAAACTCTGTGGCTCGAACACAAACATCACAAAGCAGTTTCTGAGAATGCTTCAGTTTAGTTTTTCTGTGGAAATATTCCCGTTTCCAAAGAAATCTTCAAAGAGGTCCACGTATCCACTTACAGATTCTACAAAAAGACAGTTTCAAAACTGCTCCATCAAAAGGAGGGTTCAACTGTGTGACTTGAATGCAATCATCACTCAGAAGTTTCTGAGAATGCTTCTCTTTAGTTTTTACGTGAACATATACCCGTTTCGAACGAAGGCCACCCAGTGGTCCAAATATCCACTTGCAGATTCTACAGAAAGAGTGTTTCGAACCTGAACTCTCAAAGGCAGGTTCATCTCTGCGAGTTAAATGCATTCATCATGAAGAACTTTCTCAGAGTGTTTGTGTTTAGTTATGGGAAATTATTCCCGTTTCCAACGAAATCCTCAGAGAGCTCCAAATATCCACCTGCAGATTCTACCAAAAGTGTATTTGGAAACTGCTCCATCAAAAGGCATGTTCAGCTCTGTGAGTGAAACTCCATCATCACAAAGAATATTCTGAGAATGCTTCCGTTTGCCTTTTATATGAAGTTCCTTCCTATACGACCGTAGGCCTCAAAGCAGTCCAAATCTCCATTTGCAGATTCTACAAAAAGAGTGATTCCAATCTGCTCTATCAATAGGATTGTTCAACTCCATGAGTTGAATGCCATCCTCACAAAGTAGTTTCTGAGAATGCTTCTATCTAGTTTTTATGTGAAGATATTTCCTTTTCCACCACAGGCCTCAAAGCCCTCCAAACGTCCACTTGCAGATTCTCGAAAAAGAGTGTTTCATAGCTGCTCTTTCAAAAGGAAAGTTCAACTCTGGGAGTTGAATACAAACATCACAAAGTAGTTTCCGAGAATGCTTCTGTTTAGTTTTTATGTGAAGATGATCCCGTTTCCAGTGAAATCTTCAAAGAGGTCCCACATATCCCCTTGCAGATTCCAAAGAAAGAGGGTTTCAAAACTGCTCCATCAAAAGGATTGTTCAACTCTGTGAGTTGAATGCAGTCATCGCAGAAAACTTTCTGAGAATGCTTCTGTCTAGGTTTGATGTGAAGATATAGACGTTTCAAACGAAGGCTACAAAGTGGTCAAAATATACACTTGCAGATTCTACTACAAGGGTGATGCAAACCTCAACTATCAAAGGAAGGTTCAACTCTGTGAGATGAATGCAACCATCACAAAAAATGTTCTGAGTTTGCTTCCGTTTAGTTATGGGAAATTGATACCGTTTCCAACGAAATCCTCAGAGAGGTCCAAATATCCCCTTGCAGATTCTACAAAACGTGTGTTTGGAAACTGCTCCATCATAACGAATGTTCAGCTCTCTGAGTTAAACTCCATCGTCACAAAGAATTTTCTGAGAGTGCTACCGTCTGGTTTTTATATGAAGTTCTTTCCTTTACTACCGCAGGCCTCAAAGCGGTCCAAATCTCCACTTGCAGATTCTACAAAAAGAGTGTTTGCAAACTGCTCTATCAAAAGGAATGTTCAACTCTGGGAGTTGAATGCAATCATCACAGCGCAGTTTCTGAGAATGCTTCTCTCTCGTCTTTCTGTGAAGATAAAGGAAAAGGCTTTCAGGCCTTTTCCACCACAGGCCTGAAAGCGCTCCAAATGTCCACTTGCAGATTCTGCCAAAAGAATATTTCAAAACTGCTCTATGAAAAGCAGTGTTAAACTCTGTGGCTCGAACACAAACATCACAAAGCAGTTTCTGAGAATGCTTCAGTTTAGTTTTTCTGTGGAAATATTCCCGTTTCCAAAGAAATCTTCAAAGAGGTCCACGCATCCACTTACAGATTCTACAAAAAGACAGTTTCAAAACTGCTCAATCAAAAGGAGGGTTCAACTGTGTGACTTGAATGCATTCATCACTCAGAAGTTTCTGAGAATGCTTCTCTTTAGTTTTTACGTGAACATATACCCGTTTCGAACGAAGGCCACCCAGTGGTCCAAATATCCACTTGCAGATTATACAGAAAGAGTGTTTCGAACCTGAACTCTCAAAGGCAGGTTCATCTCTGCGAGTTAAATGCATTCATCATGAAGAACTTTCTCAGAGTGTTTGTGTTTAGTTATGGGAAATTATTCCCGTTTCCAACGAAATCCTCAGAGAGCTCCAAATATCCACCTGCAGATTCTACCAAAAGTGTATTTGGAAACTGCTCCATCAAAAGGCATGTTCAGCTCTGTCAGTGAAACTCCATCATCACAAAGAATATTCTGAGAATGCTTCCGTTTGCCTTTTATATGAAGTTCCTTCCTGTACTACCGTAGGCCTCAAAGCAGTCCAAATCTCCATTTGCAGATTCTATAAAAAGAGTGATTCCAATCTGCTCTATCAATAGGATTGTTCAACTCCATGAGTTGAATGCCATCCTCACAAAGTAGTTTCTGAGAATGCTTCTATCTGGTTTTTGTGTGAAGATATTTCCTTTTCCACCACAGGCCTCAAAGCCCTCCAAACGTCCACTTGCAGATTCTCGAAAAAGAGTGTTTCATAGCTGCTCTTTCAAAAGGAAAGTTCAACTCTGGGAGTTGAATACAAACATCACAAAATAGTTTCCGAGAATGCTTCTGTTTAGTTTTTATGTGAAGATGATCCCGTTTCCAGTGAAATCTTCAAAGAGGTCCACATATCCCCTTGCAGATTCCAAAGAAAGAGGGTTTCAAAACTGCTCCATCAGAGGATTGTTCAACTCTGTGAGTTGAATGCAGTCATCGCAGAAAACTTTCTGAGAATGCTTCTGTCTAGGTTTGATGTGAAGATATAGACGTTTCAAACGAAGGCTACAAAGTGGTCAAAATATACACTTGCAGATTCTACTACAAGGGTGTTGCAAACCTGAACTATCAAAGGAAGGTTCAACTCTGTGAGTTGAATACAAACATCACAAAGAATGTTCTGAGTTTGCTTCCGTTCAGTTATGGGAAGTTGATCCCGTTTCCAACGAAATCCTCAGAGAGGTCCAAATATCCCCTCGCAGATTCTACAAAACGTGTGTTTGGAAACTGCTCCATCATAACGAATGTTCAGCTCCCTGAGTTAAACTCCATCGTCACAAAGAATTTTGTGAGAGTGCTATCGTCTGGTTTTTATATGAAGTTCTTTCCTTCACTACCACAGGCCTCAAAGCGGTCCAAATCTCCACTTGCAGATTCTACAAAAAGAGTGTTTGCAAACTGCTCTATCAAAAGGAATGTTCAACTCTGGGAGTTGAATGCAATCATTACAGAGCAGTTTCTGAGAATGCTTCTATGTCGTTTTTAGGAGAAGATATTTCCTTTTCCAACACAGTCCTCCAAGCCCGCTAAATAGCCACTTGCACATTGTAGAAAAAGTGTGTCAAAGCTGCGCTATCAAAGGGAAAGTTCAACTCTGTGAGGTCAATGCAAACATCCCAAAGAAGTTTCTGAGAATGCTTCCGTTTAGCTTTTAGGAGAAGATTATCCCGTTTCCAACGAAACCTTCAAAGAGGTCCAAATATCCCCTTGCGGATCCCACAGAAAGAGTGTTTCGAAATTGCTGTTTCAAAAGGAATCTTCAACTCTGTGAGTTGAATGCAATCATCACAAAGAAGTTTCTGACAATGCTTCTCTCTCGTCTTTCTGTGAAGATAAAGGAAAAGGCTTTCAGGCCTTTGCCACCACAGGCCTGAAAGCACTCCAAATGTCCACTTGCAGATTCTGCGAAAAGAATATTTCAAAACTGCTCTATGAAAAGCAATGTTAAACTCTGTGGCTCGAACACAAACATCACAAAGCGGTTTTTGAGAATGTTTCAGTTTAGTTTTTCTGTGGAAATATTCCCGTTTCCAAAGAAATCTTCAAAGAGGTCCACGTATCCACTTACAGATTCTACAAAAAGACAGTTTCAAAACTGCTCCATCAAAAGGAGGGTTCAACTGTGTGACTTGAATGCAATCATCACTCAGAAGTTTCTGAGAATGCTTCTCTTTAGTTTTTACGTGAACATATACCCGTTTCGAACGAAGGCCACCCAGTGGTCCAAATATCCACTTGCAGATTCTACAGAAAGAGTGTTTCGAACCTGAACTCTCAAAGGCAGGTTCATCTCTGCGAGTTAAATGCATTCGTCATGAAGAACTTTCTCAGAGTGTTTGTGTTTAGTTATGGGAAATTATTCCCGTTTCCAACGAAATCCTCAGAGAGCTCCAAATATCCACCTGCAGATTCTACCAAAAGTGTATTTGGAAACTGCTCCATCAAAAGGCATGTTCAGCTCTGTGAGTGAAACTCCATCATCACAAAGAATATTCTGAGAATGCTTCCGTTTGCCTTTTATCTGAAGTTCCTTCCTATATGACCGTAGGCCTCAAAGCAGTCCAAATCTCCATTTGCAGATTCTACAAAAAGAGTGATTCCAATCTGCTCTATCAATAGGATTGTTCAACTCCATGAGTTGAATGCCATCCTCACAAAGTCGTTTCTGAGAATGCTTCTATCTAGTTTTTATGTGAAGATATTTCCTTTTCCACCACAGGCCTCAAAGCCCTCCAAACGTCCACTTGCAGATTCTCGAAAAAGAGTGTTTCATAGCTGCTCTTTCAAAAGGAAAGTTCAACTCTGGGAGTTGAATACAAACATCACAAAGTAGTTTCCGAGAATGCTTCTGTTTAGTTCTTATGTGAAGATGATCCCGTTTCCAGTGAAATCTTCAAAGAGGTCCACATATCCCCTTGCAGATTCCAAAGAAAGAGGGTTTCAAAACTGCTCCATCAAAAGGATTGTTCAACTCTGTGAGTTGAATGCAGTCATCGCAGAAAACTTTCTGAGAATGCTTCTGTCTAGGTTTGATGTGAAGATATAGACGTTTCAAACGAAGGCTACAAAGTGGTCAAAATATACACTTGCAGATTCTACTACAAGGGTGTTGCAAACCTGAACTATCAAAGGAAGGTTCAACTCTGTGAGTTGAATACAAACATCACAAAGAATGTTCTGAGTTTGCTTCCGTTCAGTTATGGGAAGTTGATCCCCTTCCCAACGAAATCCTCAGAGAGGTCCAAATATCCCCTTGCAGATTCTACAAAACGTGTGTTTGGAAACTGCTCCATCATAACGAATGTTCAGCTCTCTGAGTTAAACTCCATCGTCACAAAGAATTTTCTGAGAGTGCTACCGTCTAGTTTTTATATGAAGTTCTTTCCTTTACTACCACAGGCCTCAAAGCGGTCCAAATCTCCACTTGCAGATTCTACAAAAAGAGTGTCTGCAAACTGCTCTATCAAAAGGAATGTTCAACTCTGGGAGTTGAATGCAATCATCACAGAGCAGTTTCTGAGAAGGCTTCTATGTCGTTTTTAGGAGAAGATATTTCCTTTTCCAACACAGTCCTCCAAGCCCGCTAAATATCCACTTGCACATTGTAGAAAAAGTGTGTCGAAGCTGCGCTATCAAAGGGAAAGTTCAACTCTGTGAGGTGAATGCAAACATCCCAAAGAAGTTTCTGAGAATGCTTCCGTTTAGCTTTTAGGTGAAGATTATCCCGTTTCCAACGAAACCTTCAAAGAGGTCCAAATATCCCCTTGCGGATCCCACAGAAAGAGTGTTTCGAAACTGCTGTTTCAAAAGGAATCTTCAACTCTGTGAGTTGAATGCAATCATCACAAAGAAGTTTCTGACAATGCTTCTCTCTCGTCTTTCTGTGAAGATAAAGGAAAAGGCTTTCAGGCCTTTTCCACCACAGGCCTGAAAGCGCTCCAAATGTCCACTTGCAGATTCTGCGAAAAGAATATTTCAAAACTGCTCTATGAAAAGCAATGTTAAACTCTGTGGCTCGAACACAAACATCACAAAGCAGTTTCTGAGAATGCTTCAGTTTAGTTTTTCTGTGGAAATATTCCCGTTTCCAAAGAAATCTTCAAAGAGGTCCACGTATCCACTTACAGATTCTACAAAAAGACAGTTTCAAAACTGCTCCATCAAAAGGAGGGTTCAACTGTGTGACTTGAATGCAATCATCACTCAGAAGTTTCTGAGAGTGCTTCTCTTTAGTTTTTACGTGAACATATACCCGTTTCGAACGAAGGCCACCCAGTGGTCCAAATATCCACTTGCAGATTCTACAGAAAGAGTGTTTCGAACCTGAACTCTCAAAGGCAGGTTCATCTCTGCGAGTTAAATGCATTCATCATGAAGAACTTTCTCAGAGTGTTTGTGTTTAGTTATGGGAAATTATTCCCGTTTCCAACGAAATCCTCAGAGAGCTCCAAATATCCACCTGCAGATTCTACCAAAAGTGTATTTGGAAACTGCTCCATCAAAAGGCATGTTCCGCTCTGTGAGTGAAACTCCATCATCACAAAGAATATTCTGAGAATGCTTCCGTTTGCCTTTTATATGAAGTTCCTTCCTATACGACCGTAGGCCTCAAAGCAGTCCAAATCTCCATTTGCAGATTCTACAAAAAGAGTGATTCCAATCTGCTCTATCAATAGGATTGTTCAACTCCATGAGTTGAATGCCATCCTCACAAAGTCGTTTCTGAGAATGCTTCTATCTAGTTTTTATGTGAAGATATTTCCTTTTCCACCACAGGCCTCAAAGCCCTCCAAACGTCCACTTGCAGATTCTCGAAAAAGAGTGTTTCATAGCTGCTCTTTCAAAAGGAAAGTTCAACTCTGGGAGTTGAATACAAACATCACAAAGTAGTTTCCGAGAATGCTTCTGTTTAGTTTTTATGTGAAGATGATCCCGTTTCCAGTGAAATCTTCAAAGAGGTCCACATATCCCCTTGCAGATTCCAAAGAAAGAGGGTTTCAAAACTGCTCCATCAGAAGGATTGTTCAACTCTGTGAGTTGAATGCAGTCATCGCAGAAAACTTTCTGAGAATGCTTCTGTCTAGGTTTGATGTGAAGATATAGACGTTTCAAACGAAGGCTACAAAGTGGTCAAAATATACACTTGCAGATTCTACTACAAGGGTGTTGCAAACCTGAACTATCAAAGGAAGGTTCAACTCTGTGAATTGAATACAAACATCACAAAGAATGTTCTGAGTTTGCTTCCGTTCAGTTATGGGAAGTTGATCCCGTTTCCAACGAAATCCTCAGAGAGGTCCAAATATCCCCTTGCAGATTCTACAAAACGTGTGTTTGGAAACTGCTCCATCATAACGAATGTTCAGCTCCCTGAGTTAAACTCCATCGTCACAAAGAATTTTCTGAGAGTGCTACCGTCTGTTTTTTATATGAAGTTCTTTCCTTCACTACCACAGGCCTCAAAGCGGTCCAAATCTCCACTTGCAGATTCTACAAAAAGAGTGTTTGCAAACTGCTCTATCAAAAGGAATGTTCAACTCTGGGAGTTGAATGCAATCATCACAGAGCAGTTTCTGAGAATGCTTCTATGTCGTTTTTAGGAGAAGATATTTCCTTTTCCAACACAATCCTCCAAGCCCGCTAAATAGCCACTTGCACATTGTAGAAAAAGTGTGTCAAAGCTGCGCTATCAAAGGGAAAGTTCAACTCTGTGAGGTGAATGCAAACATCCCAAAGAAGTTTCTGAGAATGCTTCCGTTTAGCTTTTAGGTGAAGATTATCCCGTTTCCAACGAAACCTTCAAAGAGGTCCAAATATCCCCTTGCGGATCCCACAGAAAGAGTGTTTCGAAACTGCTGTTTCAAAAGGAATCTTCAACTCTGTGAGTTGAATGCAATCATCACAAAGAAGTTTCTGACAATGCTTCTCTCTCGTCTTTCTGTGAAGATAAAGGAAAAGGCTTTCAGGCCTTTTCCACCACAGGCCTGAAAGCGCTCCAAATGTCCACTTGCAGATTCTGCCAAAAGAATATTTCAAAACTGCTCTATGAAAAGCAATGTTAAACTCTGCGGCTCGAACACCAACATCACAAAGCAGTTTCTGAGAATGCTTCAGTTTAGTTTTTCTGTGGAAATATTCCCGTTTCCAAAGAAATCTTCAAAGAGGTCCACGTATCCACTTACAGATTCTACAAAAAGACAGTTTCAAAACTGCTCCATCAAAAGGAGGGTTCAACTGTGTGACTTGAATGCAATCATCACTCAGAAGTTTCTGAGAATGCTTCTCTTTAGTTTTTACGTGAACATATACCCGTTTCGAACGAAGGCCACCCAGTGGTCCAAATATCCACTTGCAGATTCTACAGAAAGAGTGTTTCGAACATGAACTCTCAAAGGCAGGTTCATCTCTGCGAGTTAAATTCATTCATCATGAAGAACTTTCTCAGAGTGTTTGTGTTTAGTTATGGGAAATTATTCCCGTTTCCAACGAAATCCTCAGAGAGCTCCAAATATCCACCTGCAGATTCTACCAAAAGTGTATTTGGAAACTGCTCCATCAAAAGGCATGTTCCGCTCTGTGAGTGAAACTCCATCATCACAAAGAATATTCTGAGAATGCTTCCGTTTGCCTTTTATATGAAGTTCCTTCCTATACGACCGTAGGCCTCAAAGCAGTCCAAATCTCCATTTGCAGATTCTACAAAAAGAGTGATTCCAATCTGCTCTATCAATAGGATTGTTCAACTCCATGAGTTGAATGCCATCCTCACCAAGTCGTTTCTGAGAATGCTTCTATCTAGTTTTTATGTGAAGATATTTCCTTTTCCACCACAGGCCTCAAAGCCCTCCAAACGTCCACTTGCAGATTCTCGAAAAAGAGTGTTTCATAGCTGCTCTTTCAAAAGGAAAGTTCAACTCTGGGAGTTGAATACAAACATCACAAAGTAGTTTCCGAGAATGCTTCTGTTTAGTTTTTATGTGAAGATGATCCCGTTTCCAGTGAAATCTTCAAAGAGGTCCACATATCCCCTTGCAGATTCCAAAGAAAGAGGGTTTCAAAACTGCTCCATCAAAAGGATTGTTCAACTCTGTGAGTTGAATGCAGTCATCGCAGAAAACTTTCTGAGAATGCTTCTTTCTAGGTTTGATGTGAAGATATAGACGTTTCAAACGAAGGCTACAAAGTGGTCAAAATATACACTTGCAGATTCTACTACAAGGGTGTTGCAAACCTGAACTATCAAAGGAAGGTTCAACTCTGTGAGTTGAATACAAACATCACAAAGAATGTTCTGAGTTTGCTTCCGTTCAGTTATGGGAAGTTGATCCCGTTTCCAACGAAATCCTCAGAGAGGTCCAAATATCCCCTCGCAGATTCTACAAAACGTGTGTTTGGAAACTGCTCCATCATAAGGAATGTTCAGCTCCCTGAGTTAAACTCCATCGTCACAAAGAATTTTCTGAGAGTGCTACCGTCTGGTTTTTATATGAAGTTCTTTCCTTCCCTACCACAGGCCTCAAAGCGGTCCAAATCTCCACTTGCAGATTCTACAAAAAGAGTGTTTGCAAACTGCTCTATCAAAAGGAATGTTCAACTCTGGGAGTTGAATGCAATCATCACAGAGCAGTTTCTGAGAATGCTTCTATGTCGTTTTTAGGAGAAGATATTTCCTTTTCCAACACAGTCCTCCAAGCCCGCTAAATAGCCACTTGCACATTGTAGAAAAAGTGTGTCAAAGCTGCGCTATCAAAGGGAAAGTTCAACTCTGTGAGGTGAATGCAAACATCCCAAAGAAGTTTCTGAGAATGCTTCCGTTTAGCTTTTAGGTGAAGATTATCCCGTTTCCAACGAAACCTTCAAAGAGGTCCAAATATCCCCTTGCGGATCCCACAGAAAGAGTGTTTCGAAACTGCTGTTTCAAAAGGAATCTTCAACTCTGTGAGTTGAATGCAATCATCACAAAGAAGTTTCTGACAATGCTTCTCTCTCGTCTTTCTGTGAAGATAAAGGAAAAGGCTTTCAGGCCTTTGCCACCACAGGCCTGAAAGCGCTCCAAATGTCCACTTGCAGATTCTGCCAAAAGAATATTTCAAAACTGCTCTATGAAAAGCAATGTTAAACTCTGTGGCTCGAACACAAACATCACAAAGCGGTTTTTGAGAATGTTTCAGTTTAGTTTTTCTGTGGAAATATTCCCGTTTCCAAAGAAATCTTCAAAGAGGTCCACGTATCCACTTACAGATTCTACAAAAAGACAGTTTCAAAACTGCTCCATCAAAAGGAGGGTTCAACTGTGTGACTTGAATGCAATCATCACTCAGAAGTTTCTGAGAATGCTTCTCTTTAGTTTTTACGTGAACATATACCCGTTTCGAACGAAGGCCACCCAGTGGTCCAAATATCCACTTGCAGATTCTACAGAAAGAGTGTTTCGAACCTGAACTCTCAAAGGCAGGTTCATCTCTGCGAGTTAAAAGCATTCATCATGAAGAACTTTCTCAGAGTGTTTGTGTTTAGTTATGGGAAATTATTCCCGTTTCCAACGAAATCCTCAGAGAGCTCCAAATATCCACCTGCAGATTCTACCAAAAGTGTATTTGGAAACTGCTCCATCAAAAGGCATGTTCAGCTCTGTGAGTGAAACTCCATCATCACAAAGAATATTCTGAGAATGCTTCCGTTTGCCTTTTATATGAAGTTCCTTCCTGTACTACCGTAGGCCTCAAAGCAGTCCAAATCTCCATTTGCAGATTCTATAAAAAGAGTGATTCCAATCTGCTCTATCAATAGGATTGTTCAACTCCATGAGTTGAATGCCATCCTCACAAAGTAGTTTCTGAGAATGCTTCTATCTGGTTTTTGTGTGAAGATATTTCCTTTTCCACCACAGGCCTCAAAGCCCTCCAAACGTCCACTTGCAGATTCTCGAAAAAGAGTGTTTCATAGCTGCTCTTTCAAAAGGAAAGTTCAACTCTGGGAGTTGAATACAAACATCACAAAGTAGTTTCCGAGAATGCTTCTGTTTAGTTTTTATGTGAAGATGATCCCGTTTCCAGTGAAATCTTCAAAGAGGTCCACATATCCCCTTGCAGATTCCAAAGAAAGAGGGTTTCAAAACTGCTCCATCAGAAGGATTGTTCAACTCTGTGAGTTGAATGCAGTCATCGCAGAAAACTTTCTGAGAATGCTTCTGTCTAGGTTTGATGTGAAGATATAGACGTTTCAAACGAAGGCTACAAAGTGGTCAAAATATACACTTGCAGATTCTACTACAAGGGTGTTGCAAACCTGAACTATCAAAGGAAGGTTCAACTCTGTGAGTTGAATACAAACATCACAAAGAATGTTCTGAGTTTGCTTCCGTTCAGTTATGGGAAGCTGATCCCGTTTCCAACGAAATCCTCAGAGAGGTCCAAATATCCCCTTGCAGATTCTACAAAACGTGTGTTTGGAAACTGCTCCATCATAACGAATGTTCAGCTCCCTGAGTTAAACTCCATCGTCACAAAGAATTTTCTGAGAGTGCTACCGTCTGGTTTTTATATGAAGTTCTTTCCTTCACTACCACTGGCCTCAAAGCGGTCCAAATCTCCACTTGCAGATTCTACAAAAAGAGTGTTTGCAAACTGCTCTATCAAAAGGAATGTTCAACTCTGGGAGTTGAATGCAATCATCACAGAGCAGTTTCTGAGAATGCTTCTATGTCGTTTTTAGGAGAAGATATTTCCTTTTCCAACACAGTCCTCCAAGCCCGCTAAATAGCCACTTGCACATTGTAGAAAAAGTGTGTCAAAGCTGCGCTATCAAAGGGAAAGTTCAACTCTGAGAGGTGAATGCAAACATCCCAAAGAAGTTTCTGAGAGTGCTTCCGTTTAGCTTTTAGGTGAAGATTATCCCGTTTCCAACGAAACCTTCAAAGAAGTCCAAATATCCCCTTGCGGATCCCACAGAAAGAGTGTTTCGAAACTGCTGTTTCAAAAGGAATCTTCAACTCTGTGAGTTGAATGCAATCATCACAAAGAAGTTTCTGACAATGCTTCTCTCTCGTCTTTCTGTGAAGATAAAGGAAAAGGCTTTCAGGCCTTTGCCACCACAGGCCTGAAAGCGCTCCAAATGTCCACTTGCAGATTCTGCGAAAAGAATATTTCAAAACTGCTGCTATGAAAAGCAATGTTAAACTACTGTGGCTCGAACACAAACATCACAAAGCGGTTTCTGAGAATGCTTCAGTTTAGTTTTTCTGTGGAAATATTCCCGTTTCCAAAGAAATCTTCAAAGAGGTCCACGTATCCACTTACAGATCCTACAAAAAGACAGTTTCAAAACTGCTCAATCAAAAGGAGGGTTCAACTGTGCGACTTGAAAGCAATCATCACTCAGAACTCTCTGAGAATGCTTCTCTTTAGTTTTTACGTGAACATATACCCGTTTCGAACGAAGGCCACCCAGTGGTCCAAATATCCACCTGCAGATTCTACAGAAAGAGTGTTTCGAACCTGAACTCTCAAAGGCAGGTTCATCTCTGCGAGTTAAATGCATTCGTCATGAAGAACTTTCTCAGCGTGTTTGTGTTTAGTTATGGGAAATTACTCCTTTTCCCAACGAAATCCTCAGAGAGGTCCAAATGTCCACCTGCAGATTCTACCAAAAGTGTATTTGGAAACTGCTCCAACAACAGGCATGTTCAGCTCTGTGAGTGAAACTCCATCATCACAAAGAATATTCTGAGAATGCTTCCGTTTGCCTTTTATATGAAGTTCCTTCCCATACGACCGTAGGCCTCAAAGCAGTCCAAATCTCCATTTGCAGATTCTACAAAAAGAGTGATTCCAATCTGCTCTATCAATAGGATTGTTCAACTCCATGAGTTGAATGCCATCCTCACAAAGTCGTTTCTGAGAATGCTTCTATCTGGTTTTTGTGTGAAGATATTTCCTTTTCCACCACAGGCCTCAAAGCCCTCCAAACGTCCACTTGCTGATTCTCGAAAAAGAGTGTTTCATAGCTGCTCTTTCAAAAGGAAAGTTCAACTCTGGGAGTTGAATACAAACATCACAAAATAGTTTCCGAGAATGCTTCTGTTTAGTTTTTATGTGAAGATGATCCCGTTTCCAGTGAAATCTTCAAAGAGGTCCACATATCCCCTTGCAGATTCCAAAGAAAGAGTGTTTAAAAACTGCTCCATCAGAAGGATTGTTCAACTCTGTGAGTTGAATGCAGTCATCGCAGAAAACTTTCTGAGAATGCTTCTGTCTAGGTTTGATGTGAAGATATAGACGTTTCAAATGAAGGCTACAAAGTGGTCAAAATATACACTTGCAGATTCTACTACAAGGGTGTTGCAAACCTGAACTATCAAAGGAAGGTTCAACTCTGTGAGTTGAATACAAACATCACAAAGAATGTTCTGAGTTTGCTTCCGTTCAGTTATGGGAAGTTGATCCCGTTTCCAACGAAATCCTCAGAGAGGTCCAAATATCCCCTTGCAGATTCTACAAAACGTGTGTTTGGAAACTGCTCCATCATAACGAATGTTCAGCTCCCTGAGTTAAACTCCATCGTCACAAAGAATTTTCTGAGAGTGCTACCGTCTGGTTTTTATATGAAGTTCTTTCCTTCACTACCACAGGCCTCAAAGCGGTCCAAATCTCCACTTCCAGATTCTACAAAAAGAGTGTTTGCAAACTGCTCTATCAAAAGGAATGTTCAACTCTGGGAGTTGAATGCAATCATCACAGAGCAGTTTCTGAGAATGCTTCTATGTCGTTTTTAGGAGAAGATATTTCCTTTTCCAACACAGTCCTCCAAGCCCGCTAAATAGCCACTTGCACATTGTAGAAAAAGTGTGTCAAAGCTGCGCTATCAAAGGGAAAGTTCAACTCTGTGAGGTGAATGCAAACATCCCAAAGAAGTTTCTGAGAATGCTTCCGTTTAGCTTTTAGGTGAAGATTATCCCGTTTCCAACGAAACCTTCAAAGAGGTCCAAATATCCCCTTGCGGATCCCACAGAAAGAGTGTTTCGAAACTGCTGTTTCAAAAGGAATCTTCAACTCTGTGAGTTGAATGCAATCATCACAAAGAAGTTTCTGACAATGCTTCTCTCTCGTCTTTCTGTGAAGATAAAGGAAAAGGCTTTCAGGCCTTTTCCACCACAGGCCTGAAAGCGCTCCAAATGTCCACTTGCAGATTCTGCCAAAAGAATATTTCAAAACTGCTCTATGAAAAGCAATGTTAAACTCTGCGGCTCGAACACAAACATCACAAAGCAGTTTCTGAGAATGCTTCAGTTTAGTTTTTCTGTGGAAATATTCCCGTTTCCAAAGAAATCTTCAAAGAGGTCCACGTATCCACTTACAGATTCTACAAAAAGACAGTTTCAAAACTGCTCAATCAAAAGGAGGGTTCAACCGTATGACTTGAATGCAATCATCACGCAGAAGTTTCTGAGAATGCTTCTCTTTAGTTTTTACGTGAACATATACCCGTTTTGAACGAAGGCCACCCAGTGGTCCAAATATCCACTTGCAGATTCTACAGAAAGAGTGTTTCGAACCTGAACTCTCAAAGGCAGGTTCATCTCTGCGAGTTCAATGCATTCATCATGAAGAACTTTCTCAGAGTGTTTGTGTTTAGGTATGGGAAATTATTGCCGTTTCCAACGAAATCCTCAGAGAGGTCCAAATATCCACCTGCAGATTCTACCAAAAGTGTATTTGGAAACTGCTCCATCAAAAGGCATGTTCAGCTCTGTGAGTGAAACTCCATCATCACAAAGAATATTCTGAGAATGCTTCCGTTTGCCTTTTATATGAAGTTCCTTCCTATACGACCGTAGGCCTCAAAGCAGTCCAAATCTCCATTTGCAGATTCTACAAAAAGAGTGATTCCAATCTGCTCTATCAATAGGATTGTTCAACTCCATGAGTTGAATGCCATCCTCACAAAGTAGTTTCTGAGAATGCTTCTATCTAGTTTTTATGTGAAGATATTTCCTTTTCCACCACAGGCCTCAAAGCCCTCCAAACGTCCACTTGCAGATTCTCGAAAAAGAGTGTTTCATAGCTGCTCTTTCAAAAGGAAAGTTCAACTCTGGGAGTTGAATACAAACATCACAAAGTAGTTTCCGAGAATGCTTCTGTTTAGTTTTTATGTGAAGATGATCCCGTTTCCAGTGAAATCTTCAAAGAGGTCCACATATCCCCTTGCAGATTCCAAAGAAAGAGGGTTTCAAAACTGCTCCATCAGAAGGATTGTTCAACTCTGTGAGTTGAATGCAGTCATCGCAGAAAACTTTCTGAGAATGCTTCTGTCTAGGTTTGATGTGAAGATATAGACGTTTCAAACGAAGGCTACAAAGTGGTCAAAATATACACTTGCAGATTCTACTACAAGGGTGTTGCAAACCTGAACTATCAAAGGAAGGTTCAACTCTGTGAGTTGAATACAAACATCACAAAGAATGTTCTGAGTTTGCTTCCGTTCAGTTATGGGAAGTTGATCCCGTTTCCAACGAAATCCTCAGAGAGGTCCAAATATCCCCTTGCAGATTCTACAAAAAGTGTGTTTGGAAACTGCTCCATCATAACGAATGTTCAGCTCCCTGAGTTAAACTCCATCGTCACAAAGAATTTTCTGAGAGTGCTACCGTCTGGTTTTTATATGAAGTTCTTTCCTTCACTACCACAGGCCTCAAAGCGGTCCAAATCTCCACTTGCAGATTCTACAAAAAGAGTGTTTGCAAACTGCTCTATCAAAAGGAATGTTCAACTCTGGGAGTTGAATGCAATCATCACAGAGCAGTTTCTGAGAATGCTTCTATGTCGTTTTTAGGAGAAGATATTTCCTTTTCCAACACAATCCTCCAAGCCCGCTAAATAGCCACTTGCACATTGTAGAAAAAGTGTGTCAAAGCTGCGCTATCAAAGGGAAAGTTCAACTCTGTGAGGTGAATGCAAACATCCCAAAGAAGTTTCTGAGAATGCTTCCGTTTAGCTTTTAGGTGAAGATTATCCCGTTTCCAACGAAACCTTCAAAGAGGTCCAAATATCCCCTTGCGGATCCCACAGAAAGAGTGTTTCGAAACTGCTGTTTCAAAAGGAATCTTCAACTCTGTGAGTTGAATGCAATCATCACAAAGAAGTTTCTGACAATGCTTCTCTCTCGTCTTTCTGTGAAGATAAAGGAAAAGGCTTTCAGGCCTTTTCCACCACAGGCCTGAAAGCGCTCCAAATGTCCACTTGCAGATTCTGCCAAAAGAATATTTCAAAACTGCTCTATGAAAAGCAATGTTAAACTCTGTGGCTGGAACACAAACATCACAAAGCGGTTTCTGAGAATGTTTCAGTTTAGTTTTTCTGTGGAAATATTCCCGTTTCCAAAGAAATCTTCAAAGAGGTCCACGTATCCACTTACAGATTCTACAAAAAGACAGTTTCAAAACTGCTCCATCAAAAGGAGGGTTCAACTGTGTGACTTGAATGCAATCATCACTCAGAAGTTTCTGAGAATGCTTCTCTTTAGTTTTTACGTGAACATATACCCGTTTCGAACGAAGGCCACCCAGTGGTCCAAATATCCACTTGCAGATTATACAGAAAGAGTGTTTCGAACCTGAACTCTCAAAGGCAGGTTCATCTCTGCGAGTTAAATGCATTCATCATGAAGAACTTTCTCAGAGTGTTTGTGTTTAGTTATGGGAAATTATTCCCGTTTCCAACGAAATCCTCAGAGAGCTCCAAATATCCACCTGCAGATTCTACCAAAAGTGTATTTGGAAACTGCTCCATCAAAAGGCATGTTCAGCTCTGTGAGTGAAACTCCATCATCACAAAGAATATTCTGAGAATGCTTCCGTTTGCCTTTTATCTGAAGTTCCTTCCTATACGACCGTAGGCCTCAAAGCAGTCCAAATCTCCATTTGCAGATTCTACAAAAAGAGTGATTCCAATCTGCTCTATCAATAGGATTGTTCAACTCCATGAGTTGAATGCCATCCTCACAAAGTCGTTTCTGAGAATGCTTCTATCTAGTTTTTATGTGAAGATATTTCCTTTTCCACCACAGGCCTCAAAGCCCTCCAAACGTCCACTTGCAGATTCTCGAAAAAGAGTGTTTCATAGCTGCTCTTTCAAAAGGAAAGTTCAACTCTGGCAGTTGAATACAAACATCACAAAGTAGTTTCCGAGAATGCTTCTGTTTAGTTTTTATGTGAAGATGATCCCGTTTCCAGTGAAATCTTCAAAGAGGTCCACATATCCCCTTGCAGATTCCAAAGAAAGAGGGTTTCAAAACTGCTCCATCAAAAGGATTGTTCAACTCTGTGAGTTGAATGCAGTCATCGCAGAAAACTTTCTGAGAATGCTTCTGTCTAGGTTTGATGTGAAGATATAGACGTTTCAAACGAAGGCTACAAAGTGGTCAAAATATACACTTGCAGATTCTACTACAAGGGTGTTGCAAACCTGAACTATCAAAGGAAGGTTCAACTCTGTGAGTTGAATACAAACATCACAAAGAATGTTCTGAGTTTGCTTCCGTTCAGTTATGGGAAGTTGATCCCGTTTCCAACGAAATCCTCAGAGAGGTCCAAATATCCCCTTGCAGATTCTACAAAACGTGTGTTTGGAAACTGCTCCATCATAACGAATGTTCAGCTCCCTGAGTTAAACTCCATCGTCACAAAGAATTTTCTGAGAGTGCTACCGTCTGGTTTTTATATGAAGTTCTTTCCTTCACTACCACAGGCCTCAAAGCGGTCCAAATCTCCACTTGCAGATTCTACAAAAAGAGTGTTTGCAAACTGCTCTATCAAAAGGAATGTTCAACTCTGGGAGTTGAATGCAATCATCACAGAGCAGTTTCTGAGAATGCTTCTATGTCGTTTTTAGGAGAAGATATTTCCTTTTCCAACACTGTCCTCCAAGCCCGCTAAATAGCCACTTGCACATTGTAGAAAAAGTGTGTCAAAGCTGCGCTATCAAAGGGAAAGTTCAACTCTGTGAGGTGAATGCAAACATCCCAAAGAAGTTTCTGAGAATGCTTCCGTTTAGCTTTTAGGTGAAGATTATCCCGTTTCCAACGAAACCTTCAAAGAGGTCCAAATATCCCCTTGCGGATCCCACAGAAAGAGTGTTTCGAAACTGCTGTTTCAAAAGGAATCTTCAACTCTGTGAGTTGAATGCAATCATCACAAAGAAGTTTCTGACAATGCTTCTCTCTCGTCTTTCTGTGAAGATAAAGGAAAAGGCTTTCAGGCCTTTTCCACCACAGGCCTGAAAGCGCTCCAAATGTCCACTTGCAGATTCTGCGAAAAGAATATTTCAAAACTGCTCTATGAAAAGCAATGTTAAACTCTGTGGCTCGAACACAAACATCACAAAGCAGTTTCTGAGAATGCTTCAGTTTAGTTTTTCTGTGGAAATATTCCCGTTTCCAAAGAAATCTTCAAAGAGGTCCACGTATCCACTTACAGATTCTACAAAAAGACAGTTTCAAAACTGCTCCATCAAAAGGAGGGTTCAACTGTGTGACTTGAATGCAATCATCACTCAGAAGTTTCTGAGAATGCTTCTCTTTAGTTTTTACGTGAACATATACCCGTTTCGAACGAAGGCCACCCAGTGGTCCAAATATCCACTTGCAGATTCTACAGAAAGAGTGTTTCGAACCCGAACTCTCAAAGGCAGGTTCATCTCTGCGAGTTAAATGCATTCATCATGAAGAACTTTCTCAGAGTGTTTGTGTTTAGTTATGGGAAATTATTCCCGTTTCCAAAGAAATCCTCAGAGAGCTCCAAATATCCACCTGCAGATTCTACCAAAAGTGTATTTGGAAACTGCTCCATCAAAAGGCATGTTCAGCTCTGTGAGTGAAACTCCATCATCACAAAGAATATTCTGAGAATGCTTCCGTTTGCCTTTTATCTGAAGTTCCTTCCTATACGACCGTAGGCCTCAAAGCAGTCCAAATCTCCATTTGCAGATTCTACAAAAAGAGTGATTCCAATCTGCTCTATCAATAGGATTGTTCAACTCCATGAGTTGAATGCCATCCTCACAAAGTCGTTTCTGAGAATGCTTCTATCTAGTTTTTATGTGAAGATATTTCCTTTTCCACCACAGGCCTCAAAGCCCTCCAAACGTCCACTTGCAGATTCTCGAAAAAGAGTGTTTCATAGCTGCTCTTTCAAAAGGAAAGTTCAACTCTGGGAGTTGAATACAAACATCACAAAGTAGTTTCCGAGAATGCTTCTGTTTAGTTCTTATGTGAAGATGATCCCGTTTCCAGTGAAATCTTCAAAGAGGTCCACATATCCCCTTGCAGATTCCAAAGAAAGAGGGTTTCAAAACTGCTCCATCAAAAGGATTGTTCAACTCTGTGAGTTGAATGCAGTCATCGCAGAAAACTTTCTGAGAATGCTTCTGTCTAGGTTTGAGGTGAAGATATAGACGTTTCAAACGAAGGCTACAAAGTGGTCAAAATATACACTTGCAGATTCTACTACAAGGGTGTTGCAAACCTGAACTATCAAAGGAAGGTTCAACTCTGTGAGTTGAATACAAACATCACAAAGAATGTTCTGAGTTTGCTTCCGTTCAGTTATGGGAAGTTGATCCCGTTTCCAACGAAATCCTCAGAGAGGTCCAAATATCCCCTTGCAGATTCTGCAAAACGTGTGTTTGGAAACTGCTCCATCATAACGAATGTTCAGCTCTCTGAGTTAAACTCCATCGTCACAAAGAATTTTCTGAGAGTGCTACCGTCTAGTTTTTATATGAAGTTCTTTCCTTTACTACCACAGGCCTCAAAGCGGTCCAAATCTCCACTTGCAGATTCTACAAAAAGAGTGTTTGCAAACTGCTCTATCAAAAGGAATGTTCAACTTCTGGGAGTTGAATGCAATCATCACAGAGCAGTTTCTGAGAATGCTTCTATGTCGTTTTTAGGAGAAGATATTTCCTTTTCCAACACAGTCCTCCAAGCCCGCTAAATAGCCACTTGCACATTGTAGAAAAAGTGTGTCAAAGCTGCGCTATCAAAGGGAAAGTTCAACTCTGTCAGGTGAATGCAAACATCCCAAAGAAGTTTCTGAGAATGCTTCCGTTTAGCTTTTAGGTGAAGATTATCCCGTTTCCAACGAAACCTTCAAAGAGGTCCAAATATCCCCTTGCGGATCCCACAGAAAGAGTGTTTCGAAACTGCTGTTTCAAAAGGAATCTTCAACTCTGTGAGTTGAATGCAATCATCACAAAGAAGTTTCTGACAATGCTTCTCTCTCGTCTTTCTGTGAAGATAAAGGAAAAGGCTTTCAGGCCTTTTCCACCACAGGCCTGAAAGCGCTCCAAATGTCCACTTGCAGATTCTGCCAAAAGAATATTTCAAAACTGCTCTATGAAAAGCAATGTTAAACTCTGTGGCTCGAACACAAACATCACAAAGCAGTTTCTGAGAATGCTTCAGTTTAGTTTTTCTGTGGAAATATTCCCGTTTCCAAAGAAATCTTCAAAGAGGTCCACGTATCCACTTACAGATTCTACAAAAAGACAGTTTCAAAACTGCTCCATCAAAAGGAGGGTTCAACCGTGTGACTTGAATGCAATCATCACTCAGAAGTTTCTGAGAATGCTTCTCTTTAGTTTTTACGTGAACATATACCCGTTTCGAACGAAGGCCACCCAGTGGTCCAAATATCCACTTGCAGATTATACAGAAAGAGTGTTTCGAACCTGAACTCTCAAAGGCAGGTTCATCTCTGCAAGTTAAATGCATTCATCATGAAGAACTTTCTCAGAGTGTTTGTGTTTAGTTATGGGAAATTATTCCCGTTTCCAACGAAATCCTCAGAGAGCTCCAAATATCCACCTGCTGATTCTACCAAAAGTGTATTTGGAAACTGCTCCATCAAAAGGCATGTTCAGCTCTGTGAGTGAAACTCCATCATCACAAAGAATATTCTGAGAATGCTTCCGTTTGCCTTTTATATGAAGTTCCTTCCTATACGACCGTAGGCCTCAAAGCAGTCCAAATCTCCATTTGCAGATTCTACAAAAAGAGTGATTCCAATCTGCTCTATCAATAGGATTGTTCAACTCCATGAGTTGAATGCCATCCTCACAAAGTAGTTTCTGAGAATGCTCCTATGTAGTTTTTATGTGAAGATATTTCCTTTTCCACCACAGGCCTCAAAGCCCTCCAAACGTCCACTTGCAGATTCTCGAAAAAGAGTGTTTCATAGCTGCTCTTTCAAAAGGAAAGTTCAACTCTGGGAGTTGAATACAAACATCACAAAGTAGTTTCCGAGAATGCTTCTGTTTAGTTCTTATGTGAAGATGATCCCGTTTCCAGTGAAATCTTCAAAGAGGTCCACATATCCCCTTGCAGATTCCAAAGAAAGAGGGTTTCAAAACTGCTCCATCAAAAGGATTGTTCAACTCTGTGAGTTGAATGCAGTCATCGCAGAAAACTTTCTGAGGATGCTTCTGTCTAGGTTTGATGTGAAGATATAGACGTTTCAAACGAAGGCTACAATGTGGTCAAAATATACACTTGCAGATTCTACTACAAGGGTGTTGCAAACCTCAACTATCAAAGGAAGGTTCAACTCTGTGAGATGAATGCAAACATCACAAAGAATGTTCTGAGTTTGCTTCCGTTCAGTTATGGGAAGTTGATCCCGTTTCCAACGAAATCCTCAGAGAGGTCCAAATATCCCCTTGCAGATTCTACAAAACGTGTGTTTGGAAACTGCTCCATCATAACGAATGTTCAGCTCTCTGAGTTAAACTCCATCGTCACAAAGAATTTTCTGAGAGTGCTACCGTCTACTTTTTATATGAAGTTCTTTCCTTTACTACCACAGGCCTCAAAGCGGTCCAAATCTCCACTTGCAGATTCTACAAAAAGAGTGTTTGCAAATTGCTCTATCAAAAGGAATGTTCAACTCTGGGAGTTGAATGCAATCATCACAGAGCAGTTTCTGAGAATGCTTCTATGTCGTTTTTAGGAGAAGATATTTCCTTTTCCAACACAGTCCTCCAAGCCCGCTAAATAGCCACTTGCACATTGTAGAAAAAGTGTGTCGAAGCTGCGCTATCAAAGGGAAAGTTCAACTCTGTGAGGTGAATGCAAACATCCCAAAGAAGTTTCTGAGAATGCTTCCGTTTAGCTTTTAGGTGAAGATTATCCCGTTTCCAACGAAACCTTCAAAGAGGTCCAAATATCCCCTTGCGGATCCCACAGAAAGAGTGTTTCGAAACTGCTGTTTCAAAAGGAATCTTCAACTCTGTGAGTTGAATGCAATCATCACAAAGAAGTTTCTGACAATGCTTCTCTCTCGTCTTTCTGTGAAGATAAAGGAAAAGGCTTTCAGGCCTTTTCCACCACAGGCCTGAAAGCGCTCCAAATGTCCACTTGCAGATTCTGCGAAAAGAATATTTCAAAACTGCTCTATGAAAAGCAATGTTAAACTCTGTGGCTGGAACACAAACATCACAAAGCGGTTTCTGAGAATGTTTCAGTTTAGTTTTTCTGTGGAAATATTCCCGTTTCCAAAGAAATCTTCAAAGAGGTCCACGTATCCACTTACAGATTCTACAAAAAGACAGTTTCAAAACTGCTCCATCAAAAGGAGGGTTCAACTGTGTGACTTGAATGCAATCATCACTCAGAAGTTTCTGAGAATGCTTCTCTTTAGTTTTTACGTGAACATATATCCGTTTCGAACGAAGGCCACCCAGTGGTCCAAATATCCACTTGCAGATTCTACAGAAAGAGTGTTTCGAACCTGAACTCTCAAAGGCAGGTTCATCTCTGCGAGTTAAATGCATTCATCATGAAGAACTTTCTCAGAGTGTTTGTGTTTAGTTATGGGAAATTATTCCCGTTTCCAACGAAATCCTCAGAGAGCTCCAAATATCCACCTGCAGATTCTACCAAAAGTGTATTTGGAAACTGCTCCATCAAAAGGCATGTTCAGCTCTGTGAGTGAAACTCCATCATCACAAAGAATATTCTGAGAATGCTTCCGTTTGCCTTTTATATGAAGTTCCTTCCTATACTACCGTAGGCCTCAAAGCAGTCCAAATCTCCATTTGCAGATTCTACAAAAAGAGTGATTCCAATCTGCTCTATCAATAGGATTGTTCAACTCCATGTGTTGAATGCCATCCTCACAATGTCGTTTCTGAGAATGCTTCTATCTAGTTTTTATGTGAAGATATTTCCTTTTCCACCACAGGCCTCAAAGCCCTCCAAACGTCCACTTGCAGATTCTCGAAAAAGAGTGTTTCATAGCTGCTCTTTCAAAAGGAAAGTTCAACTCTGGGAGTTGAATACAAACATCACAAAGTAGTTTCCGAGAATGCTTCTGTTTAGTTTTTATGTGAAGATGATCCCGTTTCCAGTGAAATCTTCAAAGAGGTCCACATATCCCCTTGCAGATTCCAAAGAAAGAGGGTTTCAAAACTGCTCCATCAGAAGGATTGTTCAACTCTGTGAGTTGAATGCAGTCATCGCAGAAAACTTTCTGAGAATGCTTCTGTCTAGGTTTGATGTGAAGGTATAGACGTTTCAAACGAAGGCTACAAAGTGGTCAAAATATACACTTGCAGATTCTACTACAAGGGTGTTGCAAACCTGAACTATCAAAGGAAGGTTCAACTCTGTGAGTTGAATACAAACATCACAAAGAATGTTCTGAGTTTGCTTCCGTTCAGTTATGGGAAGTTGATCCCGTTTCCAACGAAATCCTCAGAGAGGTCCAAATATCCCCTCGCAGATTCTACAAAACGTGTGTTTGGAAACTGCTCCATCATAACGAATGTTCAGCTCCCTGAGTTAAACTACATCGTCACAAAGAATTTTCTGAGAGTGCTACCGTCTGGTTTTTATATGAAGTTCTTTCCTTCACTACCACAGGCCTCAAAGCGGTCCAAATCTCCACTTGCAGATTCTACAAAAAGAGTGTTTGCAAACTGCTCTATCAAAAGGAATGTTCAACTCTGGGAGTTGAATGCAATCATCACAGAGCAGTTTCTGAGAATGCTTCTATGTCGTTTTTAGGAGAAGATATTTCCTTTTCCAACACAGTCCTCCACGCCCGCTAAATATCCACTTGCACATTGTAGAAAAAAAGTGTGTCAAAGCTGCGCTATCAAAGGGAAAGTTCAACTCTGTGAGGTGAATGCAAACATCCCAAAGAAGTTTCTGAGAGTGCTTCCGTTTAGCTTTTAGGTGAAGATTATCCCGTTTCCAACGAAAGCTTCAAAGAGGTCCAAATATCCCCTTGCGGATCCCACAGAAAGAGTGTTTCGAAACTGCTGTTTCAAAAGGAATCTTCAACTCTGTGAGTTGAATGCAATCATCACAAAGAAGTTTCTGACAATGCTTCTCTCTCGTCTTTCTGTGAAGATAAAGGAAAAGGCTTTCAGGCCTTTTCCACCACAGGCCTGAAAGCGCTCCAAATGTCCACTTGCAGATTCTGCCAAAAGAATATTTCAAAACTGCTCTATGAAAAGCAATGTTAAACTCTGTGGCTCGAACACAAACATCACAAAGCGGTTTCTGAGAATGCTTCAGTTTAGTTTTTCTGTGAAAATATTCCCGTTTCCAAAGAAATCTTCAAAGAGGTCCACGTATCCACTTACAGATTCTACAAAAAGACAGTTTCAAAACTGCTCCATCAAAAGGAGGGTTCAACTGTGTGACTTGAATGCAATCATCACTCAGAAGTTTCTGAGAATGCTTCTCTTTAGTTTTTACGTGAACATATACCCGTTTCGAACGAAGGCCACCCAGTGGTCCAAATATCCACTTGCAGATTCTACAGAAAGAGTGTTTCGAACCTGATCTCTCAAAGGCAGGTCCATCTCTGCGAGTTAAATGCATTCATCATGAAGAACTTTCTCAGATTGTTTGTGTTTAGTTATGGGAAATTATTCCCGTTTCCAACGAAATCCTCAGAGAGCTCCAAATATCCACCTGTAGATTCTACCAAAAGTGTATTTGGAAACTGCTCCATCAAAAGGCATGTTCAGCTCTGTGAGTGAAACTCCATCATCACAAAGAATATTCTGAGAATGCTTCCGTTTGCCTTTTATATGAACTTCCTTCCTGTACCACCGTAGGCCTCAAAGCAGTCCAAATCTCCATTTGCAGATTCTACAAAAAGAGTGATTCCAATCTGCTCTATCAATAGGATTGTTCAACTCCATGAGTTGAATGCCATCCTCACAAAGTAGTTTCTGAGAATGCTTCTATCTGGTTTTTGTGTGAAGATATTTCCTTTTCCACCACAGGCCTCAAAGCCCTCCAAACGTCCACTTGCAGATTCTCGAAAAAGAGTGTTTCATAGCTGCTCTTTCAAAAGGAAAGTTCAACTCTGGGAGTTGAATACAAACATCACAAAATAGTTTCCGAGAATGCTTCTGTTTAGTTTTTATGTGAAGATGATCCCGTTTCCAGTGAAATCTTCAAAGAGGTCCACATATCCCCTTGCAGATTCCAAAGAAAGAGGGTTTCAAAACTGCTCCATCAAAAGGATTGTTCAACTCTGGTGAGTTGAATGCAGTCATCGCAGAAAACTTTCTGAGAATGCTTCTGTCTAGGTTTGATGTGAAGATATAGACGTTTCAAACGAAGGCTACAAAGTGGTCAAAATATACACTTGCAGATTCTACTACAAGGGTGTTGCAAACCTGAACTATGAAAGGAAGGTTCAACTCTGTGAGTTGAATACAAACATCACAAAGAATGTTCTGAGTTTGCTTCCGTTCAGTTATGGGAAGTTGATCCCGTTTCCAACGAAATCCTCAGAGAGGTCCAAATATCCCCTTGCAGATTCTACGAAACGTGTGTTTGGAAACTGCTCCATCATAACGAATGTTCAGCTCTCTGAGTTAAACTCCATCGTCACAAAGAATTTTCTGAGAGTGCTACCGTCTGGTTTTTATATGAAGTTCTTTCCTTCACTACCACAGGCCTCAAAGCGGTCCAAATCTCCACTTGCAGATTCTACAAAAAGAGTGTTTGCAAACTGCTCTATCAAAAGGAATGTTCAACTCTGGGAGTTGAATGCAATCGTCACAGAGCAGTTTCTGAGAATGCTTCTATGTCGTTTTTAGGAGAAGATATTTCCTTTTCCAACACAGTCCTCCAAGCCCGCTAAATAGCCACTTGCACATTGTAGAAAAAGTGTGTCAAAGCTGCGCTATCAAAGGGAAAGTTCAACTCTGTGAGGTGAATGCAAACATCCCAAAGAAGTTTCTGAGAATGCTTCCGTTTAGCTTTTAGGTGAAGATTATCCCGTTTCCAACGAAACCTTCAAAGAGGTCCAAATATCCCCTTGCGGATCCCACAGAAAGAGTGTTTCGAAACTGCTGTTTCAAAAGGAATCTTCAACTCTGTGAGTTGAATGCAATCATCACAAAGAAGTTTCTGACAATACTTCTCTCTCGTCTTTCTGTGAAGATAAAGGAAAAGGCTTTCAGGCCTTTTCCACCACAGGCCTGAAAGCGCTCCAAATGTCCACTTGCAGATTCTGCGAAAAGAATATTTCAAAACTGCTCTATGAAAAGCAATGTTAAACTCTGTGGCTGGAACACAAACATCACAAAGCGGTTTCTGAGAATGTTTCAGTTTAGATTTCTGTGGAAATATTCCCGTTTCCAAAGAAATCTTCAAAGAGGTCCACGTATCCACTTACAGATTCTACAAAAAGACAGTTTCAAAACTGCTCCATCAAAAGGAGGGTTCAACTGTGTGACTTGAATGCAATCATCACTCAGAAGTTTCTGAGAATGCTTCTCTTTAGTTTTTACGTGAACATATACCCGTTTCGAACGAAGGCCACCCAGTGGTCCAAATATCCACTTGCAGATTATACAGAAAGAGTGTTTCGAACCTGAACTCTCAAAGGCAGGTTCATCTCTGCAAGTTAAATGCATTCATCATGAAGAACTTTCTCAGAGTGTTTGTGTTTAGTTATGGGAAATTATTCCCGTTTCCAACGAAATCCTCAGAGTGGTCCAAATATCCACCTGCAGATTCTACCAAAAGTGTATTTGGAAACTGCTCCATCAAAAGGCATGTTCAGCTCTGTGAGTGAAACTCCATCATCACAAAGAATATTCTGAGAATGCTTCCGTTTGCCTTTTATCTGAAGTTCCTTCCTATACGACCGTAGGCCTCAAAGCAGTCCAAATCTCCATTTGCAGATTCTACAAAAAGAGTGATTCCAATCTGCTCTATCAATAGGATTGTTCAACTCCATGAGTTGAATGCCATCCTCACAAAGTAGTTTCTGAGAATGCTTCTATCTAGTTTTTATGTGAAGATATTTCCTTTTCCACCACAGGCCTCAAAGCCCTCCAAACGTCCACTTGCAGATTCTCGAAAAAGAGTGTTTCATAGCTGCTCTTTCAAAAGGAAAGTTCAACTCTGGGAGTTGAATACAAACATCACAAAGTAGTTTCCGAGAATGCTTCCTGTTTAGTTTTTATGTGAAGATGATCCCGTTTCCAGTGAAATCTTCAAAGAGGTCCACATATCCCCTTGCAGATTCCAAAGAAAGAGGGTTTCAAAACTGCTCCATCAGAAGGATTGTTCAACTCTGTGAGTTGAATGCAGTCATCGCAGAAAACTTTCTGAGAATGCTTCTGTCTAGGTTTGATGTGAAGATATAGACGTTTCAAACGAAGGCTACAAAGTGGTCAAAATATACACTTGCAGATTCTACTACAAGGGTGTTGCAAACCTGAACTATCAAAGGAAGGTTCAACTCTGTGAGTTGAATACAAACGTCACAAAGAATGTTCTGAGTTTGCTTCCGTTCAGTTATGGGAAGTTGATCCCGTTTCCAACGAAATCCTCAGAGAGGTCCAAATATCCCCTCGCAGATTCTACAAAACGTGTGTTTGGAAACTGCTCCGTCATAACGAATGTTCAGCTCCCTGAGTTAAACTCCATCGTCACAAAGAATTTTCTGAGAGTGCTACCGTCTGGTTTTTATATGAAGTTCTGTCCTTCACTACCACAGGCCTCAAAGCGGTCCAAATCTCCACTTGCAGATTCTACAAAAAGAGTGTTTGCAAACTGCTCTATCAAAAGGAATGTTCAACTCTGGGAGTTGAATGCAATCATCACAGAGCAGTTTCTGAGAATGCTTCTATGTCGTTTTTAGGAGAAGATATTTCCTTTTCCAACACAGTCCTCCAAGCCCGCTAAATAGCCACTTGCACATTGTAGAAAAAGTGTGTCAAAGCTGCGCTATCAAAGGGAAAGTTCAACTCTGTGAGGTGAATGCAAACATCCCAAAGAAGTTTCTGAGAATGCTTCCGTTTAGCTTTTAGGTGAAGATTATCCCGTTTGCAACGAAATCTTCAAAGAGGTCCAAATATCCCCTTGCGGATCCCACAGAAAGAGTGTTTCGAAACTGCTGTTTCAAAAGGAATCTTCAACTCTGTGAGTTGAATGCAATCATCACAAAGAAGTTTCTGACAATGTTTCTCTCTCGTCTTTCTGTGAAGATAAAGGAAAAGGCTTTCAGGCCTTTTCCACCACAGGCCTGAAAGCGCTCCAAATGTCCACTTGCAGATTCTGCCAAAAGAATATTTCAAAACTGCTCTATGAAAAGCAATGTTAAACTCTGTGGCTCGAACACAAACATCACAAAGCAGTTTCTGAGAATGCTTCAGTTTAGTTTTTCTGTGGAAATATTCCCGTTTCCAAAGAAATATTCAAAGAGGTCCACGTATCCACTTACAGATTCTACAAAAAGACAGTTTCAAAACTGCTCCATCAAAAGGAGGGTTCAACTGTGTGACTTGAATGTAATCATCACTCAGAAGTTTCTGAGAATGCTTCTCTTTAGTTTTTACGTGAACATATACCCGTTTCGAACGAAGGCCAGCCAGTGGTCCAAATATCCACTTGCAGATTCTACAGAAAGAGTGTTTCGAACCTGAACTCTCAAAGGCAGGTTCATCTCTGCGAGTTAAATGCATTCATCATGAAGAACTTTCTCAGAGTGTTTGTGTTTAGTTATGGGAAATTATTCCCGTTTCCAACGAACTCCTCAGAGAGCTCCAAATATGCACCTGCACATTCTACCAAAAGTGTATTTGGAAACTGCTCCATCAAAAGGCATGTTCAGCTCTGTGAGTGAAACTCCATCATCACAAAGAATATTCTGAGAATGCTTCCGTTTGCCTTTTATATGAAGTTCCTTCCTATACTACCGTAGGCCTCAAAGCAGTCCAAATCTCCATTTGCAGATTCTACAAAAAGAGTGATTCCAATCTGCTCTATCAATAGGATTGTTCAACTCCATGAATTGAATGCCATCCTCACAAAGTCGTTTCTGAGAATGCTTCTATCTAGTTTTTATGTGAAGATATTTCCTTTTCCACCACAGGCCTCAAAGCCTTCCAAACGTCCACTTGCAGATTCTCGAAAAAGAGTGTTTCATAGCTGCTCTTTCAAAAGGAAAGTTCAACTCTGGGAGTTGAATACAAACATCACAAAGTAGTTTCCGAGAATGCTTCAGTTTAGTTTTTATGTGAAGATGATCCCGTTTCCAGTGAAATCTTCAAAGAGGTCCACATATCCCCTTGCAGATTCCAAAGAAAGAGGGTTTCAAAACTGCTCCATCAGAAGGATTGTTCAACTCTGTGAGTTGAATGCAGTCATCGCAGAAAACTTTCTGAGAATGCTTCTGTCTAGGTTTGATGTGAAGATATAGACGTTTCAAATGAAGGCTACAAAGTGGTCAAAATATACACTTGCAGATTCTACTACAAGGGTGTTGCAAACCTGAACTATAAAAGGAAGGTTCAACTCTGTGAGTTGAATACAAACATCACAAAGAATGTTCTGAGTTTGCTTCCGTTCAGTTATGGGAAGTTGATCCCGTTTCCAACGAAATCCTCAGAGAGGTCCAAATATCCCCTTGCAGATTCTACAAAACGTGTGTTTGGAAACTGCTCCATCATAACGAATGTTCAGCTCCCTGAGTTAAACTCCATCGTCACAAAGAATTTTCTGAGAGTGCTACCGTCTGGTTTTTATATGAAGTTCTTTCCTTCACTACCACAGGCCTCAAAGCGGTCCAAATCTCCACTTGCAGATTCTACAAAAAGAGTGTTTGCAAACTGCTCTATCAAAAGGAATGTTCAACTCTGGGAGTTGAATGCAATCATCACAGAGCAGTTTCTGAGAATGCTTCTATGTCGTTTTTAGGAGAAGATATTTCCTTTTCCAACACAGTCCTCCAAGCCCGCTAAATAGCCACTTGCACATTGTAGAAAAAGTGTGTCAAAGCTACGCTATCAAAGGGAAAGTTCAACTCTGTGAGGTGAATGCAAACATCCCAAAGAAGTTTCTGAGAATGCTTCCGTTTAGCTTTTAGGTGAAGATTATCCCGTTTCCAACGAAACCTTCAAAGAGGTCCAAATATCCCCTTGCGGATCCCACAGAAAGAGTGTTTCGAAACTGCTGTTTCAAAAGGAATCTTCAACTCTGTGAGTTGAATGCAATCATCACAAAGAAGTTTCTGACAATGCTTCTCTCTCGTCTTTCTGTGAAGATAAAGGAAAAGGCTTTCAGGCCTTTTCAACCACAGGCCTGAAAGCGCTCCAAATGTCCACTTGCAGATTCTGCCAAAAGAATATTTCAAAACTGCTCTATGAAAAGCAATGTTAAACTCTGTGGCTCGAACACAAACATCACAAAGCAGTTTCTGAGAATGCTTCAGTTTAGTTTTTCTGTGGAAATATTCCCGTTTCCAAAGAAATCTTCAAAGAGGTCCACGTATCCACTTACAGATTCTACAAAAAGACAGTTTCAAAACTGCTCAATCAAAAGGAGGGTTCAACCGTGTGACTTGAATGCAATCATCACTCAGAAGTTTCTGAGAATGCTTCTCTTTAGTTTTTACGTGAACATATAACCGTTTCGAACGAAGGCCACACAGTGGTCCAAATATCCACTTGCAGATTCTACAGAAAGAGTGTTTCGAACCTGAACTCTCAAAGGCAGGTTCATCTCTGCGAGTTCAATGCATTCATCATGAAGAACTTTCTCAGAGTGTTTGTGTTTAGGTATGGGAAATTATTCCCGTTTCCAACGAAATCCTCAGAGAGGTCCAAATATCCACCTGCAGATTCTACCAAAAGTGTATTTGGAAACTGCTCCATCAAAAGGCATGTTCAGCTCTGTGAGTGAAACTCCATCATCACAAAGAATATTCTGAGAATGCTTCCGTTTGCCTTTTATATGAAGTTCCTTCCTATACTACCGTAGGCCTCAAAGCAGTCCAAATCTCCATTTGCAGATTCTACAAAAAGAGTGATTCCAATCTGCTCTATCAATAGGATTGTTCAACTCCATGAGTTGAATGCCATCCTCACAAAGTCGTTTCTGAGAATGCTTCTATCTAGTTTTTATGTGAAGATATTTCCTTTTCCACCACAGGCCTCAAAGCCCTCCAAACGTCCACTTGCAGATTCTCGAAAAAGAGTGTTTCATAGCTGCTCTTTCAAAAGGAAAGTTCAACTCTGGGAGTTGAATACAAACATCACAAAGTAGTTTCCGAGAATGCTTCTGTTTAGTTTTTATGTGAAGATGATCCCGTTTCCAGTGAAATCTTCAAAGAGGTCCACATATCCCCTTGCAGATTCCAAAGAAAGAGGGTTTCAAAACTGCTCCATCAGAAGGATTGTTCAACTCTGTGAGTTGAATGCAGTCATCGCAGAAAACTTTCTGAGAGTGCTTCTGTCTAGGTTTGATGTGAAGATATAGACGTTTCAAACGAAGGCTACAAAGTGGTCAAAATATACACTTGCAGATTCTACTACAAGGGTGTTGCAAACCTGAACTATCAAAGGAAGGTTCAACTCTGTGAGTTGAATACAAACATCACAAAGAATGTTCTGAGTTTGCTTCCGTTCAGTTATGGGAAGTTGATCCCGTTTCCAACGAAATCCTCAGAGAGGTCCAAATATCCCCTCGCAGATTCTACAAAACGTGTGTTTGGAAACTGCTCCATCATAACGAATGTTCAGCTCCCTGAGTTAAACTCCATCGTCACAAAGAATTTTCTGAGAGTGCTACCGTCTGGTTTTTATATGAAGTTCTTTCCTTCACTACCACAGGCCTCAAAGCGGTCCAAATCTCCACTTGCAGATTCTACAAAAAGAGTGTTTGCAAACTGCTCTATCAAAAGGAATGTTCAACTCTGGGAGTTGAATGCAATCATCACAGAGCAGTTTCTGAGAATGCTTCTATGTCGTTTTTAGGAGAAGATATTTCCTTTTCCAACACAGTCCTCCAAGCCCGCTAAATAGCCCCTTGCACATTGTAGAAAAAGTGTGTCAAAGCTGCGCTATCAAAGGGAAAGTTCAACTCTGTCAGGTGAATGCAAACATCCCAAAGAAGTTTCTGAGAATGCTTCCGTTTAGCTTTTAGGTGAAGATTATCCCGTTTCCAACGAAACCTTCAAAGAGGTCCAAATATCCCCTTGCGGATCCCACAGAAAGAGTGTTTCGAAACTGCTGTTTCAAAAGGAATCTTCAACTCTGTGAGTTGAATGCAATCATCACAAAGAAGTTTCTGACAATGCTTCTCTCTCGTCTTTCTGTGAAGATAAAGGAAAAGGCTTTCAGGCCTTTTCCACCACAGGCCTGAAAGCGCTCCAAATGTCCACCTGCAGATTCTGCCAAAAGAATATTTCAAAACTGCTCTATGAAAAGCAATGTTAAACTCTGTGGCTCGAACACAAACATCACAAAGCAGTTTCTGAGAATGCTTCAGTTTAGTTTTTCTGTGGAAATATTCCCGTTTCCAAAGAAATCTTCAAAGAGGTCCACGTATGCACTTACAGATTCTACAAAAAGACAGTTTCAAAACTGCTCCATCAAAAGGAGGGTTCAACTGTGTGACTTGAATGCAATCATCACTCAGAAGTTTCTGAGAATGCTTCTCTTTAGTTTTTACGTGAACATATACCCGTTTCGAACGAAGGCCACCCAGTGGTCCAAATATCCACTTGCAGATTCTACAGAAAGAGTGTTTCGAACCTGAACTCTCAAAGGCAGGTTCATCTCTGTTAGTTAAATGCATTCATCATGAAGAACTTTCTCAGAGTGTTTGTGTTTAGTTATGGGAAATTATTCCCGTTTCCAACGAAATCCTCAGAGAGCTCCAAATATCCACCTGCAGATTCTACCAAAAGTGTATTTGGAAACTGCTCCATCAAAAGGCATGTTCAGCTCTGTGAGTGAAACTCCATCATCACAAAGAATATTCTGAGAATGCTTCTATCTGGTTTTTGTGTGAAGATATTTCCTTTTCCACCACAGGCCTCAAAGCCCTCCAAACGTCCACTTGCAGATTCTCGAAAAAGAGTGTTTCATAGCTGCTCTTTCAAAAGGAAAGTTCAACTCTGGGAGTTGAATACAAACATCACAAAATAGTTTCCGAGAATGCTTCTGTTTAGTTTTTATGTGAAGATGATCCCGTTTCCAGTGAAATCTTCAAAGAGGTCCACATATCCCCTTGCAGATTCCAAAGAAAGAGGGTTTCAAAACTGCTCCATCAGAAGGATTGTTCAACTCTGTGAGTTGAATGCAGTCATCGCAGAAAACTTTCTGAGAATGCTTCTGTCTAGGTTTGATGTGAAGATATAGACGTTTCAAACGAAGGCTACAAAGTGGTCAAAATATACACTTGCAGATTCTACTACAAGGGTGTTACAAACCTGAACTATCAAAGGATGGTTCAACTCTGTGAGTTGAATACAAACATCACAAAGAATGTTCTGAGTTTGCTTCCGTTCAGTTATGGGAAGTTGATCCCGTTTCCAACGAAATCCTCAGAGAGGTCCAAATATCCCCTCGCAGATTCTACAAAACGTGTGTTTGGAAACTGCTCCATCATAACGAATGTTCAGCTCCCTGAGTTAAACTCCATCGTCACAAAGAATTTTCTGAGAGTGCTACCGTCTGGTTTTTATATGAAGTTCTTTCCTTCACTACCACAGGCCTCAAAGCGGTCCAAATCTCCACTTGCAGATTCTACAAAAAGAGTGTTTGCAAACTGCTCTATCAAAAGGAATGTTCAACTCTGGGAGTTGAATGCAATCATCACAGAGCAGTTTCTGAGAATGCTTCTATGTCGTTTTTAGGAGAAGATATTTCCTTTTCCAACACAGTCCTCCAAGCCCGCTAAATAGCCCCTTGCACATTGTAGAAAAAGTGTGTCAAAGCTGCGCTATCAAAGGGAAAGTTCAACTCTGTGAGGTGAATGCAAACATCCCAAAGAAGTTTCTGAGAATGCTTCCGTTTAGCTTTTAGGTGAAGATTATCCCGTTTCCAACGAAACCTTCAAAGAGGTCCAAATATCCCCTTGCGGATCCCACAGAAAGAGTGTTTCGAAACTGCTGTTTCAAAAGGAATCTTCAACTCTGTGAGTTGAATGCAATCATCACAAAGAAGTTTCTGACAATGCTTCTCTCTCGTCTTTCTGTGAAGATAAAGGAAAAGGCTTTCAGGCCTTTTCCACCACAGGCCTGAAAGCGCTCCAAATGTCCACTTGCAGTTTCTGTGAAAAGAATATTTCAAAACTGCTCTATGAAAAGCAATGTTAAACTCTGTGGCTCGAACACAAACATCACAAAGCAGTTTCTGAGAATGCTTCAGTTTAGTTTTTCTGTGGAAATATTCCCGTTTCCAAAGAAATCTTCAAAGAGGTCCACGTATCCACTTACAGATTCTACAAAAAGACAGTTTCAAAACTGCTCCATCAAAAGGAGGGTTCAACTGTGTGACTTGAATGCAATCATCACTCAGAAGTTTCTGAGAATGCTTCTCTTTAGTTTTTACGTGAACATATACCCGTTTCGAACGAAGGCCACCCAGTGGTCCAAATATCCACTTGCAGATTCTACAGAAAGAGTGTTTCGAACCTGAACTCTCAAAGGCAGGTTCATCTCTGCGAGTTCAATGCATTCATCATGAAGAACTTTCTCAGCGTGTTTGTGTTTAGTTATGGGAAATTATTGCCATTTCCAACGAAATCCTCAGAGAGGTCCAAATATCCACCTGCAGATTCTACCAAAAGTGTATTTGGAAACTGCTCCATCAAAAGGCATGTTCAGCTCTGTGAGTGAAACTCCATCATCACAAAGAATATTCTGAGAATGCTTCCGTTTGCCTTTTATATGAAGTTCCTTCCTATACTACCGTAGGCCTCAAAGCAGTCCAAATCTCCATTTGCAGATTCTACAAAAAGAGTGATTCCAATCTGCTCTATCAATAGGATTGTTCAACTCCATGAGTTGAATGCCATCCTCACAAAGTCGTTTCTGAGAATGCTTCTATCTAGTTTTTATGTGAAGATATTTCCTTTTCCACCACAGGCCTCAAAGCCCTCCAAACGTCCACTTGCAGATTCTCGAAAAAGAGTGTTTCATAGCTGCTCTTTCAAAAGGAAAGTTCAACTCTGGGAGTTGAATACAAACATCACAAAGTAGTTTCCGAGAATGCTTCTGTTTAGTTTTTATGTGAAGATGATCCCGTTTCCAGTGAAATCTTCAAAGAGGTCCACATATCCCCTTGCAGATTCCAAAGAAAGAGGGTTTCAAAACTGCTCCATCAGAAGGATTGTTCAACTCTGTGAGTTGAATGCAGTCATCGCAGAAAACTTTCTGAGAATGCTTCTGTCTAGGTTTGATGTGAAGATATAGACGTTTCAAACAAAGGCTACAAAGTGGTCAAAATATACACTTGCAGATTCTACTACAAGGGTGTTGCAAACCTGAACTATCAAAGGAAGGTTCAACTCTGTGAGTTGAATACAAACATCACAAAGAATGTTCTGAGTTTGCTTCCGTTCAGTTATGGGAAGTTGATCCCGTTTCCAACGAAATCCTCAGAGAGGTCCAAATATCCCCTTGCAGATCCTACAAAACGTGTGTTTGGAAACTGCTCCATCATAACGAATGTTCAGCTCTCTGAGTTAAACTCCATCGTCACAAAGAATTTTCTGAGAGTGCTACCGTCTGGTTTTTATATGAAGTTCTTTCCTTTACTACCACAGGCCTCAAAGCGGTCCAAATCTCCACTGGCAGATTCTACAAAAAGAGTGTTTGCAAACTGCTCTATCAAAAGGAATGTTCAACTCTGGGAGTTTAATGCAATCATCACAGAGCAGTTTCTGAGAATGCTTCTATGTCGTTTTTAGGAGAAGATATTTCCTTTTCCAACACAGTCCTCCAAGCCCGCTAAATATCCACTTGCACATTGTAGAAAAAGTGTGTCGAAGCTGCGCTATCAAAGGGAAAGTTCAACTCTGTGAGGTGAATGCAAACATCCCAAAGAAGTTTCTGAGAATGCTTCCGTTTAGCTTTTAGGTGAAGATTATCCCGTTTCCAACGAAACCTTCAAAGAGGTCCAAATATCCCCTTGCGGATCCCACAGAAAGAGTGTTTCGAAACTGCTGTTTCAAAAGGAATCTTCAACTCTGTGAGTTGAATGCAATCATCAAAAAGAAGTTTCTGACAATGCTTCTCTCTCGTCTTCCTGTGAAGATAAAGGAAAAGGCTTTCAGGCCTTTTCCACCACAGGCCTGAAAGCGCTCCAAATGTCCACTTGCAGATTCTGCCAAAAGAATATTTCAAAACTGCTCTATGAAAAGCAATGTTAAACTCTGTGGCTCGAACACAAACATCACAAAGCAGTTTCTGAGAATGCTTCAGTTTAGTTTTTCTGTGGAAATATTCCCGTTTCCAAAGAAATCTTCAAAGAGGTCCACGTATGCACTTACAGATTCTACAAAAAGACAGTTTCAAAACTGCTCCATCAAAAGGAGGGTTCAACTGTGTGACTTGAATGCAATCATCACTCAGAAGTTTCTGAGAATGCTTCTCTTTAGTTTTTACGTGAACATATACCCGTTTCGAACGAAGGCCACCCAGTGGTCCAAATATCCACTTGCAGATTCTACAGAAAGAGTGTTTCGAACCTGAACTCTCAAAGGCAGGTTCATCTCTGTTAGTTAAATGCATTCATCATGAAGAACTTTCTCAGAGTGTTTGTGTTTAGTTATGGGAAATTATTCCCGTTTCCAACGAAATCCTCAGAGAGCTCCAAATATCCACCTGCAGATTCTACCAAAAGTGTATTTGGAAACTGCTCCATCAAAAGGCATGTTCAGCTCTGTGAGTGAAACTCCATCATCACAAAGAATATTCTGAGAATGCTTCCGTTTGCCTTTTATATGAAGTTCCTTCCTGTACTACCGTAGGCCTCAAAGCAGTCCAAATCTCCATTTGCAGATACTATAAAAAGAGTGATTCCAATCTGCTCTATCAATAGGATTGTTCAACTCCATGAGTTGAATGCCATCCTCACAAAGTAGTTTCTGAGAATGCTTCTATCTGGTTTTTGTGTGAAGATATTTCCTTTTCCACCACAGGCCTCAAAGCCCTCCAAACGTCCACTTGCAGATTCTCGAAAAAGAGTGTTTCATAGCTGCTCTTTCCAAAGGAAAGTTCAACTCTGGGAGTTGAATACAAACATCACAAAGTAGTTTCCGAGAATGCTTCTGTTTAGTTTTTATGTGAAGATGATCCCGTTTCCAGTGAAATCTTCAAAGAGGTCCACATATCCCCTTGCAGATTCCAAAGAAAGAGGGTTTCAAAACTGCTCCATCAGAAGGATTGTTCAACTCTGTGAGTTGAATGCAGTCATCGCAGAAAACTTTCTGAGAATGCTTCCTGTCTAGGTTTGATGTGAAGATATAGACGTTTCAAACGAAGGCTACAAAGTGGTCAAAATATACACTTGCAGATTCTACTACAAGGGTGTTGCAAACCTGAACTATCAAAGGAAGGTTCAACTCTGTGAGTTGAATACAAACATCACAAAGAATGTTCTGAGTTTGCTTCCGTTCAGTTATGGGAAGTTGATCCCGTTTCCAACGAAATCCTCAGAGAGGTCCAAATATCCCCTTGCAGATTCTACAAAACGTGTGTTTGGAAACTGCTCCATCATAACGAATGTTCAGCTCCCTGAGTTAAACTCCATCGTCACAAAGAATTTTCTGAGAGTGCTACCGTCTGGTTTTTATATGAAGTTCTTTCCTTCACTACCACAGGCCTCAAAGCGGTCCAAATCTCCACTTGCAGATTCTACAAAAAGAGTGTTTGCAAACTGCTCTATCAAAAGGAATGTTCAACTCTGGGAGTTGAATGCAATCATCACAGAGCAGTTTCTGAGAATGCTTCTATGTCGTTTTTAGGAGAAGATATTTCCTTTTCCAACACCGTCCTCCAAGCCCGCTAAATAGCCACTTGCACATTGTAGAAAAAGTGTGTCAAAGCTGCGCTATCAAAGGGAAAGTTCAACTCTGTGAGGTGAATGCAAACATCCCAAAGAAGTTTCTGAGAATGCTTCCGTTTAGCTTTTAGGTGAAGATTATCCCGTTTCCAACGAAACCTTCAAAGAGGTCCAAATATCCCCTTGCGGATCCCACAGAAAGAGTGTTTCGAAACTGCTGTTTCAAAAGGAATCTTCAACTCTGTGAGTTGAATGCAATCATCACAAAGAAGTTTCTGACAATGCTTCTCTCTCGTCTTTCTGTGAAGATAAAGGAAAAGGTTTTCAGGCCTTTTCCACCACAGGCCTGAAAGCGCTCCAAATGTCCACTTGCAGATTCTGCGAAAAGAATATTTCAAAACTGCTCTATGAAAAGCAATGTTAAACTCTGTGGCTCGAACACAAACATCACAAAGCAGTTTCTGAAAATGCTTCAGTTTAGTTTTTCTGTGGAAATATTCCCGTTTCCAAAGAAATCTTCAAAGAGGTCCACGTATCCACTTACAGATTCTACAAAAAGACAGTTTCAAAACTGCTCCATCAAAAGGAGGGTTCAACTGTGTGACTTGAATGCAATCATCACTCAGAAGTTTCTGAGAATGCTTCTCTTTAGTTTTTACGTGAACATATACCCGTTTCGAACGAAGGCCACCCAGTGGTCCAAATATCCACTTGCAGATTATACAGAAAGAGTGTTTCGAACCTGAACTCTCAAAGGCAGGTTCATCTCTGCGAGTTAAATGCATTCATCATGAAGAACTTTCTCAGAGTGTTTGTGTTTAGTTATGGGAAATTATTCCCGTTTCCAACGAAATCCTCAGAGAGCTCCAAATATCCACCTGCAGATTCTACCAAAAGTGTATTTGGAAACTGCTCCATCAAAAGGCATGTTCAGCTCTGTGAGTGAAACTCCATCATCACAAAGAATATTCTGAGAATGCTTCCGTTTGCCTTTTATATGAAGTTCCTTCCTATACGACCGTAGGCCTCAAAGCAGTCCAAATCTCCATTTGCAGATTCTACAAAAAGAGTGATTCCAATCTGCTCTATCAATAGGATTGTTCAACTCCATGAGTTGAATGCCATCCTCACAAAGTAGTTTCTGAGAATGCTTCTATCTAGTTTTTATGTGAAGATATTTCCTTTTCCACCACAGGCCTCAAAGCCCTCCAAACGTCCACTTGCAGATTCTCGAAAAAGAGTGTTTCATAGCTGCTCTTTCAAAAGGAAAGTTCAACTCTGGGAGTTGAATACAAACATCACAAAGTAGTTTCCGAGAATGCTTCTGTTTAGTTCTTATGTGAAGATGATCCCGTTTCCAGTGAAATCTTCAAAGAGGTCCACATATCCCCTTGCAGATTCCAAAGAAAGAGGGTTTCAAAACTGCTCCATCAAAAGGATTGTTCAACTCTGTGAGTTGAATGCAGTCATCGCAGAAAACTTTCTGAGAATGCTTCTGTCTAGGTTTGATGTGAAGATATAGACGTTTCAAACGAAGGCTACAAAGTGGTCAAAATATACACTTGCAGATTCTACTACAAGGGTGTTGCAAACCTGAACTATCAAAGGAAGGTTCAACTCTGTGAGTTGAATACAAACATCACAAAGAATGTTCTGAGTTTGCTTCCGTTCAGTTATGGGAAGTTGATCCCGTTTCCAACGAAATCCTCAGAGAGGTCCAAATATCCCCTTGCAGATTCTACAAAACGTGTGTTTGGAAACTGCTCCATCATAACGAATGTTCAGCTCTCTGAGTTAATCTCCATCGTCACAAAGAATTTTCTGAGAGTGCTACCGTCTAGTTTTTATATGAAGTTCTTTCCTTTACTACCACAGGCCTCAAAGCGGTCCAAATCTCCACTTGCAGATTCTACAAAAAGAGTGTTTGCAAACTGCTCTATCAAAAGGAATGTTCAACTCTGGGAGTTGAATGCAATCATCACAGAGCAGTTTCTGAGAATGCTTCTATGTCGTTTTTAGGAGAAGATATTTCCTTTTCCAACACAGTCCTCCAAGCCCGCTAAATATCCACTTGCACATTGTAGAAAAAGTGTGTCGAAGCTGCGCTATCAAAGGGAAAGTTCAACTCTGTGAGGTGAATGCAAACATCCCAAAGAAGTTTCTGAGAATGCTTCCGTTTAGCTTTTAGGTGAAGATTATCCCGTTTCCAACGAAACCTTCAAAGAGGTCCAAATATCCCCTTGCGGATCCCACAGAAAGAGTGTTTCGAAACTGCTGTTTCAAAAGGAATCTTCAACTCTGTGAGTTGAATGCAATCATCACAAAGAAGTTTCTGACAATGCTTCTCTCTCGTCTTTCTGTGAAGATAAAGGAAAAGGCTTTCAGGCCTTTTCCACCACAGGCCTGAAAGCGCTCCAAATGTCCACTTGCAGATTCTGCCAAAAGAATATTTCAAAACTGCTCTATGAAAAGCAATGTTAAACTCTGCGGCTCGAACACAAACATCACAAAGCAGTTTCTGAGAATGCTTCAGTTTAGTTTTTCTGTGGAAATATTCCCGTTTCCAAAGAAATCTTCAAAGAGGTCCACGTATCCACTTACAGATTCTACAAAAAGACAGTTTCAAAACTGCTCCATCAAAAGGAGGGTTCAACTGTGTGACTTGAATGCAATCATCACTCAGAAGTTTCTGAGAATGCTTCTCTTTAGTTTTTACGTGAACATATAACCGTTTCGAACGAAGGCCACCCAGTGGTCCAAATATCCACTTGCAGATTCTACAGAAAGAGTGTTTCGAACCTGAACTCTCAGAGGCAGGTTCATCTCTGCGAGTTCAATGCATTCATCATGAAGAACTTTCTCAGCGTGTTTGTGTTTAGTTATGGGAAATTATTCCCGTTTCCAACGAAATCCTCAGAGAGGTCCAAATGTCCACCTGCAGATTCTACCAAAAGTGTATTTGGAAACTGCTCCATCAACAGGCATGTTCAGCTCTGTGAGTGAAACTCCATCATCACAAAGAATATTCTGAGAATGCTTCCGTTTGCTTTTTATATGAAGTTCCTTCCTATACGACCGTAGGCCTCAAAGCAGTCCAAATCTCCATTTGCAGATTCTACAAAAAGAGTGATTCCAATCTGCTGTATCAATAGGATTGTTCAACTCCATGAGTTGAATGCCATCCTCACAAAATCGTTTCTGAGAATGCTTCTATCTAGTTTTTATGTGAAGATATTTCCTTTTCCACCACAGGCCTCAAAGCCCTCCAAACGTCCACTTGCAGATTCTCGAAAAGGAGTGTTTCATAGCTGCTCTTTCAAAAGGAAAGTTCAACTCTGGCAGTTGAATACAAACATCACAAAGTAGTTTCCGAGAATGCTTCTGTTTAGTTTTTATGTGAAGATGATCCCGTTTCCAGTGAAATCTTCAAAGAGGTCCACATATCCCCTTGCAGATTCCAAAGAAAGAGGGTTTCAAAACTGCTCCATCAGAAGGATTGTTCAACTCTGTGAGTTGAATGCAGTCATCGCAGAAAACTTTCTGAGAATGCTTCTGTCTAGGTTTGATGTGAAGATATAGACGTTTCAAACGAAGGCTACAAAGTGGTCAAAATATACACTTGCAGATTCTACTACAAGGGTGTTGCAAACCTGAACTATCAAAGGAAGGTTCAACTCTGTGAGTTGAATACAAACATCACAAAGAATGTTCTGAGTTTGCTTCCGTTCAGTTATGGGAAGTTGATCCCGTTTCCAACGAAATCCTCAGAGAGGTCCAAATATCCCCTCACAGATTCTACAAAACGTGTGTTTGGAAATTGCTCCATCATAACGAATGTTCAGCTCCCTGAGTTAAACTCCATCGTCACAAAGAATTTTCTGAGAGTGCTACCGTCTGGTTTTTATATGAAGTTCTTTCCTTCACTACCACAGGCCTCAAAGCGGTCCAAATCTCCACTTGCAGATTCTACAAAAAGAGTGTTTGCAAACTGCTCTATCAAAAGGAATGTTCAACTCTGGGAGTTGAATGCAATCATCACAGAGCAGTTTCTGAGAATGCTTCTATGTGGTTTTTAGGAGAAGATATTTCCTTTTCCAACACAGTCCTCCAAGCCCGCTAAATATCCACTTGCACATTTTAGAAAAAGTGTGTCGAAGCTGCGCTATCAAAGGGAATGTTCAACTCTGTGAGGTGAATGCAAACATCCCAAAGAAGTTTCTGAGAATGCTTCCGTTTAGCTTTTAGGTGAAGATTATCCCGTTTGCAACGAAATCTTCAAAGAGGTCCAAATATCCCCTTGCGGATCCCACAGAAAGAGTGTTTCGAAACTGCTGTTTCAAAAGGAATCTTCAACTCTGTGAGTTGAATGCAATCATCACAAAGAAGTTTCTGACAATGCTTCTCTCTCGTCTTTCTGTGAAGATAAAGGAAAAGGCTTTCAGGCCTTTTCCACCACAGGCCTGAAAGCGCTCCAAATGTCCACTTGCAGATTCTGCCAAAAGAATATTTCAAAACTGCTCTATGAAAAGCAATGTTAAACTCTGTGGCTCGAACACAAACATCACAAAGCAGTTTCTCAGAATGCTTCAGTTTAGTTTTTCTGTGGAAATATTCCCGTTTCCAAAGAAATCTTCAAAGAGGTCGACGCATACACTTACAGATTCTACAAAAAGACAGTTTCAAAACTGCTCAATCAAAAGGAGGGTTCAACTGTGTGACTTGAATGCAATCATCACTCAGAAGTTTCTGAGAACGCTTCTCTTTAGTTTTTCCGTGAACATATAAACGTTTCGAATGAAGGCCAGCCAGTGGTCCAAATATCCACTTGCAGATTCTGCAGAAAGAGTGTTTCGAACCTGAACTCTCAAAGGCAGGTTCGTCTCTGCGAGTTAAATGCATTCATCATGAAGAACTTTCTCAGCGTGTTTGTGTTTAGTTATGGGAAATTATTCCCGTTTCCAACGAAATCCTCAGAGAGCTCCAAATATCCACCTGCAGATTCTACCAAAAGTGTATTTGGAAACTGCTCCATCAAAAGGCATGTTCAGCTCTGTGAGTGAAACTCCATCATCACAAAGAATATTCTGAGAATGCTTCCGTTTGCCTTTTATATGAAGTTCCTTCCTATACGACCGTAGGCCCCAAAGCAGTCCAAATCTCCATTTGCAGATTCTACAAAAAGAGTGATTCCAATCTGCTCTATCAATAGGATTGTTCAACTCCATGAGTTGAATGCCATCCTCACAAAGTCGTTTCTGAGAATGCTTCTATCTAGTTTTTATGTGAAGATATTTCCTTTTCCACCACAGGCCTCAAAGCCCTCCAAACGTCCACTTGCAGATTCTCGAAAAAGAGTGTTTCATAGCTGCTCTTTCAAAAGGAAAGTTCAACTCTGGGAGTTGAATACAAACATCACAAAGTAGTTTCCGAGAATGCTTCTGTTTAGTTTTTATGTGAAGATGATCCCGTTTCCAGTGAAATCTTCAAAGAGGTCCACATATCCCCTTGCAGATTCCAAAGAAAGAGGGTTTCAAAACTGCTCCATCAAAAGGATTGTTCAACTCTGTGAGTTGAATGCAGTCATCGCAGAAAACTTTCTGAGAATGCTTCTGTCTAGGTTTGATGTGAAGATATAGACGTTTCAAACGAAGGCTACAAAGTGGTCAAAATATACACTTGCAGATTCTACTACAAGGGTGTTGCAAACCTGAACTATCAAAGGAAGGTTCAACTCTGTGAGTTGAATACAAACATCACAAAGAATGTTCTGAGTTTGCTTCCGTTCAGTTATGGGAAGTTGATCCCGTTTCCAACGAAATCCTCAGAGAGGTCCAAATATCCCCTTGCAGATTCTACAAAACGTGTGTTTGGAAACTGCTCCATCATAACGAATGTTCAGCTCCCTGAGTTAAACTCCATCGTCACAAAGAATTTTCTGAGAGTGCTACCGTCTGGTTTTTATATGAAGTTCTTTCCTTCACTACCACAGGCCTCAAAGCGGTCCAAATCTCCACTTGCAGATTCTACAAAAAGAGTGTTTGCAAACTGCTCTATCAAAAGGAATGTTCAACTCTGGGAGTTGAATGCAATCATCACAGAGCAGTTTCTGAGAATGCTTCTATGTCGTTTTTAGGAGAAGATATTTCCTTTTCCAACACAGTCCTCCAAGTCCGCTAAATAGCCACTTGCACATTGTAGAAAAAGTGTGTCAAAGCTGCGCTATCAAAGGGAAAGTTCAACTCTGTGAGGTGAATGCAAACATCCCAAAGAAGTTTCTGAGAATGCTTCCGTTTAGCTTTTAGGTGACGATTATCCAGTTTCCAACGAAACCTTCAAAGAGATCCAAATATCCCCTTGCGGATCCCACAGAAAGAGTGTTTCGAAACTGCTGTTTCAAAAGGAATCTTCAACTCTGTGAGTTGAATGCAATCATCACAAAGAAGTTTCTGACAATGCTTCTCTCTCGTCTTTCTGTGAAGATAAAGGAAAAGGCTTTCAGGCCTTTTCCACCACAGGCCTGAAAGCGCTCCAAATGTCCACTTGCAGATTCTGCCAAAAGAATATTTCAAAACTGCTCTATGAAAAGCAATGTTAAACTCTGTGACTCGAACACAAACATCACAAAGCAGTTTCTGAGAATGCTTCAGTTTAGTTTTTCTGTGGAAATATTCCCGTTTCCAAAGAAATCTTCAAAGAGGTCCACGCATCCACTTACAGATTCTACAAAAAGACAGTTTCAAAACTGCTCAATCAAAAGGAGGGTTCAACTGTGTGACTTGAATGCATTCATCACTCAGAAGTTTCTGAGAATGCTTCTCTTTAGTTTTTACGTGAACATATACCCGTTTCGAATGAAGGCCAGCCAGTGGTCCAAATATCCACTTGCAGATTCTACAGAAAGAGTGTTTTGAACCTGAACTCTCAAAGGCAGGTTCATCTCTGCGAGTTAAATGCATTCATCATGAAGAACTTTCTCAGCGTGTTTGTGTTTAGTTATGGGAAATTATTCCCGTTTCCAACGAAATCCTCAGAGAGCTCCAAATATCCACCTGCAGATTGTACCAAAAGTGTATTTGGAAACTGCTCCATGAAAAGGCATGTTCAGCTCTGTGAGTGAAACTCCGTCATCACAAAGAATATTCTGAGAATGCTTCCATTTGCCTTTTATATGAAGTTCCTTCCTATACTACCGTAGGCCTCAAAGCAGTCCAAATCTCCATTTGCAGATTCTACAAAAAGAGTGATTCCAATCTGCTCTATCAATAGGATTGTTCAAGTCCATGAGTTGAATGCCATCCTCACAAAGTCGTTTCTGAGAATGCTTCTATGTAGTTTTTATGTGAAGATATTTCCTTTTCCACCACAGGCCTCAAAGCCCTCCAAACGTCCACTTGCATATTCTCGAAAAAGAGTGTTTCATAGCTGCTCTTTCAAAAGGAAAGTTCAACTCTGGGAGTTGAATACAAACATCACAAAGTAGTTTCCGAGAATGCTTCTGTTTAGTTCTTATGTGAAGATGATCCCGTTTCCAGTGAAATCTTCAAAGAGGTCCACATATCCCCTTGCAGATTCCAAAAAAAGAGGGTTTCAAAACTGCTCCATCAAAAGGATTGTTCAACTCTGTGAGTTGAATGCAGTCATCGCAGAAAACTTTCTGAGAATGCTTCTGTCTAGGTTTGATGTGAAGATATAGACGTTTCAAACGAAGGCTACTAAGTGGTCAAAATATACACTTGCAGATTCTACTACAAGGGTGATGCAAACCTGAACTATCAAAGGAAGGTTCAACTCTGTGAGTTGAATACAAACATCACAAAGAATGTTCTGAGTTTGCTTCCGTTCAGTTATGGGAAGTTGATCCCGTTTCCAACGAAATCCTCAGAGAGGTCCAAATATCCCCTTGCAGATTCTACAAAACGTGTGTTTGGAAACTGCTCCATCATAACGAATGTTCAGCTCTCTGAGTTAAACTCCATCGTCACAAAGAATTTTCTGAGAGTGCTACCGTCTAGTTTTTATATGAAGTTCTTTCCTTTACTACCACAGGCCTCAAAGCGGTCCAAATCTCCACTTGCAGATTCTACAAAAAGAGTGTCTGCAAACTGCTCTATCAAAAGGAATGTTCAACTCTGGGAGTTGAATGCAATCATCACAGAGCAGTTTCTGAGAATGCTTCTATTTCGTTTTTAGGAGAAGATATTTCGTTTTCCAACACAGTCCTCCAAGCCTGCTAAATATCCACTTGCACATTGTAGAAAAAGTGTGTCGAAGCTGCGCTATCAAAGGGAAAGTTCAACTCTGTGAGGTGAATGCAAACATCCCAAAGAAGTTTCTGAGAATGCTTCCGTTTAGCTTTTAGGTGAAGATTATCCCGTTTCCAACGAAATCTTCAAAGAGGTCCAAATATCCCCTCGCGGATCCCACAGAAAGAGTGTTTCGAAACTGCTGTTTCAAAAGGAATCTTCAACTCTGTGAGTTGAATGCAATCATCACAAAGAAGTTTCTGACAATGCTTCTCTCTCGTCTTTCTGTGAAGATAAAGGAAAAGGCTTTCAGGCCTTTCCCATCACAGGCCTGAAAGCGCTCCAAATGTCCACTTGCAGATTCTGCCAAAAGAATATTTCAAAACTGCTCTATGAAAAGCAATGTTAAACTCTGTGGCTCGAACACAAACATCACAAAGCAGTTTCTGAGAATGCTTCAGTTTAGTTTTTCTGTGGAAATATTCCCGTTTCCAAAGAAATCTTCAAAGAGGTCCACGTATCCACTTACAGATTCTACAAAAAGACAGTTTCAAAACTGCTCAATCAAAAGGAGGGTTCAACTGTGTGACTTGAATGCAATCATCACTCAGAAGTTTCTGAGAACGCTTCTCTTTAGTTTTTACGTGAACATATACCCGTTTCGAACGAAGGCCAGACAGTGGTCCAAATATCCACTTGCAGATTCTACAGAAAGAGTGTTTCGAACCTGAACTCTCAAAGGCAGGTTCATCTCTGCGAGTTCAATGCATTCATCATGAAGAACTTTCTCAGCGTGTTTGTGTTTAGTTATGGGAAATTATTCCCGTTTCCAACGAAATCCTCAGAGAGCTCCAAATATCCACCTGCAGATTCTACCAAAAGTGTATTTGGAAACTGCTCCATCAAAAGGCATGTTCAGCTCTGTGAGTGAAACTCCATCATCACACAAAATATTCTGAGAATGCTTCCGTTTGCCTTTTATATGAAGTTCCTTCCTATACTACCGTAGGCCTCAAAGCAGTCCAAATCTCCATTTGCAGATTCTACAAAAAGAGTGATTCCAATCTCCTCTATCAATAGGACTGTACAACTCCATGAGTTGAATGCCATCCTCACAAAGTCGTTTCTGAGAATGCTTCTATCTAGTTTTTATGTGAAGATATTTCCTTTTCCACCACAGGCCTCAAAGCCCTCCAAACGTCCACTTGCAGATTCTCGAAAAAGAGTGTTTCATAGCTGCTCTTTCAAAAGGAAAGTTCAACTCTGGGAGCTGAATACAAACATCACAAAGTAGTTTCCGAGAATGCTTCTGTTTAGTTTTTATGTGAAGATGATCCCGTTTCCAGTGAAATCTTCAAAGAGGTCCACATATCCTCTTGCAGATTCCAAAGAAAGAGGGTTTCAAAACTGCTCCATCAGAAGGATTGTTCAACTCTGTGAGTTGAATGCAGTCATCGCAGAAAACTTTCTGAGAATGCTTCTGTCTAGGTTTGATGTGAAGATATAGACGTTTCAAACGAAGGCTACAAAGTGGTCAAAATATACACTTGCAGATTCTACTACAAGGGTGTTGCAAACCTGAACTATCAAAGGAAGGTTCAACTCTGTGAGTTGAATACAAACATCACAAAGAATGTTCTGAGTTTGCTTCCGTTCAGTTATGGGAAGTTGATCCCGTTTCCAACGAAATCCTCAGAGAGGTCCAAATATCCCCTTGCAGATTCTACAAAACGTGTGTTTGGAAACTGCTCCATCATAACGAATGTTCAGCTCCCTGAGTTAAACTCCATCGTCACAAAGAATTTTCTGAGAGTGCTACCGTCTGGTTTTTATATGAAGTTCTTTCCTTCACTACCACAGGCCTCAAAGCGGTCCAAATCTCCACTTGCAGATTCTACAAAAAGAGTGTTTGCAAACTGCTCTATCAAAAGGAATGTTCAACTCTGGGAGTTGAATGCAATCATCACAGAGCAGTTTCTGAGAATGCTTCTATGTCGTTTTTAGGAGAAGATATTTCCTTTTCCAACACAGTCCTCCAAGCCCGCTAAATAGCCACTTGCACATTGTAGAAAAAGTGTGTCAAAGCTGCGCTATCAAAGGGAAAGTTCAACTCTGTGAGGTGAATGCAAACATCCCAAAGAAGTTTCTGAGAATGCTTCCGTTTAGCTTTTAGGTGAAGATTATCCCGTTTCCAACGAAACCTTCAAAGAGGTCCAAATATCCCCTTGCGGATCCCACAGAAAGAGTGTTTCGAAACTGCTGTTTCAAAAGGAATCTTCAACTCTGTGAGTTGAATGCAATCATCACAAAGAAGTTTCTGACAATGCTTCTCTCTCGTCTTTCTGTGAAGATAAAGGAAAAGGCTTTCAGGCCTTTTCCACCACAGGCCTGAAAGCGCTCCAAATGTCCACTTGCAGATTCTGCGAAAAGAATATTTCAAAACTGCTCTATGAAAAGCAATGTTAAACTCTGTGGCTCGAACACAAACATCACAAAGCGGTTTCTGAGAATGCTTCAGTTTAGTTTTTCTGTGGAAATATTCCCGTTTCCAAAGAAATCTTCAAAGAGGTCCACGTATCCACTTACAGATTCTACAAAAAGACAGTTTCAAAACTGCTCCATCAAAAGGAGGGTTCAACTGTGTGACTTGAATGCAATCATCACTCAGAAGTTTCTGAGAATGCTTCTCTTTAGTTTTTACGTGAACATATACCCGTTTCGAACGAAGGCCAGCCAGTGGTCCAAATATCAACTTGCAGATTCTACAGAAAGAGTGTTTCGAACCTGAACTCTCAAAGGCAGGTTCATCTCTGCGAGTTAAATGCATTCATCATGAAGAACTTTCTCAGAGTGTTTGTGTTTAGTTATGGGAAATTATTCCCGTTTCCAACGAAATCCTCAGAGAGCTCCAAATATCCACCTGCAGATTCTACCAAAAGTGTATTTGGAAACTGCTCCATCAAAAGGCATGTTCCGCTCTGTGAGTGAAACTCCATCATCACAAAGAATATTCTGAGAATGCTTCCGTTTGCCTTTTATATGAAGTTCCTTCCTATACGACCGTAGGCCTCAAAGCAGTCCAAATCTCCATTTGCAGATTCTACAAAAAGAGTGATTCCAATCTGCTCTATCAATAGGATTGTTCAACTCCATGAGTTGAATGCCATCCTCACAAAGTAGTTTCTGAGAATGCTTCTATCTAGTTTTTATGTGAAGATATTTCCTTTTCCACCACAGGCCTCAAAGCCCTCCAAACGTCCACTTGCAGATTCTCGAAAAAGAGTGTTTCATAGCTGCTCTTTCAAAAGGAAAGTTCAACTCTGGGAGTTGAATACAAACATCACAAAGTAGTTTCCGAGAATGCTTCTGTTTAGTTTTTATGTGAAGATGATCCCGTTTCCAGTGAAATCTTCAAAGAGGTCCACATATCCCCTTGCAGATTCCAAAGAAAGAGGGTTTCAAAACTGCTCCATCAGAAGGATTGTTCAACTCTGTGAGTTGAATGCAGTCATCGCAGAAAACTTTCTGAGAATGCTTCTGTCTAGGTTTGATGTGAAGATATAGACGTTTCAAACGAAGGCTACAAAGTGGTCAAAATATACACTTGCAGATTCTACTACAAGGGTGTTGCAAACCTGAACTATCAAAGGAAGGTTCAACTCTGTGAGTTGAATACAAACATCACAAAAAATGTTCTGAGTTTGCTTCCGTTCAGTTATGGGAAGTTGATCCCGTTTCCAACGAAATCCTCAGAGAGGTCCACATATCCACTTGCAGATTCTACAAAACGTGTGTTTGGAAACTGCTCCATCATAACGAATGTTCAGCTCCCTGAGTTAAACTCCATCGTCACAAAGAATTTTCTGAGAGTGCTACCGTCTGGTTTTTATATGAAGCTCTTTCCTTCACTACCACAGGCCTCAAAGCGGTCCAAATCTCCACTTGCAGATTCTACAAAAAGAGTGTTTGCAAACTGCTCTATCAAAAGGAATGTTCAACTCTGGGAGTTGAATGCAATCATCACAGAGCAGTTTCTGAGAATGCTTCTATGTCGTTTTTAGGAGAAGATATTTCCTTTTCCAACACAGTCCTCCAAGCCCGCTAAAGAGCCACTTGCACATTGTAGAAAAAGTGTGTCAAAGCTGCGCTATCAAAGGGAAAGTTCAACTCTGTGAGGTGAATGCAAACATCCCAAAGAAGTTTCTGAGAATGCTTCCGTTTAGCTTTTAGGTGAAGATTATCCCGTTTCCAACGAAACCTTCAAAGAGGTCCAAATATCCCCTTGCGGATCCCACAGAAAGAGTGTTTCGAAACTGCTGTTTCAAAAGGAATCTTCAACTCTGTGAGTTGAATGCAATCATCACAAAGAAGTTTCTGACAATGCTTCTCTCTCGTCTTTCTGTGAAGATAAAGGAAAAGGCTTTCAGGCCTTTTCCACCACAGGCCTGAAAGCGCTCCAAATGTCCACTTGCAGATTCTGCCAAAAGAATATTTCAAAACTGCTCTATGAAAAGCAATGTTAAACTCTGCGGCTCGAACACAAACATCACAAAGCGGTTTCTGAGAATGCTTCAGTTTAGTTTTTCTGTGGAAATATTCCCGTTTCCAAAGAAATCTTCAAAGAGGTCCACGCATCCACTTACAGATTCTACAAAAAGACAGTTTCAAAACTGCTCAATCAAAAGGAGGGTTCAACTGTGTGACTTGAATGCAATCATCACTCAGAAGTTTGCTGAGAACGCTTCTCTTTAGTTTTTACGTGAACATATACCCGTTTCGAACGAAGGCCAGCCAGTGGTCCAAATATCCACTTGCAGATTCTACAGAAAGAGTGTTTCGAACCTGAACTCTCAAAGGCAGGTTCATCTCTGCGAGTTAAATGCATTCATCATGAAGAACTTTCTCAGCGTGTTTGTGTTTAGTTATGGGAAATTATTCCCGTTTCCAACGAAATCCTCAGAGAGGTCCAAATATCCACCTGCAGATTCTACCAAAAGTGTATTTGGAAACTGCTCCATCAAAAGGCATGTTCAGCTCTGTGAGTGAAACTCCATCATCACAAAGGAGATATTCTGAGAATGCTTCCGTTTGCCTTTTATATGAAGTTCCTTCCTATACTACCATAGGCCTCAAAGCAGTCCAAATCTCCATTTGCAGATTCTACAAAAAGAGTGATTCCAATCTGCTTTATCAATAGGATTGTTCAACTCCATGAGTTGAATGCCATCCTCACAAAGTCGTTTCTGAGAATGCTTCTATCTAGTTTTTATGTGAAGATATTTCCTTTTCCACCACAGGCCTCAAAGCTCTCCAAACGTCCACTTGCAGATTCTCGAAAAAGAGTGTTTCCTAGCTGCTCTTTCAAAAGGAAAGTTCAACTCTGGGAGTTGAATACAAACATCACAAAGTAGTTTCCGAGAATGCTTCTGTTTAGTTCTTATGTGAAGATGATCCCGTTTCCAGGGAAATCTTCAAAGAGGTCCACATATCCCCTTGCAGATTCCAAAGAAAGAGGGTTTCAAAACTGCTCCATCAAAAGGATTGTACAACTCTGTGAGTTGAATGCAGTCATCGCAGAAAACTTTCTGAGAATGCTTCTGTCTAGGTTTGATGTGAAGATATAGACGTTTCAAACGAAGGCTACAAAGTGGTCAAAATATACACTTGCAGATTGTACTAAAAGGGTGTTGCAAACCTGAACTATCAAAGGAAGGTTCAACTCTGTGGGTTGAATACAAACATCGCAGAGAATGTTCTGAGTTTGCTTCCGTTCAGTTATGGGAAGTTGATCCCGTTTCCAACGAAATCCTCAGAGAGGTCCAAATATCCCCTTGCAGATTCTACAAAACGTGTGTTTGGAAACTGCTCCATCATAACGAATGTTCAGCTCCCTGAGTTAAACTCCATCGTCACAAAGAATTTTCTGAGAGTGCTACCGTCTGGTTTTTATATGAAGCTCTTTCCTTCACTACCACAGGCCTCAAAGCGGTCCAAATCTCCACTTCCAGATTCTACAAAAAGAGTGTTTGCAAACTGCTCTATCAAAAGGAATGTTCAACTCTGGGAGTTGAATGCAATCATCACAGAGCAGTTTCTGAGAATGCTTCTATGTCGTTTTTAGGAGAAGATATTTCCTTTTCCAACACAGTCCTCCAAGCCCGCTAAATAGCCACTTGCACATTGTAGAAAAAGTGTGTCAAAGCTGCGCTATCAAAGGGAAAGTTCAACTCTGTGAGGTGAATGCAAACATCCCAAAGAAGTTTCTGAGAATGCTTCCGTTTAGCTTTTAGGTGAAGATTATCCCGTTTCCAACGAAACCTTCAAAGAGGTCCAAATATCCCCTTGCGGATCCCACAGAAAGAGTGTTTCGAAACTGCTGTTTCAAAAGGAATCTTCAACTCTGTGAGTTGAATGCAATCATCACAAAGAAGTTTCTGACAATGCTTCTCTCTCGTCTTTCTGTGAAGATAAAGGAAAAGGCTTTCAGGCCTTTGCCACCACAGGCCTGAAAGCGCTCCAAATGTCCACTTGCAGATTCTGCCAAAAGAATATTTCAAAACTGCTCTATGAAAAGCAATGTTAAACTCTGCGGCTCGAACACAAACATCACAAAGCGGTTTCTGAGAATGCTTCAGTTTAGTTTTTCTGTGGAAATATTCCCGTTTCCAAAGAAATCTTCAAAGAGGTCCACGTATCCACTTACAGATTCTACAAAAAGACAGTTTCAAAACTGCTCCATCAAAAGGAGGGTTCAACTGTGTGACTTGAATGCAATCATCACTCAGAAGTTTCTGAGAATGCTTCTCTTTAGTTTTTACGTGAACATATACCCGTTTCGAACGAAGGCCAGCCAGTGGTCCAAATATCCACTTGCAGATTCTACAGAAAGAGTGTTTCGAACCTGAACTCTCAAAGGCAGGTTCATCTCTGCGAGTTAAATGCATTCATCATGAAGAACTTTCTCAGAGTGTTTGTGTTTAGTTATGGGAAATTATTCCCGTTTCCAACGAAATCCTCAGAGAGCTCCAAATATCCACCTGCAGATTCTACCAAAAGTGGATTTGGAAACTGCTCCATCAAAAGGCATGTTCCGCTCTGTGAGTGAAACTCCATCATTACAAAGAATATTCTGAGAATGCTTCCGTTTGCCTTTTATATGAAGTTCCTTCCTATACGACCGTAGGCCTCAAAGCAGTCCAAATCTCCATTTGCAGATTCTACAAAAAGAGTGATTCCAATCTGCTCTATCAATAGGATTGTTCAACTCCATGAGTTGAATGCCATCCTCACAAAGTCGTTTCTGAGAATGCTTCTATCTAGTTTTTATGTGAAGATATTTCCTTTTCCACCACAGGCCTCAAAGCCCTCCAAACGTCCACTTGCAGATTCTCGAAAAAGAGTGTTTCATAGCTGCTCTTTCAAAAGGAAAGTTCAACTCTGGGAGTTGAATACAAACATCACAAAGTAGTTTCCGAGAATGCTTCTGTTTAGTTCTTATGTGAAGATGATCCCGTTTCCAGTGAAATCTTCAAAGAGGTCCACATATCCCCTTGCAGATTCCAAAGAAAGAGGGTTTCAAAACTGCTCCATCAAAAGGATTGTTCACCTCTGTGAGTTGAATGCAGTCATCGCAGAAAACTTTCTGAGAATGGTTCTGTCTAGGTTTGATGTGAAGATATAGACGTTTCAAACGAAGGCTACAAAGTGGTCAAAATATACACTTGCAGATTCTACTACAAGGGTGTTGCAAACCTGAACTATCAAAGGAAGGTTCAACTCTGTGAGTTGAATTCAAACATCATAAAGAATGTTCTGAGTTTGCTTCCGTTCAGTTATGGGAAGTTGATCCCATTTCCAACGAAATCCTCAGAGAGGTCCAAATATCCCCTTGCAGATTCTACAAAACGTGTGTTTGGAAACTGCTCCATCATAACGAATGTTCAGCTCTCTGAGTTAAACTCCATCGTCACAAAGAATTTTCTGAGAGTGCTACCGTCTAGTTTTTATATGTAGTTCTTTCCGTTACTACCACAGGCCTCAAAGCGGTCCAAATCTCCACTTGCAGATTCTACAAAAAGAGTGTTTGCAAACTGCTCTATCAAAAGGAATGTTCAACTCTGGGAGTTGAATGCAATCATCACAGAGCAGTTTCTGAGAATCCTTCTATGTGGTTTTTAGGAGAAGATATTTCCTTTTCCAACACAGTCCTCCAAGCCCGCTAAATATCCACTTGCACATTGTAGAAAAAGTGTGTCGAAGCTGCGCTATCAAAGGGAAAGTTCAACTCTGTGAGGTGAATGCAAACATCCCAAAGAAGTTTCTGAGAATGCTTCCGTTTAGCTTTTAGGTGAAGATTATCCCGTTTCCAACGAAAGCTTCAAAGAGGTCCAAATATCCCCTTGCGGATCCCACAGAAAGAGTGTTTCGAAACTGCTGTTTCAAAAGGAATCTTCAACTCTGTGAGTTGAATGCAATCATCACAAAGAAGTTTCTGACAATGCTTCTCTCTCGTCTTTTTGTGAAGATAAAGGAAAAGGCTTTCAGGCCTTTTCCACCACAGGCCTGAAAGCGCTCCAAATGTCCACTTGCAGATTCTGCCAAAAGAATATTTCAAAACTGCTCTATGAAAAGCAATGTTAAACTCTGCGGCTCGAACACAAACATCACAAAGCAGTTTCTGAGAATGCTTCAGTTTAGTTTTTCTGTGGAAATATTCCCGTTTCCAAAGAAATCTTCAAAGAGGTCCACGCATCCACTTACAGATTCTACAAAAAGACAGTTTCAAAACTGCTCAATCAAAAGGAGGGTTCAACTGTGTGACTTGAATGCATTCATCACTCAGAAGTTTCTGAGAATGCTTCTCTTTAGTTTTTACGTGAACATATACCCGTTTCGAACGAAGGCCAGCCAGTGGTCCAAATATCCACTTGCAGATTCTACAGAAAGAGTGTTTTGAACCTGAACTCTCAAAGGCAGGTTCATCTCTGCGAGTTAAATGCATTCATCATGAAGAACTTTCTCAGCGTGTTTGTGTTTAGTTATGGGAAATTATTCCCGTTTCCAACGAAATCCTCAGAGAGCTCCAAATATCCACCTGCAGATTCTACCAAAAGTGTATTTGGAAACTGCTCCATGAAAAGGCATGTTCAGCTCTGTGAGTGAAACTCCGTCATCACAAAGAATATTCTGAGAATGCTTCCGTTTGCTTTTTATATGAAGTTCCTTCCTATACTACCGTAGGCCTCAAAGCAGTCCAAATCTCCATTTACAGATTCTACAAAAAGAGTGTTTCCAATCTGCTCTATCAATAGGATTGTTCAACTCCGTGAGTTGAATGCCATCCTCACAAAGTAGTTTCTGAGAATGCTTCTATCTGGTTTTTGTGTGAAGATATTTCCTTTTCCACCACAGGCCTCAAAGCCCTCCAAACGTCCACTTGCAGATTCTCGAAAAAGAGTGTTTCATAGCTGCTCTTTCAAAAGGAAAGTTCAACTCTGGGAGTTGAATGCAAACATCACAAAATAGTTTCCGAGAATGCTTCTGTTTAGTTATTATGTGAAGATGATCCCGTTTCCAGTGAAATCTTCAAAGAGGTCCACATATCCCCTTGCAGATTCCAAAGAAAGAGGGTTTCAAAACTGCTCCATCAGAAGGATTGTTCAACTCTGTGAGTTGAATGCAGTCATCGCAGAAAACTTTCTGAGAATGCTTCTGTCTAGGTTTGATGTGAAGATATAGACGTTTCAAACGAAGGCTACAAAGTGATCAAAATATACACTTGCAGATTCTACTACAAGGGTGTTGCAAACCTGAACTATCAAAGGAAGGTTCAACTCTGTGAGTTGAATACAAACATCACAAAGAATGTTCTGAGTTTGCTTCCGTTCAGTTATGGGAAGTTGATCCCGTTTCCAACCAAATCCTCAGAGAGGTCCAAATATCCCCTTGCAGATTCTACAAAACGTGTGTTTGGAAACTGCTCCATCATAACGAATGTTCAGCTCCCTGAGTTAAACTCCATCGTCACAAAGAATTTTCTGAGAGTGCTACCGTCTGGTTTTTATATGAAGCTCTTTCCTTCACTACCACAGGCCTCAAAGCGGTCCAAATCTCCACTTGCAGATTCTACAAAAAGAGTGTTTGCAAACTGCTCTATCAAAAGGAATGTTCAACTCTGGGAGTTGAATGCAATCATCACAGAGCAGTTTCTGAGAATGCTTCTATGTCGTTTTTAGGAGAAGATATTTCCTTTTCCAACACAGTCCTCCAAGCCCGCTAAATAGCCACTTGCACATTTTAGAAAACGTGTGTCAAAGCTGCGCTATCAAAGGGAAAGTTCAACTCTGTGAGGTGAATGCAAACATCCCAAAGAAGTTTCTGAGAATGCTTCCGTTTAGCTTTTAGGTGAAGATTATCCCGTTTCCAACGAAACCTTCAAAGAGGTCCAAATATCCCCTTGCGGATCCCACAGAAAGAGTGTTTCGAAACTGCTGTTTCAAAAGGAATCTTCAACTCTGTGAGTTGAATGCAATCATCACAAAGAAGTTTCTGACAATGCTTCTCTCTCGTCTTTCTGTGAAGATAAAGGAAAAGGCTTTCAGGCCTTTTCCACCACAGGCCTGAAAGCGCTCCAAATGTCCACTTGCAGATTCTGCGAAAAGAATATTTCAAAACTGCTCTATGAAAAGCAATGTTAAACTCTGTGGCTCGAACACAAACATCACAAAGCAGTTTCTGAGAATGCTTCAGTTTAGTTTTTCTGTGGAAATATTACCGTTTCCAAAGAAATCTTCAAAGAGGTCCACGTATCCACTTACAGATTCTACAAAAAGACAGTTTCAAAACTGCTCCATCAAAAGGAGGGTTCAACTGTGTGACTTGAATGCAATCATCACTCAGAAGTTTCTGAGAATGCTTCTCTTTAGTTTTTACGTGAACATATACCCGTTTCGAACGAAGGCCACCCAGTGGTCCAAATATCCACTTGCAGATTCTACAGAAAGAGTGTTTCGAACCTGAACTCTCAAAGGAAGGTTCATCTCTGCGAGTTAAATGCATTCATCATGAAGAACTTTCTCAGAGTATTTGTGTTTAGTTATGGGAAATTATTCCCGTTTCCAAAGAAATCCTCAGAGAGCTCCAAATATCCACCTGCAGATTCTACCAAAAGTGTATTTGGAAACTGCTCCATCAAAAGGCATGTTCAGCTCTGTGAGTGAAACTCCATCATCACAAAGAATATTCTGAGAATGCTTCCGTTTGCCTTTTATATGAAGTTCCTTCCTATACTACCGTAGGCCTCAAAGCAGTCCAAATCTCCATTTGCAGATTCTACAAAAAGAGTGATTCCAATCTGCTCTATCAATAGGATTGTTCAACTCCATGAGTTGAATTCCATCCTCACAATGTCGTTTGTGAGAATGCTTCTATCTAGTTTTTATGTGAAGATATTTCCTTTTCCACCACAGGCCTCAAAGCCTTCCAAACGTCCACTTGCAGATTCTCGAAAAAGAGTGTTTCATAGCTGCTCTTTCAAAAGGAAAGTTCAACTCTGGGAGTTGAATACAAACATCACAAAGTAGTTTCCGAGAATGCTTCTGTTTAGTTTTTATGTGAAGATGATCCCGTTTCCAGTGAAATCTTCAAAGAGGTCCACATATCCCCTTGCAGATTCCAAAGAAAGAGGGTTTCAAAACTGCTCCATCAGAAGGATTGTTCAGCTCTGTGAGTTGAATGCAGTCATCGCAGAAAACTTTCTGAGAATGCTTCTGTCTAGGTTTGATGTGAAGATATAGACGTTTCAAACGAAGGCTACAAAGTGGTCAAAATATACAGTTGCAGATTCTACTACAAGGGTGTTGCAAACCTGAACTATCAAAGGAAGGTTCAACTCTGTGAGTTGAATACAAACATCACAAAGAATGTTCTGAGTTTGCTTCCGTTCAGTTATGGGAAGTTGATCCCGTTTCCAACGAAATCCTCAGAGAGGTCCAAATATCCCCTTGCAGATTCTACAAAACGTGTGTTTGGAAACTGCTCCATCATAACGAATGTTCAGCTCCCTGAGTTAAACTCCATCGTCACAAAGAATTTTCTGAGAGTGCTACCGTCTGGTTTTTATATGAAGTTCTTTCCTTCACTACCACAGGCCTCAAAGCGGTCCAAATCTCCACTTGCAGATTCTACAAAAAGAGTGTTTGCAAACTGCTCTATCAAAAGGAATGTTCAACTCTGGGAGTTGAATGCAATCGTCACAGAGCAGTTTCTGAGAATGCTTCTATGTCGTTTTTAGGAGAAGATATTTCGTTTTCCAACACAGTCCTCCAAGCCCGCTAAATAGCCACTTGCACATTGTAGAAAAAGTGTGTCAAAGCTGCGCTATCAAAGGGAAAGTTCAACTCTGTGAGGTGAATGCAAACATCCCAAAGAAGTTTCTGAGAATGCTTCCGTTTAGCTTTTAGGTGAAGATTATCCCGTTTCCAACGAAACCTTCAAAGAGGTCCAAATATCCCCTTGCGGATCCCACAGAAAGAGTGTTTCGAAACTGCTGTTTCAAAAGGAATCTTCAACTCTGTGAGTTGAATGCAATCATCACAAAGAAGTTTCTGACAATGCTTCTCTCTCGTCTTTCTGTGAAGATAAAGGAAAAGGCTTTCAGGCCTTTTCCAACCACAGGCCTGAAAGCGCTCCAAATGTCCACTTGCAGATTCTGCGAAAAGAATATTTCAAAACTGCTCTATGAAAAGCAATGTTAAACTCTGTGGCTCGAACACAAACATCACAAAGCAGTTTCTGAGAATGCTTCAGTTTAGTTTTTCTGTGGAAATATTCCCGTTTCCAAAGAAATCTTCAAAGAGGTCCACGTATCCACTTACAGATTCTACAAAAAGACAGTTTCAAAACTGCTCCATCAAAAGGAGGGTTCAACTGTGTGACTTGAATGCAATCATCACTCAGAAGTTTCTGAGAATGCTTCTCTTTAGTTTTTACGTGAACATATACCCGTTTCGAACGAAGGCCACCCAGTGGTCCAAATGTCCACTTGCAGATTCTACAGAAAGAGTGTTTCGAACCTGAACTCTCAAAGGCAGGTTCATCTCTGCGAGTTAAATGCATTCATCATGAAGAACTTTCTCAGCGTGTTTGTGTTTAGTTATGGGAAATTATTCCCGTTCCCAACGAAATCCTCAGAGAGGTCCAAATGTCCACCTGCAGATTCTACCAAAAGTGTATTTGGAAACTGCTCCATCAACAGGCATGTTCAGCTCTGTGAGTGAAACTCCATCATCACAAAGAATATTCTGAGAATGCTTCCGTTTGCCTTTTATATGAAGTTCCTTCCTATACGACCGTAGGCCTCAAAGCAGTGCAAATCTCCATTTGCAGATTCTACAAAAAGAGTGATTCCAATCTGCTCTATCAATAGGATTGTTCAACTCCATGAGTTGAATGCCATCCTCACAAAGTCGTTTCTGAGAATGCTTCTATCTAGTTTTTATGTGAAGATATTTCCTTTTCCACCACAGGCCTCAAAGCCTTCCAAACGTCCACTTGCAGATTCTCGAAAAAGAGTGTTTCATAGCTGCTCTTTCAAAAGGAAAGTTCAACTCTGGGAGTTGAATACAAACATCACAAAGTAGTTTCCGAGAATGCTTCTGTTTAGTTTTTATGTGAAGATGATCGATCCCGTTTCCAGTGAAATCTTCAAAGAGGTCCACATATCCCCTTGCAGATTCCAAAGAAAGAGGGTTTCAAAACTGCTCCATCAGAAGGATTGTTCAACTCTGTGAGTTGAATGCAGTCATCGCAGAAAACTTTCTGAGAATGCTTCTGTCTAGGTTTGATGTGAAGATATAGACGTTTCAAACGAAGGCTACAAAGTGGTCAAAATATACACTTGCAGATTCTACTACAAGGGTGTTGCAAACCTGAACTATCAAAGGAAGGTTCAACTCTGTGAGTTGAATACAAACATCACAGAGAATGTTCTGAGTTTGCTTCCGTTCAGTTATGGGATGTTGATCCCGTTTCCAACGAAATCCTCAGAGAGGTCCAAATATCCCCTCGCAGATTCTACAAAACGTGTGTTTGGAAACTGCTCCATCATAACGAATGTTCAGCTCCCTGAGTTAAACTCCATCGTCACAAAGAATTTTCTGAGAGTGCTACCGTCTGGTTTTTATATGAAGTTCTTTCCTTCACTACCACAGGCCTCAAAGCGGTCCAAATCTCCACTTGCAGATTCTACAAAAAGAGTGTTTGCAAACTGCTCTATCAAAAGGAATGTTCAACTCTGGGAGTTGAATGCAATCATCACAGAGCAGTTTCTGAGAATGCTTCTATGTCGTTTTTAGAAGATATTTCCTTTTCCAACACAGTCCTCCAAGCCCGCTAAATAGCCACTTGCACATTGTAGAAAAAGTGTGTCAAAGCTGCGCTATCAAAGGGAAAGTTCAACTCTGTGAGGTGAATGCAAACATCCCAAAGAAGTTTCTGAGAATGCTTCCGTTTAGCTTTTAGGTGAAGATTATCCCGTTTCCAACGAAACCTTCAAAGAGGTCCAAATATCCCCTTGCGGATCCCACAGAAAGAGTGTTTCGAAACTGCTGTTTCAAAAGGAATCTTCAACTCTGTGAGTTGAATGCAATCATCACAAAGAAGTTTCTGACAATGCTTCTCTCTCGTCTTTCTGTGAAGATAAAGGAAAAGGCTTTCAGGCCTTTTCCACCACAGGCCTGAAAGCGCTCCAAATGTCCACTTGCAGATTCTGTGAAAAGAATATTGCAAAACTGCTTTATGAAAAGCAATGTTAAACTCTGTGGCTCGAACACAAACATCACAAAGCAGTTTCTGAGAATGCTTCAGTTTAGTTTTTCTGTGGAAATATTCCCGTTTCCAAAGAAATCTTCAAAGAGGTCCACGTATCCACTTACAGATTCTACAAAAAGACAGTTTCAAAACTGCTCCATCAAAAGGAGGGTTCAACTGTGTGACTTGAATGCAATCATCACTCAGAAGTTTGCTGAGAATGCTTCTCTTTAGTTTTTACGTGAACATATACCCGTTTCGAACGAAGGCCACCCAGTGGTCCAAATATCCACTTGCAGATTATACAGAAAGAGTGTTTCGAACCTGAACTCTCAAAGGCAGGTTCATCTCTGCGAGTTAAATGCATTCATCATGAAGAACTTTCTCAGAGTGTTTTTGTGTTTAGTTATGGGAAATTATTCCCGTTTCCAACGAAATCCTCAGAGAGCTCCAAATATCCACCTGCAGATTCTACCAAAAGTGTATTTGGAAACTGCTCCATCAAAAGGCATGTTCAGCTCTGTGAGTGAAACTCCATCATCACAAAGAATATTCTGAGAATGCTTCCGTTTGCCTTTTATATGAAGTTCCTTCCTATACGACCGTAGGCCTCAAAGCAGTCCAAATCTCCATTTGCAGATTCTACAAAAAGAGTGATTCCAATCTGCTCTATCAATAGGATTGTTCAACTCCATGAGTTGAATGCCATCCTCACAAAGTAGTTTCTGAGAATGCTTCTATCTAGTTTTATGTGAAGATATTTCCTTTTCCACCACAGGCCTCAAAGCCCTCCAAACGTCCACTTGCAGATTCTCGAAAAAGAGTGTTTCATAGCTGCTCTTTCAAAAGGAAAGTTCAACTCTGGGAGTTGAATACAAACATCACAAAGTAGTTTCCGAGAATGCTTCTGTTTAGTTTTTATGTGAAGATGATCCCGTTTCCAGTGAAATCTTCAAAGAGGTCCACATATCCCCTTGCAGATTCCAAAGAAAGAGGGTTTCAAAACTGCTCCATCAGAAGGATTGTTCAACTCTGTGAGTTGAATGCAGTCATCGCAGAAAACTTTCTGAGAATGCTTTTGTCTAGGTTTGATGTGAAGATATAGACGTTTCAAATGAAGGCTACAAAGTGGTCAAAATATACACTTGCAGATTCTACTACAAGGGTGTTGCAAACCTGAACTATCAAAGGAAGGTTCAACTCTGTGAGTTGAATACAAACATCACAAAGAATGTTCTGAGTTTGCTTCCGTTCAGTTATGGGAAGTTGATCCCGTTTCCAACGAAATCCTCAGAGAGGTCCAAATATCCCCTTGCAGATTCTACAAAACGTGTGTTTGGAAACTGCTCCATCATAACGAATGTTCAGCTCCCTGAGTTAAACTCCATCGTCACAAAGAATTTTCTGAGAGTGTTACCGTCTGGTTTTTATATGAAGTTCTTTCCTTCACTACCACAGGCCTCAAAGCGGTCCAAATCTCCACTTGCAGATTCTACAAAAAGAGTGTTTGCAAACTGCTCTATCAAAAGGAATGTTCAACTCTGGGAGTTGAATGCAATCATCACAGAGCAGTTTCTGAGAATGCTTCTATGTCGTTTTTAGGAGAAGATATTTCCTTTTCCAACACAGTCCTCCAAGCCCGCTAAATAGCCACTTGCACATTGTAGAAAAAGTGTGTCAAAGCTGCGCTATCAAAGGGAAAGTTCAACTCTGTGAGGTGAATGCAAACATCCCAAAGAAGTTTCTGAGAGTGCTTCCGTTTAGCTTTTAGGTGAAGATTATCCCGTTTCCAACGAAACCTTCAAAGAGGTCCAAATATCCCCTTGCGGATCCCACAGAAAGAGTGTTTCGAAACTGCTGTTTCAAAAGGAATCTTCAACTCTGTGAGTTGAATGCAATCATCACAAAGAAGTTTCTGACAATGCTTCTCTCTCGTCTTTCTGTGAAGATAAAGGAAAAGGCTTTCAGGCCTTTTCCACCACAGGCCTGAAAGCGCTCCAAATATCCGCTTGCAGATACTGCGAAAAGAATATTACAAAACTGCTCTATGAAAAGCAATGTTAAACTCTGTGGCTCGAACACAAACATCACAAAGCAGTTTCTGAGAATACTTCAGTTTAGTTTTTCTGTGGAAATATTCCCGTTTCCAAAGAAATCTTCAAAGAGGTCCACGTATCCACTTACAGATTCTACAAAAAGACAGTTTCAAAACTGCTCAATCAAAAGGAGGGTTCAACTGTGTGACTTGAAAGCAATCATCACTCAGAAGATTCTGAGAATGCTTCTCTTTAGTTTTTACGTGAACATATACCCGTTTCGAACGAAGGCCAGCCAGTGGTCCAAATATCCACTTGCAGATTCTACAGAAAGAGTGTTTCGAACCTGAACTCTCAAAGGCAGGTTCATCTCTGCGAGTTCAATGCATTCATCATGAAGAACTTTCTCAGAGTGTTTGTGTTTAGTTATGGGAAATTATTCCCGTTTCCAACGAAATCCTCAGAGAGCTCCAAATATCCACCTGCAGATTCTACCAAAAGTGTATTTGGAAACTGCTCCATCAAAAGGCATGTTCAGCTCTGTGAGTGAAACTCCATCATCACAAAGAATATTCTGAGAATGCTTCCGTTTGCCTTTTATATGAAGTTCCTTCCTATACTACCGTAGGCCTCAAAGCAGTCCAAATCTCCATTTGCAGATTCTACAAAAAGAGTGATTCCAATCTGCTCTATCAATAGGATTGTTCAACTCCATGAGTTGAATGCCATCCTCACAAAGTCGTTTCTGAGAATGCTTCTATCTAGTTTTTATGTGAAGATATTTCCTTTTCCACCACAGGCCTCAAAGCCCTCCAAACGTCCACTTTCAGATTCTCGAAAAAGAGTGTTTCATAGCTGCTCTTTCAAAAGGAAAGTTCAACTCTGGGAGTTGAATACAAACATCACAAAGTAGTTTCCGAGAATGCTTCTGTTTAGTTTTTATTTGAAGATGATCCCGTTTCCAGTGAAATCTTCAAAGAGGTCCACATATCCCCTTGCAGATTCCAAAGAAAGAGGGTTTCAAAACTGCTCCATCAGAAGGATTGTTCAACTCTGTGAGTTGAATGCAGTCATCGCAGAAAACTTTCTGAGAATGCTTCTGTCTAGGTTTGATGTGAAGGTATAGACGTTTCAAATGAAGGCTACAAAGTGGTCAAAATATACACTTGCAGATTCTACTACAAGGGTGTTGCAAACCTGAACTATCAAAGGAAGGTTCAACTCTGTGAGTTGAATACAAACATCACAAAGAATGTTCTGAGTTTGCTTCCGTTCAGTTATGGGAAGTTGATCCCGTTTCCAACGAAATCCTCAGAGAGGTCCAAATATCCCCTTGCAGATTCTACAAAACGTGTGTTTGGAAACTGCTCCATCATAACGAATGTTCAGCTCCCTGAGTTAAACTCCATCGTCACAAAGAATTTTCTGAGAGTGCTACCGTCTGGTTTTTATATGAAGTTCTTTCCTTCACTACCACAGGCCTCAAAGCGGTCCAAATCTCCACTTGCAGATTCTACAAAAAGAGTGTTTGCAAACTGCTCTATCAAAAGGAATGTTCAACTCTGGGAGTTGAATGCAATCATCACAGAGCAGTTTCTGAGAATGCTTCTATGTCGTTTTTAGGAGAAGATATTTCCTTTTCCAACACAGTCCTCCAAGCCCGCTAAATAGCCACTTGCACATTGTAGAAAAAGTGTGTCAAAGCTGCGCTATCAAAGGGAAAGTTCAACTCTGTGAGGTGAATGCAAACATCCCAAAGAAGTTTCTGAGAATGCTTCCGTTTAGCTTTTAGGTGAAGATTATCCCGTTTCCAACGAAACCTTCAAAGAGGTCCAAATATCCCCTTGCGGATCCCACAGAAAGAGTGTTTCGAAACTGCTGTTTCAAAAGGAATCTTCAACTCTGTGAGTTGAATGCAATCATCACAAAGAAGTTTCTGACAATGCTTCTCTCTCGTCTTTCTGTGAAGATAAAGGAAAAGGCTTTCAGGCCTTTTCCACCACAGGCCTGAAAGCGCTCCAAATGTCCACTTGCAGATTCTGCCAAAAGAATATTTCAAAACTGCTCTATGAAAAGCAATGTTAAACTCTGTGGCTGGAACACAAACATCACAAAGCGGTTTCTGAGAATGTTTCAGTTTAGTTTTTCTGTGGAAATATTCCCGTTTCCAAAGAAATCTTCAAAGAGGTCCACGTATCCACTTACAGATTCTACAAAAAGACAGTTTCAAAACTGCTCCATCAAAAGGAGGGTTCAACTGTGTGACTTGAATGCAATCATCACTCAGAAGTTTCTGAGAATGCTTCTCTTTAGTTTTTACGTGAACATATACCCGTTTCGAACGAAGGCCACCCAGTGGTCCAAATATCCACTTGCAGATTATACAGAAAGAGTGTTTCGAACCTGAACTCTCAAAGGCAGGTTCATCTCTGCGAGTTAAATGCATTCATCATGAAGAACTTTCTCAGAGTGTTTGTGTTTAGTTATGGGAAATTATTCCCGTTTCCAACGAAATCCTCAGAGAGCTCCAAATATCCACCTGCAGATTCTACCAAAAGTGTATTTGGAAACTGCTCCATCAAAAGGCATGTTCAGCTCTGTGAGTGAAACTCCATCATCACAAAGAATATTCTGAGAATGCTTCCGTTTGCCTTTTATCTGAAGTTCCTTCCTGTACTACCGTAGGCCTCAAAGCAGTCCAAATCTCCATTTGCAGATTCTACAAAAAGAGTGATTCCAATCTGCTCTATCAATAGGATTGTTCAACTCCATGAGTTGAATGCCATCCTCACAAAGTAGTTTCTGAGAATGCTTCTATCTGGTTTTTGTGTGAAGATATTTCCTTTTCCACCACAGGCCTCAAAGCCCTCCAAACGTCCACTTGCAGATTCTCGAAAAAGAGTGTTTCATAGCTGCTCTTTCAAAAGGAAAGTTCAACTCTGGGAGTTGAATACAAACATCACAAAATAGTTTCCGAGAATGCTTCTGTTTAGTTTTTATGTGAAGATGATCCCGTTTCCAGTGAAATCTTCAAAGAGGTCCACATATCCCCTTGCAGATTCCAAAGAAAGAGGGTTTAAAAACTGCTCCATCAGAAGGATTGTTCAACTCTGTGAGTTGAATGCAGTCATCGCAGAAAACTTTCTGAGAATGCTTCTGTCTAGGTTTGATGTGAAGATATAGACGTTTCAAACGAAGGCTACAAAGTGGTCAAAATATACACTTGCAGATTCTACTACAAGGGTGTTGCAAACCTGAACTATCAAAGGAAGGTTCAACTCTGTGAATTGAATACAAACATCACAAAGAATGTTCTGAGTTTGCTTCCGTTCAGTTATGGGAAGTTGATCCCGTTTCCAACGAAATCCTCAGAGAGGTCCAAATATCCCCTTGCAGATTCTACAAAATGTGTGTTTGGAAACTGCTCCATCATAACGAATGTTCAGCTCCCTGAGTTAAACTCCATCGTCACAAAGAATTTTCTGAGAGTGCTACCGTCTGGTTTTTATATGAAGCTCTTTCCTTCACTACCACAGACCTCAAAGCGGTCCAAATCTCCACTTGCAGATTCTACAAAAAGAGTGTTTGCAAACTGCTCTATCAAAAGGAATGTTCAACTCTGGGAGTTGAATGCAATCATCACAGAGCAGTTTCTGAGAATGCTTCTATGTCGTTTTTAGGAGAAGATATTTCCTTTTCCAACACAGTCCTCCAAGCCCGCTAAATAGCCACTTGCACATTGTAGAAAAAGTGTGTCAAAGCTGCGCTATCAAAGGGAAAGTTCAACTCTGTGAGGTGAATGCAAACATCCCAAAGAAGTTTCTGAGAATGCTTCCGTTTAGCTTTTAGGTGAAGATTATCCCGTTTCCAACGAAACCTTCAAAGAGGTCCAAATATCCCCTTGCGGATCCCACAGAAAGAGTGTTTCGAAACTGCTGTTTCAAAAGGAATCTTCAACTCTGTGAGTTGCATGCAATCATCACAAAGAAGTTTCTGACAATGCTTCTCTCTCGTCTTTCTGTGAAGATAAAGGAAAAGGCTTTCAGGCCTTTTCCACCACAGGCCTGAAAGCGCTCCAAATGTCCACTTGCAGATTCTGCCAAAAGAATATTTCAAAACTGCTCTATGAAAAGCAATGTTAAACTCTGTGGCTCGAACACAAACATCACAAAGCAGTTTCTGAGAATGCTTCAGTTTAGTTTTTCTGTGGAAATATTCCCGTTTCCAAAGAAATCTTCAAAGAGGTCCACGTATCCACTTACAGATTCTACAAAAAGACAGTTTCAAAACTGCTCCATCAAAAGGAGGGTTCAACTGTGTGACTTGAATGCAATCATCACTCAGAAGTTTCTGAGAATGCTTCTCTTTAGTTTTTACGTGAACATATACCCGTTTCGAACGAAGGCCACCCAGTGGTCCAAATATCCACTTGCAGATTCTACAGAAAGAGTGTTTCGAACCTGAACTCTCAAAGGCAGGTTCATCTCTGCGAGTTAAATGCATTCATCATGAAGAACTTTCTCAGAGTGTTTGTGTTTAGTTATGGGAAATTATTCCCTTTTCCAACGAAATCCTCAGAGAGCTCCAAATATCCACCTGCAGATTCTACCAAAAGTGTATTTGGAAACTGCTCCATCAAAAGGCATGTTCAGCTCTGTGAGTGAAACTCCATCATCACAAAGAATATTCTGAGAATGCTTCCGTTTGCCTTTTATATGAAGTTCCTTCCTATACGACCGTAGGCCTCAAAGCAGTCCAAATCTCCATTTGCAGATTCTACAAAAAGAGTGATTCCAATCTGCTCTATCAATAGGATTGTTCAACTCCATGAGTTGAATGCCATCCTCAAAAAGTCGTTTCTAAGAATGCTTCTATCTAGTTTTTATGTGAAGATATTTCCTTTTCCACCACAGGCCTCAAAGCCCTCCAAACGTCCACTTGCAGATTCTCGAAAAAGAGTGTTTCATAGCTGCTCTTTCAAAAGGAAAGTTCAACTCTGGGAGTTGAATACAAACATCACAAAGTAGTTTCCGAGAATGCTTCTGTTTAGTTCTTATGTGAAGATGATCCCGTTTCCAGTGAAATCTTCAAAGAGGTCCACATATCCCCTTGCAGATTCCAAAGAAAGAGGGTTTCAAAACTGCTCCATCAAAAGGATTGTTCAACTCTGTGAGTTGAATGCAGTCATCGCAGAAAACTTTCTGAGAATGCTTCTGTCTAGGTTTGAGGTGAAGATATAGACGTTTCAAACGAAGGCTACAAAGTGGTCAAAATATACACTTGCAGATTCTACTACAAGGGTGTTGCAAACCTCAACTATCAAAGGAAGGTTCAACTCTGTGAGTTGAATACAAACATCACAAAGAATGTTCTCAGTTTGCTTCTGTTCAGTTATGGGAAGTTGATCGGGTTTCCAACGAAATCCTCAGAGAGGTCCAAATATCCCCTTGCAGATTCTACAAAACGTGTGTTTGGAAACTGCTCCATCATAACGAATGTTCAGCTCTCTGAGTTAAACTCCATCGTCACAAAGAATTTTCTGAGAGTGCTACCGTCTGGTTTTTATATGAAGTTCTTTCCTTTACTACCACAGGCCTCAAAGCGGTCCAAATCTCCACTTGCAGATTCTACAAAAAGAGTGTTTGCAAACTGCTCTATCAAAAGGAATGTTCAACTCTGGGAGTTGAATGCAATCATCACAGAGCAGTTTCTGAGAATGCTTCTATGTCGTTTTTAGGAGAAGATATTTCCTTTTCCAACACAGTCCTCCAAGCCCGCTAAATATCCACTTGCACATTGTAGAAAAAGTGTGTCGAAGCTGCGCTATCAAAGGGAAAGTTCAACTCTGTGAGGTGAATGCAAACATCCCAAAGAAGTTTCTGAGAATGCTTCCGTTCAGCTTTTAGGTGAAGATTATCCCGTTTCCAACGAAAGCTTCAAAGAGGTCCAAATATCCCCTTGCGGATCCCACAGAAAGAGTGTTTCGAAACTGCTGTTTCAGAAGGAATCTTCAACTCTGTGAGTTGAATGCAATCATCACAAAGAAGTTTCTGACAATGCTTCTCTCTCGTCTTCCTGTGAAGATAAAGGAAAAGGCTTTCAGGCCTTTTCCACCACAGGCCTGAAAGCGCTCCAAATGTCCACTTGCAGATTCTGCCAAAAGAATATTTCAAAACTGCTCTATGAAAAGCAATGTTAAACTCTGTGGCTCGAACACAAACATCACAAAGCAGTTTCTGAGAATGCTTCAGTTTAGTTTTTCTGTGGAAATATTCCCGTTTACAAAGAAATCTTCAAAGAGGTCCACGTATCCACTTACAGATACTACAAAAAGACAGTTTCAAAACTGCTCCATCAAAAGGAGGGTTCAACTGTGTGACTTGAATGCAATCATCACTCAGAAGTTTCTGAGAATGCTTCTCTTTAGTTTTTACGTGAACATATACCCGTTTCGAACGAAGGCCACCCAGTGGTCCAAATATCCACTTGCAGATTCTACAGAAAGAGTGTTTCGAACCTGAACTCTCAAAGGCAGGTTCATCTCTGCGAGTTAAATGCATTCATCATGAAGAACTTTCTCAGAGTGTTTGTGTTTAGTTATGGGAAATTATTCCCGTTTCCAAAGAAATCCTCAGAGAGCTCCAAATATCCACCTGCAGATTCTACCAAAAGTGTATTTGGAAACTGCTCCATCAAAAGGCATGTTCAGCTCTGTGAGTGAAACTCCATCATCACAAAGAATATTCTGAGAATGCTTCCGTTTGCCTTTTATCTGAAGTTCCTTCCTATACGACCGTAGGCCTCAAAGCAGTCCAAATCTCCATTTGCAGATTCTACAAAAAGAGTGATTCCAATCTGCTCTATCAATAGGATTGTTCAACTCCATGAGTTGAATGCCATCCTCACAAAGTAGTTTCTGAGAATGCTTCTATGTAGTTTTTATGTGAAGATATTTCCTTTGCCACCACAGGCCTCAAAGCCCTCCAAACGTCCACTTGCAGATTCTCGAAAAAGAGTGTTTCATAGCTGCTCTTTCAAAAGGAAAGTTCAACTCTGGGAGTTGAATACAAACATCACAAAGTAGTTTCCGAGAATGCTTCTGTTTAGTTTTTATGTGAAGATGATCCCGTTTCCAGTGAAATCTTCAAAGAGGTCCACATATCCCCTTGCAGATTCCAAAGAAAGAGGGTTTCAAAACTGCTCCATCAGAAGGATTGTTCAACTCTGTGAGTTGAATGCAGTCATCGCAGAAAACTTTCTGAGAATGCTTCTGTCTAGGTTTGATGTGAAGATATAGATGTTTCAAACGAAGGCTACAAAGTGGTCAAAATATACACTTGCAGATTCTACTACAAGGGTGTTGCAAACCTGAACTATCAAAGGAAGGTTCAACTCTGTGAGTTGAATACAAACATCACAAAGAATGTTCTGAGTTTGCTTCCGTTCAGTTATGGGAAGTTGATCCCGTTTCCAACGAAATCCTCAGAGAGGTCCAAATATCCCCTTGCAGATTCTACAAAACGTGTGTTTGGAAACTGCTCCATCATAACGAATGTTCAGCTCCCTGAGTTAAACTCCATCGTCACAAAGAATTTTCTGAGAGTGCTACCGTCTGGTTTTTATATGAAGTTCTTTCCTTCACTACCACAGGCCTCAAAGCGGTCCAAATCTCCACTTGCAGATTCTACAAAAAGAGTGTTTGCAAACTGCTCTATCAAAAGGAATGTTCAACTCTGGGAGTTGAATGCAATCATCACAGAGCAGTTTCTGAGAATGCTTCTATGTCGTTTTTAGAAGATATTTCCTTTTCCAACACAGTCCTCCAAGCCCGCTAAATAGCCACTTGCACATTGTAGAAAAAGTGTGTCAAAGCTGCGCTATCAAAGGGAAAGTTCAACTCTGTGAGGTGAATGCAAACATCCCAAAGAAGTTTCTGAGAATGCTTCCGTTTAGCTTTTAGGTGAAGATTATCCCGTTTCCAACGAAACCTTCAAAGAGGTCCAAATATCCCCTTGCGGATCCCACAGAAAGAGTGTTTCAAAACTGCTGTTTCAAAAGGAATCTTCAACTCTGTGAGTTGAATGCAATCATCACAAAGAAGTTTCTGACAATGCTTCTCTCTCGTCTTTCTGTGAAGATAAAGGAAAAGGCTTTCAGGCCTTTTCCACCACAGGCCTGAAAGCGCTCCAAATGTCCACTTGCAGATTCTGCCAAAAGAATATTTCAAAACTGCTCTATGAAAAGCAATGTTAAACTCTGCGGCTCGAACACAAACATCACAAAGCGGTTTCTGAGAATGCTTCAGTTTAGTTTTTCTGTGGAAATATTCCCGTTTCCAAAGAAATCTTCAAAGAGGTCCACGTATCCACTTACAGATTCTACAAAAAGACAGTTTCAAAACTGCTCCATCAAAAGGAGTGTTCAACTGTGTGACTTGAATGCAATCATCACTCAGAAGTTTCTGAGAATGCTTCTCTTTAGTTTTTACGTGAACATATACCCGTTTCGAACGAAGGCCACCCAGTGGTCCAAATATCCACTTGCAGATTCTACAGAAAGAGTGTTTCGAACATGAACTCTCAAAGGCAGGTTCATCTCTGCGAGTTAAATGCATTCATCATGAAGAACTTTCTCAGAGTGTTTGTGTTTAGTTATGGGAAATTATTCCCGTTTCCAACGAAATCCTCAGAGAGCTCCAAATATCCACCTGCAGATTCTACCAAAAGTGTATTTGGAAACTGCTCCATCAAAAGGCATGTTCCGCTCTGTGAGTGAAACTCCATCATCACAAAGAATATTCTGAGAATGCTTCCGTTTGCCTTTTATATGAAGTTCCTTCCTATACGACCGTAGGCCTCAAAGCAGTCCAAATCTCCATTTGCAGATTCTACAAAAAGAGTGATTCCAATCTGCTCTATCAATAGGATTGTTCAACTCCATGAGTTGAATGCCATCCTCACAAAGTCGTTTCTGAGAATGCTTCTATCTAGTTTTTATGTGAAGATATTTCCTTTTCCACCACAGGCCTCAAAGCCCTCCAAACGTCCACTTGCAGATTCTCGAAAAAGAGTGTTTCATAGCTGCTCTTTCAAAAGGAAAGTTCAACTCTGGGAGTTGAATACAAACATCACAAAGTAGTTTCCGAGAATGCTTCTGTTTAGTTTTTATGTGAAGATGATCCCGTTTCCAGTGAAATCTTCAAAGAGGTCCACATATCCCCTTGCAGATTCCAAAGAAAGAGGGTTTCAAAACTGCTCCATCAGAAGGATTGTTCAACTCTGTGAGTTGAATGCAGTCATCGCAGAAAACTTTCTGAGAATGCTTCTGTCTAGGTTTGATGTGAAGATATAGACGTTTCAAACGAAGGCTACAAAGTGGTCAAAATATACACTTGCAGATTCTACTACAAGGGTGTTGCAAACCTGAACTATCAAAGGAAGGTTCAACTCTGTGAGTTGAATACAAACATCACAAAGAATGTTCTGAGTTTGCTTCCGTTCAGTTATGGGAAGTTGATCCCGTTTCCAACGAAATCCTCAGAGAGGTCCAAATATCCCCTTGCAGATTCTACAAAACGTGTGTTTGGAAACTGCTCCATCATAACGAATGTTCAGCTCCCTGAGTTAAACTCCATCGTCACAAAGAATTTTCTGAAAGTGCTACCGTCTGGTTTTTATATGAAGTTCTTTCCTTCACTACCACAGGCCTCAAAGCGGTCCAAATCTCCACTTGCAGATTCTACAAAAAGAGTGTTTGCAAACTGCTCTATCAAAAGGAATGTTCAACTCTGGGAGTTGAATGCAATCATCACAGAGCAGTTTCTGAGAATGCTTCTATGTCGTTTTTAGGAGAAGATATTTCCTTTTCCAACACAGTCCTCCAAGCCCGCTAAAGATCCACTTGCACATTGTAGAAAAAGTGTGTCAAAGCTGCGCTATCAAAGGGAAAGTTCAACTCTGTGAGGTGAATGCAAACATCCCAAAGAAGTTTCTGAGAATGCTTCCGTTTAGCTTTTAGGTGAAGATTATCCCGTTTCCAACGAAACCTTCAAAGAGGTCCAAATATCCCCTTGCGGATCCCACAGAAAGAGTGTTTCGAAACTGCTGTTTCAAAAGGAATCTTCAACTCTGTGAGTTGAATGCAATCATCACAAAGAAGTTTCTGACAATGCTTCTCTCTCGTCTTTCTGTGAAGATAAAGGAAAAGGCTTTCAGGCCTTTGCCACCACAGGCCTGAAAGCGCTCCAAATGTCCACTTGCAGATTCTGCGAAAAGAATATTTCAAAACTGCTCTATGAAAAACAATGTTAACCTCTGTGGCTCGAACACAAACATCACAAAGCGGTTTCTGAGAATGCTTCAGTTTAGTTTTTCTGTGGAAATATTCCCGTTTCCAAAGAAATCTTCAAAGAGGTCCACGTATCCACTTACAGATTCTACAAAAAGACAGTTTCAAAACTGCTCCATCAAAAGGAGGGTTCAACTGTGTGACTTGAATGCAATCATCACTCAGAAGTTTCTGAGAATGCTTCTCTTTAGTTTTTACGTGAACTTATACCCGTTTCGAACGAAGGCCAGCCAGTGGTCCAAATATCCACTTGCAGATTCTACAGAAAGAGTGTTTCGAACCTGAACTCTCAAAGACAGGTTCATCTCTGCGAGTTAAATGCATTCATCATGAAGAACTTTCTCAGAGTGTTTGTGTTTAGTTATGGGAAATTATTCCCGTTTCCAACGAAATCCTCAGAGAGCTCCAAATATCCACCTGCAGATTCTACCAAAAGTGTATTTGGAAACTGCTCCATCAACAGGCATGTTCAGCTCTGTGAGTGAAACTCCATCATCACAAAGAATATTCTGAGAATGCTTCCGTTTGCCTTTTATATGAAGTTCCTTCCTATACGACCGTAGGCCTCAAAGCAGTCCAAATCTCCATTTGCAGATTCTACAAAAAGAGTGATTCCAATCTGCTCTATCAATAGGATTGTTCAACTCCATGAGTTGAATGCCATCCTCACAAAGTAGTTTCTGAGAATGCTTCTATCTAGTTTTTATGTGAAGGTATTTCCTTTTCCACCACAGGCCTCCAAGCCCTCCAAACGTCCACTTGCAGATTCTCGAAAAAGAGTGTTTCATAGCTGCTCTTTCAAAAGGAAAGTTCAACTCTGGGAGTTGAATACAAACATCACAAAGTAGTTTCCGAGAATGCTTCTGTTTAGTTTTTATGTGAAGATGATCCCGTTTCCAGTTAAATCTTCAAAGAGGTCCACATATCCCCTTGCAGATTCCAAAGAAAGAGGGTTTCAAAACTGCTCCATCAGAAGGATTGTTCAACTCTGTGAGTTGAATGCAGTCATCGCAGAAAACTTTCTGAGAATGCTTCTGTCTAGGTTTGATGTGAAGATATAGACGTTTCAAACGAAGGCTACAAAGTGGTCAAAATATACACTTGCAGATTCTACTACAAGGGTGTTGCAAACCTGAACTATCAAAGGAAGGTTCAACTCTGTGAATTGAATACAAACATCACAAAGAATGTTCTGAGTTTGCTTCCGTTCAGTTATGGGAAGTTGATCCCGTTTCCAACGAAATCCTCAGAGAGGTCCAAATATCCCCTCGCAGATTCTACAAAACGTGTGTTTGGAAACTGCTCCATCATAACGAATGTTCAGCTCCCTGAGTTAAACTCCATCGTCACAAAGAATTTTCTGAGAGTGCTACCGTCTGGTTTTTATATGAAGTTCTTTCGTTCACTACCACAGGCCTCAAAGCGGTCCAAATCTCCACTTGCAGATTCTACAAAAAGAGTGTTTGCAAACTGCTCTATCAAAAGGAATGTTCAACTCTGGGAGTTGAATGCAATCATCACAGAGCAGTTTCTGAGAATGCTTCTATGTCGTTTTTAGAAGATATTTCCTTTTCCAACACAGTCCTCCAAGCCCGCTAAATAGCCACTTGCACATTGTAGAAAAAGTGTGTCAAAGCTGCGCTATCAAAGGGAAAGTTCAACTCTGTGAGGTGAATGCAAACATCCCAAAGAAGTTTGCTGAGAATGCTTCCGTTTAGCTTTTAGGTGAAGATTATCCCGTTTCCAACGAAATCTTCAAAGAGGTCCAAATATCCCCTTGCGGATCCCACAGAAAGAGTGTTTCGAAACTGCTGTTTCAAAAAGAATCTTCAACTCTGTGAGTTGAATGCAATCATCACAAAGAAGTTTCTGACAATGCTTCTCTCTCGTCTTTCTGTGAAGATAAAGGAAAAGGCTTTCAGGCCTTTTCCACCACAGGCCTGAAAGCACTCCAAATGTCCACTTGCAGATTGTGCCAAAAGAATATTTCAAAACTGCTCTATGAAAAGCAATGTTAAACTCTGTGGCTCGAACACAAACATCACAAAGCAGTTTCTGAGAATGCTTCAGTTTAGTTTTTCTGTGGAAATATTCCCGTTTCCAAAGAAATCTTCAAAGAGGTCCACGTATCCACTTACAGATTCTACAAAAAGACAGTTTCAAAACTGCTCCATCAAAAGGAAGGTTCAACTGTGTGACTTGAATGCAATCATCACTCAGAAGTTTCTGAGAATGCTTCTCTTTAGTTTTTACGTGAAAATATACCCGTTTCGAACGAAGGCCACCCAGTGGTCCAAATATCCACTTGCAGATTCTACAGAAAGGGTGTTTCGAACCTGAACTCTCAAAGGCAGGTTCATCTCTGCGAGTTAAATGCATTCATCATGAAGAACTTTCTCAGCATGTTTGTGTTTAGTTATGGGAAATTATTCCCGTTTCCAACGAAATCCTCAGAGAGGTCCAAATATCCACCTGCAGATTCTACCAAAAGTGTATTTGGAAACTGCTCCATCAAAAGGCATGTTCAGCTCTGTGAGTGAAACCCCATCATCACAAAGAATATTCTGAGAATGCTTCCGTTTGCCTTTTATATGAAGTTCCTTCCTATACGACCGTAGGCCTCAAAGCAGTCCAAATCTCCATTTGCAGATTCTACAAAAAGAGTGATTCCAATCTGCTCTATCAATAGGATTGTTCAACTCCATGAGTTGAATGCCATCCTCACAAAGTCGTTTCTGAGAATGCTTCTATCTAGTTTTTATGTGAAGATATTTCCTTTTCCACCACAGGCCTCAAAGCCCTCCAAACGTCCACTTGCAGATTCTCGAAAAAGAGTGTTTCATAGCTGCTCTTTCAAAAGGAAAGTTCAACTCTGGGAGTTGAATACAATCATCACAAAGTAGTTTCTGAGAATGCTTCTGTTTAGTTTTTATGTGAAGATGATCCCGTTTCCAGTGAAATCTTCAAAGAGGTCCACATATCCCCTTGCAGATTCCAAAGAAAGAGGGTTTCAAAACTGCTCCATCAGAAGGATTGTTCAACTCTGTGAGTTGAATGCAGTCATCGCAGAAAACTTTCTGAGAATGCTTCTGTCTAGGTTTGATGTGAAGATATAGACGTTTCAAACGAAGGCTACAAAGTGGTCAAAATATACACTTGCAGATTCTACTACAAGGGTGTTGCAAACCTGAACTATCAAAGGAAGGTTCAACTCTGTGAGTTGAATACAAACATCACAAAGAATGTTCTGAGTTTGCTTCCGTTCAGTTATGGGAAGTTGATCCCGTTTCCAACGAAATCCTCAGAGAGGTCCAAATATCCCCTTGCAGATTCTACAAAACGTGTGTTTGGAAACTGCTCCATCATAACGAATGTTCAGCTCCCTGAGTTAAACTCCATCGTCACAAAGAATTTTCTGAGAGTGCTACCGTCTGGTTTTTATATGAAGTTCTTTCCTTCACTACCACAGGCCTCAAAGCGGTCCAAATCTCCACTTGCAGATTCTACAAAAAGAGTGTTTGCAAACTGCTCTATCAAAAGGAATGTTCAACTCTGGGAGTTGAATGCAATCGTCACAGAGCAGTTTCTGAGAATGCTTCTATGTCGTTTTTAGGAGAAGATATTTCCTTTTCCAACACAGTCCTCCAAGCCCGCTAAATAGCCACTTGCACATTGTAGAAAAAGTGTGTCAAAGCTGCGCTATCAAAGGGAAAGTTCAACTCTGTGAGGTGAATGCAAACATCCCAAAGAAGTTTCTGAGAATGCTTCCGTTTAGCTTTTAGGTGAAGATTATCCCGTTTCCAACGAAACCTTCAAAGAAGTCCAAATATCCCCTTGCGGATCCCACAGAAAGAGTGTTTCGAAACTGCTGTTTCAAAAGGAATCTTCAACTCTGTGAGTTGAATGCAATCATCACAAAGAAGTTTCTGACAATGCTTCTTCTCTCTCGTCTTTCTGTGAAGATAAAGGAAAAGGCTTTCAGGCCTTTTCCACCACAGGCCTGAAAGCGCTCCAAATGTCCACTTGCAGATTCTGCGAAAAGAATATTTCAAAACTGCTCTATGAAAAGCAATGTTAAACTCTGTGGCTCGAACACAAACATCACAAAGCGGTTTCTGAGAATGCTTCAGTTTAGTTTTTCTGTGGAAATATTCCCGTTTTCAAAGAAATCTTCAAAGAGGTCCACGTATCCACTTACAGATTCTACAAAAAGACAGTTTCAAAACTGCTCCATCAAAAGGAGGGTTCAACTGTGTGACTTGAATGCAATCATCACTCAGAAGTTTCTGAGAATGCTTCTCTTTAGTTTTTACGTGAACATATACCCGTTTCGAACGAAGGCCACCCAGTGGTCCAAATATCCACTTGCAGATTATACAGAAAGAGTGTTTCGAACCTGAACTCTCAAAGGCAGGTTCATCTCTGCGAGTTAAATGCATTCATCATGAAGAACTTTCTCAGAGTGTTTGTGTTTAGTTATGGGAAATTATTCCCGTTTCCAACGAAATCCTCAGAGAGCTCCAAATATCCACCTGCAGATTCTACCAAAAGTGTATTTGGAAACTGCTCCATCAAAAGGCATGTTCAGCTCTGTGAGTGAAACTCCATCATCACAAAGAATATTCTGAGAATGCTTCCGTTTGCCTTTTATCTGAAGTTCCTTCCTATACGACCGTAGGCCTCAAAGCAGTCCAAATCTCCATTTGCAGATTCTACAAAAAGAGTGATTCCAATCTGCTCTATCAATAGGATTGTTCAACTCCATGAGTTGAATGCCATCCTCACAAAGTAGTTTCTGAGAATGCTTCTATCTAGTTTTTATGTTTAGGTATTTCCTTTTCCACCACAGGCCTCCAAGCCCTCCAAACGTCCACTTGCAGATTCTCGAAAAAGAGTGTTTCATAGCTGCTCTTTCAAAAGGAAAGTTGAACTCTGGGAGTTGAATACAAACATCACAAAGTAGTTTCCGAGAATGCTTCTGTTTAGTTTTTATGTGAAGATGATCCCGTTTCCAGTGAAATCTTCAAAGAGGTCCACATATCCCCTTGCAGATTCCAAAGAAAGAGGGTTTCAAAACTGCTCCATCAGAAGGATTGTTCAACTCTGTGAGTTGAATGCAGTCATCGCAGAAAACTTTCTGAGAATGCTTCTGTCTAGGATTGATGTGAAGATATAGACGTTTCAAATGAAGGCTACAAAGTGGTCAAAATATACACTTGCAGATTCTACTACAAGGGTGTTGCAAACCTGAACTATCAAAGGAAGGTTCAACTCTGTGAGTTGAATACAAACATCACAAAGAATGTTCTGAGTTTGCTTCCGTTCAGTTATGGGAAGTTGATCCCGTTTCCAACGAAATCCTCAGAGAGGTCCAAATATCCCCTTGCAGATTCTACAAAACGTGTGTTTGGAAACTGCTCCATCATAACGAATGTTCAGCTCCCTGAGTTAAACTCCATCGTCACAAAGAATTTTCTGAGAGTGCTACCGTCTGGTTTTTATATGAAGTTCTTTCGTTCACTACCACAGGCCTCAAAGCGGTCCAAATCTCCACTTGCAGATTCTACAAAAAGAGTGTTTGCAAACTGCTCTATCAAAAGGAATGTTCAACTCTGGGAGTTGAATGCAATCATCACAGAGCAGTTTCTGAGAATGCTTCTATGTCGTTTTTAGGAGAAGATATTTCCTTTTCCAACACAGTCCTCCAAGCCCGCTAAATAGCCACTTGCACATTGTAGAAAAAGTGTGTCAAAGCTGCGCTATCAAAGGGAAAGTTCAACTCTGTGAGGTGAATGCAAACATCCCAAAGAAGTTTCTGAGAATGCTTCCGTTTAGCTTTTAGGTGAAGATTATCCCGTTTCCAACGAAACCTTCAAAGAGGTCCAAATATCCCCTTGCGGATCCCACAGAAAGAGTGTTTCGAAACTGCTGTTTCAAAAGGAATCTTCAACTCTGTGAGTTGAATGCAATCATCACAAAGAAGTTTCTGACAATGCTTCTCTCTCGTCTTTCTGTGAAGATAAAGGAAAAGGCTTTCAGGCCTTTGCCACCACAGGCCTGAAAGCGCTCCAAATGTCCACTTGCAGATTCTGCCAAAAGAATATTTCAAAACTGCTCTATGAAAAGCAATGTTAAACTCTGCGGCTCGAACACAAACATCACAAAGCGGTTTCTGAGAATGCTTCAGTTTAGTTTTTCTGTGGAAATATTCCCGTTTCCAAAGAAATCTTCAAAGAGGTCCACGTATCCACTTACAGATTCTACAAAAAGACAGTTTCAAAACTGCTCCATCAAAAGGAGGGTTCAACTGTGTGACTTGAATGCAATCATCACTCAGAAGTTTCTGAGAATGCTTCTCTTTAGTTTTTACGTGAACATATACCCGTTTCGAACGAAGGCCAGCCAGTGGTCCAAATATCCACTTGCAGATTCTACAGAAAGAGTGTTTCGAACATGAACTCTCAAAGGCAGGTTCATCTCTGCGAGTTAAATGCATTCATCATGAAGAACTTTCTCAGAGTGTTTGTGTTTAGTTATGGGAAATTATTCCCGTTTCCAACGAAAGCCTCAGAGAGCTCCAAATATCCACCTGCAGATTCTACCAAAAGTGTATTTGGAAACTGCTCCATCAAAAGGCATGTTCAGCTCTGTCAGTGAAACTCCATCATCACAAAGAATATTCTGAGAATGCTTCCGTTTGCCTTTTATATGAAGTTCCTTCCTGTACTACCGTAGGCCTCAAAGCAGTCCAAATCTCCATTTGCAGATTCTACAAAAAGAGTGATTCCAATCTGCTCTATCAATAGGATTGTTCAACTCCATGAGTTGAATGCCATCCTCACAAAGTAGTTTCTGAGAATGCTTCTATCTAGTTTTTATGTGAAGATATTTCCTTTTCCACCACAGGCCTCAAAGCCCTCCAAACGTCCACTTGTAGATTCTCCAAAAAGAGTGTTTCATAGCTGCTCTTTCAAAAGGAATGTTCAACTCTGGCAGTTGAATGCAAACATCACAAAGTAGTTTCCGAGAATGCTTCCTGTTTAGTTTTTATGTGAAGATGATCCCGTTTCCAGTGAAATCTTCAAAGAGGTCCACATATCCCCTTGCAGATTCCAAAGAAAGAGGGTTTCAAAACTGCTCCATCAGAAGGATTGTTCAACTCTGTGAGTTGAATGCAGTCATCGCAGAAAACTTTCTGAGAATGCTTCTGTCTAGGTTTGATGTGAAGATATAGCATGTTTCAAACGAAGGCTACAAAGTGGTCAAAATATACACTTGCAGATTCTACTACAAGGGTGTTGCAAACCTGAACTATCAAAGGAAGGTTCAACTCTGTGAGTTGAATACAAACATCACAAAGAATGTTCTGAGTTTGCTTCCGTTCAGTTATGGGAAGTTGATCCCTTTTCCAACGAAATCCTCAGAGAGGTCCAAATATCCCCTTGCAGATTCTACAAAACGTGTGTTTGGAAACTTCTCCATCATAACGAATGTTCAGCTCTCTGAGTTAAACTGCATCGTCACAAAGAATTTTCTGAGACTGCTACCATCTAGTTTTTATATGAAGTTCTTTCCTTTACGACCACAGGCCTCAAAGCGGTCTAAATCTCCACTTGCAGATTCTACAAAAAGAGCGTTTGAAAACTGCTCTATCAAAAGGAATGTTCAAATCTGGGAGTTGAATGCAATCATCACAGAGCAGTTTCTGAGAATGCTTCTATGTCGTTTTTAGGAGAAGATATTTCCTTTTCCAACACAGTCCTCCAAGCCCGCTAAATATCCACTTGCACATTGTAGAAAAAGTGTGTCGAAGCTGCGCTATCAAAGGGAAAGTTCAACTCTGTGAGGTGAATGCAAACATCCCAAAGAAGTTTCTGAGAATGCTTCCGTTTAGCTTTTAGGTGAAGATTATCCAGTTTCCAACGAAACCTTCAAATAGATCCAAATATCCCCTTGCGGTTCCCACAGAAAGAGTGTTTCGAAACTGCTGTTTCAAAAGGAATCTTCAACTCTGTGAGTTGAATGCAATCATCACAAAGAAGTTTCTGACAATGCTTCTCTCTCGTCTTTCTGTGAAGATAAAGGAAAAGGCTTTCAGGCCTTTTCCACCCACAGGCCTGAAAGCGCTCCAAATGTCCACTTGCAGATTCTGCCAAAAGAATATTTCAAAACTGCTCTATGAAAAGCAATGTTAAACTCTGCGGCTCGAACACAAACATCACAAAGCAGTTTCTGAGAATGCTTCAGTTTAGTTTTTCTGTGGAAATATTCCCGTTTCCAAAGAAATCTTCAAAGAGGTCCACGCATCCACTTACAGATTCTACAAAAACACAGTTTCAAAACTGCTCAATCAAAACGAGGGTTCAACTGTGTGACTTGAATGCAATCATCACTCAGAAGTTTCTGAGAATGCTTCTCTTTAGTTTTTACGTGAACATATACCCGTTTCGAACGAAGGCCACACAGTGGTCCAAATATCCACTTGCAGATTCTACAGAAAGAGTGTTTCGAACCTGAACTCTCAAAGGCAGGTTCATCTCTGCGAGTTAAATGCATTCATCATGAAGAACTTTCTCAGCGTGTTTCCGTTTGCCTTTTATATGAAGTTCCTTCCTATACTACCGTAGGCCTCAAAGCAGTCCAAATCTCCATTTGCAGATTCTACAAAAAGAGTGATTCCAATCTGCTCTATCAATAGGACTGTTCAACTCCATGAGTTGAATGCCATCCTCACAAAGTCGTTTCTGAGAATGCTTCTATCTAGTTTTTATGTGAAGATATTTCCTTTTCCACCACAGGCCTCAAAGCCTTCCAAACGTCCACTTGCAGATTCTCGAAAAAGAGTGTTTCATAGCTGCTCTTTCAAAAGGAAAGTTCAACTCTGGGAGTTGAATACAAACATCACAAAGTAGTTTCCGAGAATGCTTCTGTTTAGTTTTTATGTGAAGATGATCCCGTTTCCAGTGAAATCTTCAAAGAGGTCCACATATCCCCTTGCAGATTCCAAAGAAAGAGGGTTTCAAAACTGCTCCATCAGAAGGATTGTTCAACTCTGTGAGTTGAATGCAGTCATCGCAGAAAACTTTCTGAGAATGCTTCTTTCTAGGTTTGATGTGAAGATATAGACGTTTCAAACGAAGGCTACAAAGTGGTCAAAATATACACTTGCAGATTCTACTACAAGGGTGTTGCAAACCTGAACTATCAAAGGAAGGTTCAACTCTGTGAGTTGAATACAAACATCACAAAGAATGTTCTGAGTTTGCTTCCGTTCAGTTATGGGAAGTTGATCCCGTTTCCAACGAAATCCTCAGAGAGGTCCAAATATCCCCTTGCAGATTCTACAAAACGTGTGTTTGGAAACTGCTCCATCATAACGAATGTTCAGCTCCCTGAGTTAAACTCCATCGTCACAAAGAATTTTCTGAGAGTGCTACCGTCTGGTTTTTATATGAAGCTCTTTCCTTCACTACCACAGGCCTCAAAGCGGTCCAAATCTCCACTTGCAGATTCTACAAAAAGAGTGTTTGCAAACTGCTCTATCAAAAGGAATGTTCAACTCTGGGAGTTGAATGCAATCATCACAGAGCAGTTTCTGAGAATGCTTCTATGTCGTTTTTAGGAGAAGATATTTCCTTTTCCAACACAGTCCTCCAAGCCCGCTAAATAGCCACTTGCACATTGTAGAAAAAGTGTGTCAAAGCTGCGCTATCAAAGGGAAAGTTCAACTCTGTGAGGTGAATGCAAACATCCCAAAGAAGTTTCTGAGAATGCTTCCGTTTAGCTTTTAGGTGAAGATTATCCCGTTTCCAACGAAACCTTCAAAGAGGTCCAAATATCCCCTTGCGGATCCCACAGAAAGAGTGTTTCAAAACTGCTGTTTCAAAAGGAATCTTCAACTCTGTGAGTTGAATGCAATCATCACAAAGAAGTTTCTGACAATGCTTCTCTCTCGTCTTTCTGTGAAGATAAAGGAAAAGGCTTTCAGGCCTTTTCCACCACAGGCCTGAAAGCGCTCCAAATGTCCACTTGCAGATTCTGCGAAAAGAATATTTCAAAACTGCTCTATGAAAAGCAATGTTAAACTCTGTGGCTCGAACACAAACATCACAAAGCGGTTTCTGAGAATGCTTCAGTTTAGTTTTTCTGTGGAAATATTCCCGTTTCCAAAGAAATCTTCAAAGAGGTCCACGTATCCACTTACAGATTCTACAAAAAGACAGTTTCAAAACTGCTCAATCAAAAGGAGGGTTCAACCGTGTGACTTGAATGCAATCATCACTCAGAAGTTTCTGAGAATGCTTCTCTTTAGTTTTTACGTGAACATATACCCGTTTCGAACGAAGGCCACCCAGTGGTCCAAATATCCACTTGCAGATTCTACAGAAAGAGTGTTTCGAACCTGAACTCTCAAAGGCAGGTTCATCTCTGCGAGTTCAATGCATTCATCATGAAGAACTTTCTCAGAGTGTTTGTGTTTAGGTATGGGAAATTATTCCCGTTTCCAACGAAATCTTCAGAGAGGTCCAAATATCCACCTGCAGATTCTACCAAAAGTGTATTTGGAAACTGCTCCATCAAAAGGCATGTTCAGCTCTGTGAGTGAAACTCCATCATCACAAAGAATATTCTGAGAATGCTTCCGTTTGCCTTTTATATGAAGTTCCTTCCTATACTACCGTAGGCCTCAAAGCAGTCCAAATCTCCATTTGCAGATTCTACCAAAAGAGTGATTCCAATCTGCTCTATCAATAGGATTGTTCAACTCCATGAGTTGAATGCCATCCTCACAAAGTCGTTTCTGAGAATGCTTCTATCTAGTTTTTATGTGAAGATATTTCCTTTTCCACCACAGGCCTCAAAGCCCTCCAAACGTCCACTTGCAGATTCTCGAAAAAGAGTGTTTCATAGCTGCTCTTTCAAAAGGAAAGTTCAACTCTGGGAGTTGAATACAAACATCACAAAGTAGTTTCCGAGAATGCTTCTGTTTAGTTTTTATGTGAAGATGATCCCGTTTCCAGTGAAATCTTCAAAGAGGTCCACATATCCCCTTGCAGATTCCAAAGAAAGAGGGTTTCAAAACTGCTCCATCAGAAGGATTGTTCAACTCTGTGAGTTGAATGCAGTCATGGCAGAAAACTTTCTGAGAATGCTTCTGTCTAGGTTTGATGTGAAGATATAGACGTTTCAAACGAAGGCTACAAAGTGGTCAAAATATACACTTGCAGATTCTACTACAAGGGTGTTGCAAACCTGAACTATCAAAGGAAGGTTCAACTCTGTGAGTTGAATACAAACATCACAAAGAATGTTCTGAGTTTGCTTCCGTTCAGTTATGGGAAGTTGATCCCGTTTCCAACGAAATCCTCAGAGAGGTCCAAATATCCCCTTGCAGATTCTACAAAACGTGTGTTTGGAAACTGCTCCATCATAACGAATGTTCAGCTCCCTGAGTTAAACTCCATCGTCACAAAGAATTTTCTGAGAGTGCTACCGTCTGGTTTTTATATGAAGTTCTTTCCTTCACTACCACTGGCCTCAAAGCGGTCCAAATCTCCACTTGCAGATTCTACAAAAAGAGTGTTTGCAAACTGCTCTATCAAAAGGAATGTTCAACTCTGGGAGTTGAATGCAATCATCACAGAGCAGTTTCTGAGAATGCTTCTATGTCGTTTTTAGGAGAAGATATTTCCTTTTCCAACACAGTCCTCCAAGCCCGCTAAATAGCCACTTGCACATTGTAGAAAAAGTGTGTCAAAGCTGCGCTATCAAAGGGAAAGTTCAACTCTGAGAGGTGAATGCAAACATCCCAAAGAAGTTTCTGAGAGTGCTTCCGTTTAGCTTTTAGGTGAAGATTATCCCGTTTCCAACGAAACCTTCAAAGAGGTCCAAATATCCCCTTGTGGATCCCACAGAAAGAGTGTTTCGAAACTGCTGTTTCAAAAGGAATCTTCAACTCTGTGAGTTGAATGCAATCATCACAAAGAAGTTTCTGACAATGCTTCTCTCTCGTCTTCCTGTGAAGATAAAGGAAAAGGCTTTCAGGCCTTTTCCACCACAGGCCTGAAAGCGCTCCAAATGTCCACTTGCAGATTCTGCCAAAAGAATATTTCAAAACTGCTCTATGAAAAGCAATGTTAAACTCTGTGGCTCGAACACAAACATCACAAAGCAGTTTCTGAGAATGCTTCAGTTTAGTTTTTCTGTGGAAATATTCCCGTTTCCAAAGAAATCTTCAAAGAGGTCCACGTATCCACTTACAGATTCTACAAAAAGACAGTTTCAAAACTGCTCCATCAAAAGGAGGGTTCAACCATGTGACTTGAATGCAATCATCACTCAGAAGTTTCTGAGAATGCTTCTTTTTAGTTTTTATGTGAACATATACCCGTTTCGAACGAAGGCCACCCAGTGGTCCAAATATCCACTTGCAGATTCTACAGAAAGAGTGTTTCGAACCTGAACTCTCAAAGGCAGGTTCATCTCTGCGAGTTAAATGCATTCATCATGAAGAACTTTCTCAGAGTGTTTGTGTTTAGTTATGGGAAATTATTCCCGTTTCCAACGAAATCCTCAGAGAGCTCCAAATATCCACCTGCAGATTCTACCAAAAGTGTATTTGGAAACTGCTCCATCAAAAGGCATGTTCAGCTCTGTGAGTGAAACTCCATCATCACAAAGAATATTCTGAGAATGCTTCCGTTTCCCTTTTATATGAAGTTCCTTCCTATACTACCGTAGGCCTCAAAGCAGTCCAAATCTCCATTTGCAGATTCTACAAAAAGAGTGATTCCAATCTGCTCTATCAATAGGATTGTTCAACTCCATGAGTTGAATTCCATCCTCACAATGTCGTTTGTGAGAATGCTTCTATCTAGTTTTTATGTGAAGATATTTCCTTTTCCACCACAGGCCTCAAAGCCCTCCAAACGTCCACTTGCAGATTCTCGAAAAAGAGTGTTTCATAGCTGCTCTTTCAAAAGGAAAGTTCAACTCTGGGAGTTGAATACAAACATCACAAAGTAGTTTCCGAGAATGCTTCTGTTTAGTTTTTATGTGAAGATGATCCCGTTTCCAGTGAAATCTTCAAAGAGGTCCACATATCCCCTTGCAGATTCCAAAGAAAGAGGGTTTCAAAACTGCTCCATCAGAAGGATTGTTCAACTCTGTGAGTTGAATGCAGTCATCGCAGAAAACTTTCTGAGAATGCTTCTGTCTAGGTTTGATGTGAAGATATAGACGTTTCAAACGAAGGCTACAAAGTGGTCAAAATATACACTTGCAGATTCTACTACAAGGGTGTTGCAAACCTGAACTATCAAAGGAAGGTTCAACTCTGTGAGTTGAATACAAACATCACAAAGAATGTTCTGAGTTTGCTTCCGTTCAGTTATGGGAAGTTGATCCCGTTTCCAACCAAATCCTCAGAGAGGTCCAAATATCCCCTTGCAGATTCTACAAAACGTGTGTTTGGAAACTGCTCCATCATAACGAATGTTCAGGTCCCTGAGTTAAACTCCATCGTCACAAAGAATTTTCTGAGAGTGCTACCGTCTGGTTTTTATATGAAGCTCTTTCCTTCACTACCCCAGGCCTCAAAGCGGTCCAAATCTCCACTTCCAGATTCTACAAAAAGAGTGTTTGCAAACTGCTCTATCAAAAGGAATGTTCAACTCTGGGAGTTGAATGCAATCATCACAGAGCAGTTTCTGAGAATGCTTCTATGTCGTTTTTAGGAGAAGATATTTCCTTTTCCAACACAGTCCTCCAAGCCCGCTAAATAGCCACTTGCACATTGTAGAAAAAGTGTGTCAAAGCTGCGCTATCAAAGGGAAAGTTCAACTCTGTGAGGTGAATGCAAACATCCCAAAGATGTTTCTGAGAATGCTTCCGTTTAGCTTTTAGGTGAAGATTATCCCGTTTCCAACGAAACCTTCAAAGAGGTCCAAATATCCCCTTGCGGATCCCACAGAAAGAGTGTTTCGAAACTGCTGTTTCAAAAGGAATCTTCAACTCTGTGAGTTGAATGCAATCATCACAAAGAAGTTTCTGACAATGCTTCTCTCTCGTCTTTCTGTGAAGATAAAGGAAAAGGCTTTCAGGCCTTTTCCACCACAGGCCTGAAAGCGCTCCAAATGTCCACTTGCAGATTCTGCCAAAAGAATATTTCAAAACTGCTCTATGAAAAGCAATGTTAAACTCTGCGGCTCAAACACAAACATCACAAAGCGGTTTCTGAGAATGCTTCAGTTTAGTTTTTCTGTGGAAATATTCCCGTTTCCAAAGAAATCTTCAAAGAGGTCCACGTATCCACTTACAGATTCTACAAAAAGACAGTTTCAAAACTGCTCCATCAAAACGAGGGTTCAACTGTGTGACTTGAATGCAATCATCACTCAGAAGTTTCTGAGAATGCTTCTCTTTAGTTTTTACGTGAACATATACCCGTTTGGAATGAAGGCCAGCCAGTGGTCCAAATATCCACTTGAAGATTCCACAGAAAGAGTGTTTCGAACCTGAACTCTCAAAGGCAGGTTCATCTCTGCGAGTTAAATGCATTCATCATGAAGAACTTTCTCAGCGTGTTTGTGTTTAGTTATGGGAAATTATTCCCGTTTCCAAGGAAATCCTCAGAGAGCTCCAAATATCCACCTGCAGATTCTACCAAAAGTGTATTTGGAAACTGCTCCATGAAAAGGCATGTTCAGCTCTGTGAGTGAAACTCCGTCATCACAAAGAATATTCTGAGAATGCTTCCGTTTGCCTTTTATATGAAGTTCCTTCCTATACTACCGTAGGCCTCAAAGCAGTCCAAATCTCCATTTGCAGATTCTACAAAAAGAGTGATTCCAATCTGCTCTATCAATAGGATTGTTCAACTCCATGAGTTGAATGCCATCCTCACAAAGTAGTTTCTGAGAATGCTTCTATCTAGTTTTTATGTGAAGATATTTCCTTTTCCACCACAGGCCTCAAAGCCCTCCAAACGTCCACTTGCAGATCCTCGAAAAAGAGTGTTTCATAGCTGCTCTTTCAAAAGGAAAGTTCAACTCTGGGAGTTGAATACAAACATCACAAAGTAGTTTCCGAGAATGCTTCTGTTTAGTTTTTATGTGAAGATGATCCCGTTTCCAGTGAAATCTTCAAAGAGGTCCACATATCCCCTTGCAGATTCCAAAGAAAGAGGGTTTCAAAACTGCTCCATCAGAAGGATTGTTCAACTCTGTGAGTTGAATGCAGTCATCGCAGAAAACTTTCTGAGAATGCTTCTTTCTAGGTTTGATGTGAAGATATAGACGTTTCAAACGAAGGCTACAAAGTGGTCAAAATATACACTTGCAGATTCTACTACAAGGGTGTTGCAAACCTGAACTATCAAAGGAAGGTTCAACTCTGTGAGTTGAATACAAACATCACAAAGAATGTTCTGAGTTTGCTTCCGTTCAGTTATGGGAAGTTGATCCCGTTTCCAACGAAATCCTCAGAGAGGTCCAAATATCCCCTTGCAGATTCTACAAAAGGTGTGTTTGGAAACTGCTCCATCATAACGAATGTTCAGCTCCCTGAGTTAAACTCCATCCTCACAAAGAATTTTCTGAGAGTGCTACCGTATGGTTTTTATATGAAGTTCTTTCCTTCACTACCACAGGCCTCAAAGCGGTCCAAGTCTCCACTTGCAGATTCTACAAAAAGAGTGTTTGCAAACTGCTCTATCAAAAGGAATGTTCAACTCTGGGAGTTGAATGCAATCATCACAGAGCAGTTTCTGAGAATGCTTCTATGTCGTTTTTAGGAGAAGATATTTCCTTTTCCAACACAATCCTCCAAGCCCGCTAAATAGCCACTTGCACATTGTAGAAAAAGTGTGTCAAAGCTGCGCTATCAAAGGGAAAGTTCAACTCTGTGAGGTGAATGCAAACATCCCAAAGAAGTTTCTGAGAATGCTTCCGTTTAGCTTTTAGGTGAAGATTATCCCGTTTCCAACGAAACCTTCAAAGAGGTCCAAATATCCCCTTGCGGATCCCACAGAAAGAGTGTTTCGAAACTGCTGTTTCAAAAGGAATCTTCAACTCTGTGAGTTGAATGCAATCATCACAAAGAAGTTTCTGACAATGCTTCTCTCTCGTCTTTCTGTGAAGATAAAGGAAAAGGCTTTCAGGCCTTTTCCACCACAGGCCTGAAAGCGCTCCAAATGTCCACTTGCAGATTCTGCGAAAAGAATATTTCAAAACTGCTCTATGAAACGCAATGTTAAACTCTGTGGCTCGAACACAAACATCACAAAGCAGTTTCTGAGAATGATTCAGTTTAGTTTTTCTGTGGAAATATTCCCGTTTCCAAAGAAATCTTCAAAGAGGTCCACGTATCCACTTACAGATTCTACAAAAAGACAGTTTCAAAACTGCTCCATCAAAAGGAGGGTTCAACTGTGTGACTTGAATGCAATCATCACTCAGAAGTTTCTGAGAATGCTTCTCTTTAGTTTTTACGTGAACATATACCCGTTTCGAACGAAGGCCACCCAGTGGTCCAAATATCCACTTGCAGATTCTACAGAAAGAGTGTTTCGAACCTGAACTCTCAAAGGCAGGTTCATCTCTGTGAGTTAAATGCATTCATCATGAAGAACTTTCTCAGAGTGTTTGTGTTTAGTTATGGGAAATTATTCCCGTTTCCAACGAAATCCTCAGAGAGCTCCAAATATCCACCTGCAGATTCTACCAAAAGTGTATTTGGAAACTGCTCCATCAAAAGGCATGTTCAGCTCTGTGAGTGAAACTCCATCATCACAAAGAATATTCTGAGAATGCTTCCGTTTGCCTTTTATATGAAGTTCCTTCCTGTACTACTGTAGGCCTCAAAGCAGTCCAAATCTCCATTTGCAGATTCTACAAAAAGAGTGATTCCAATCTGCTCTATCAATAGGATTGTTCAACTCCATGAGTTGAATGCCATCCTCACAAAGTAGTTTCTGAGAATGCTTCTATCTGGTTTTTGTGTGAAGATATTTCCTTTTCCACCACAGGCCTCAAAGCCCTCCAAACGTCCACTTGCAGATTCTCGAAAAAGAGTGTTTCATAGCTGCTCTTTCAAAAGGAAAGTTCAACTCTGGGAGTTGAATACAAACATCACAAAATAGTTTCCGAGAATGCTTCTGTTTAGTTTTTATGTGAAGATGATCCCGTTTCCAGTGAAATCTTCAAAGAGGTCCACATATCCCCTTGCAGATTCCAAAGAAAGAGGGTTTCAAAACTGCTCCATCAGAAGGATTGTTCAACTCTGTGAGTTGAATGCAGTCATCGCAGAAAACTTTCTGAGAATGCTTCTGTCTAGGTTTGATATGAAGATATAGACGTTTCAAACGAAGGCTACAAAGTGGTCAAAATATACACTTGCAGATTCTACTACAAGGGTGTTGCAAACCTGAACTATCAAAGGAAGGTTCAACTCTGTGAGTTGAATACAAACATCACAAAGAATGTTCTGAGTTTGCTTCCGTTCAGTTATGGGAAGTTGATCCCGTTTCCAACGAAATCCTCAGAGAGGTCCAAATATCCCCTTGCAGATTCTACAAAACGTGTGTTTGGAAACTGCTCCATCATAACGAATGTTCAGCTCCCTGAGTTAAACTCCATCGTCACAAAGAATTTTCTGAGAGTGCTACCGTCTGGTTTTTATATGAAGTTCTTTCCTTCACTACCACAGGCCTCAAAGCGGTCCAAATCTCCACTTGCAGATTCTACAAAAAGAGTGTTTGCAAACTGCTCTATCAAAAGGAATGTTCAACTCTGGGAGTTGAATGCAATCATCACAGAGCAGTTTCTGAGAATGCTTCTATGTGGTTTTTAGGAGAAGATATTTCCTTTTCCAACACATTCCTCCAAGCCCGCTAAATATCCACTTGCACATTGTAGAAAAAGTGTGTCGAAGCTGCGCTATCAAAGGGAAAGTTCAACTCTGTGAGGTGAATGCAAACATCCCAAAGAAGTTTCTGAGAATGCTTCCGTTTAGCTTTTAGGTGAAGATTATCCCGTTTCCAACGAAACCTTCAAAGAGGTCCAAATATCCCCTTGCGGATCCCACAGAAAGAGTGTTTCGAAACTGCTGTTTCAAAAGGAATCTTCAACTCTGTGAGTTGAATGCAATCATCACAAAGAAGTTTCTGACAATGCTTCTCTCTCGTCTTTCTGTGAAGATAAAGGAAAAGGCTTTCAGGCCTTTTCCACCACAGGCCTGAAAGCGCTCCAAATGTCCACTTGCAGATTCTGCCAAAAGAATATTTCAAAGCTGCTCTACGAAAAGCAATGTTAAACTCTGTGGCTCGAACACAAACATCACAAAGCAGTTTCTGAGAATGCTTCAGTTTAGTTTTTCTGTGGAAATATTCCCGTTTCCAAAGAAATCTTCAAAGAGGTCCACGTATCCACTTACAGATTCTATAAAAAGACAGTTTCAAAACTGCTCCATCAAAAGGAGGGTTCAACTGTGTGACTTGAATGCAATCATCACTCAGAAGTTTCTGAGAATGCTTCTCTTTAGTTTTTACGTGAACATATACCCGTTTCGAACGAAGGCCACCCAGTGGTCCAAATATCCACTTGCAGATTCTACAGAAAGAGTGTTTCGAACCTGAACTCTCAAAGGCAGGTTCATCTCTGCAAGTTAAATGCATTCATCATGAAGAACTTTCTCAGAGTGTTTGTGTTTAGTTATGGGAAATTATTCCCGTTTCCAACGAAATCCTCAGAGAGCTCCAAATATCCACCTGCAGATTCTACCAAAAGTGTATTTGGAAACTGCTCCATCAAAAGGCATGTTCAGCTCTGTGAGTGAAACTCCATCATCACAAAGAATATTCTGAGAATGCTTCCGTTTGCCTTTTATATGAAGTTCCTTCCTATACTACCGTAGGCCTCAAAGCAGTCCAAATCTCCATTTGCAGATTCTACAAAAAGAGTGATTCCAATCTGCTCTATCAATAGGATTGTTCAACTCCATGAGTTGAATGCCATCCTCACAAAGTAGTTTCTGAGAATGCTTCTATCTAGTTTTTATGTGAAGATATTTCCTTTTCCACCACAGGCCTCAAAGCCCTCCAAAAGTCCACTTGCAGATTCTCGAAAAAGAGTGTTTCATAGCTGCTCTTTCAAAAGGAAATTTCAACTCTGGGAGTTGAATACAAACATCACAAAGAATGTTCTGAGTTTGCTTCCGTTCAGTTATGGGAAGTTGATCCCGTTTCCAACGAAATCCTCAGAGAGGTCCAAATATCCCCTTGCAGATTCTACAAAACGTGTGTTCGGAAACTGCTCCATCATAACGAATGTTCAGCTCCCTGAGTTAAACTCCATCGTCACAAAGAATTTTCTGAGAGTGCTACCGTCTGGTTTTTATATGAAGTTCTTTCCTTCACTACCACAGGCCTCAAAGCGGTCCAAATCTCCACTTGCAGATTCTACAAAAAGAGTGTTTGCAAACTGCTCTATCAAAAGGAATGTTCAACTCTGGGAGTTGAATGCAATCATCACAGAGCAGTTTCTGAGAATGCTTCTATGTCGTTTTTAGGAGAAGATATTTCCTTTTCCAACACAGTCCTCCAAGCCCGCTAAATAGCCACTTGCACATTGTAGAAAAAGTGTGTCAAAGCTGCGCTATCAAAGGGAAAGTTCAACTCTGTGAGGTGAATGCAAACATCCCAAAGAAGTTTCTGAGAATGCTTCCGTTTAGCTTTTAGGTGAAGATTATCCCGTTTCCAACGAAACCTTCAAAGAGGTCCAAATATCCCCTTGTGGATCCCACAGAAAGAGTGTTTCGAAACTGCTGTTTCAAAAGGAATCTTCAACTCTGTGAGTTGAATGCAATCATCACAAAGAAGTTTCTGACAATGCTTCTCTCTCGTCTTTCTGTGAAGATAAAGGAAAAGGCTTTCAGGCCTTTTCCACCACAGGCCTGAAAGCGCTCCAAATGTCCACTTGCAGATTCTGCCAAAAGAATATTTCAAAACTGCTCTATGAAAAGCAATGTTAAACTCTGTGGCTCGAACACAAACATCACAAAGCAGTTTCTGAGAATGCTTCAGTTTAGTTTTTCTGTGGAAATATTCCCGTTTCCAAAGAAATCTTCAAAGAGGTCCACGTATCCACTTACAGATTCTACAAAAAGACAGTTTCAAAACTGCTCCATCAAAAGGAGGGTTCAACTGTGTGACTTGAATGCAATCATCACTCAGAAGTTTCTGAGAATGCTTCTCTTTAGTTTTTACGTGAACATATACCCGTTTCGAACGAAGGCCAGCCAGTGGTCCAAATATCCACTTGCAGATTCTACAGAAAGAGTGTTTCGAACCTGAACTCTCAAAGGCAGGTTCATCTCTGCGAGTTAAATGCATTCATCATGAAGAACTTTCTCAGAGTGTTTGTGTTTAGTTATGGGAAATTATTCCCGTTTCCAACGAAATCCTCAGAGAGCTCCAAATATCCACCTGCAGATTCTACCAAAAGTGTATTTGGAAACTGCTCCATCAAAAGGCATGTTCAGCTCTGTGAGTGAAACTCCATCATCACAAAGAATATTCTGAGAATGCTTCCGTTTGCCTTTTATATGAAGTTCCTTCCTATACGACCGTAGGCCTCAAAGCAGTCCAAATCTCCATTTGCAGATTCTACAAAAAGAGTGATTCCAATCTGCTCTATCAATAGGATTGTTCAACTCCATGAGTTGAATGCCATCCTCACAAAGTAGTTTCTGAGAATGCTTCTATCTAGTTTTTATGTGAAGATATTTCCTTTTCCACCACAGGCCTCAAAGCCCTCCAAACGTCCACTTGCAGATTCTCGAAAAAGAGTGTTTCATAGCTGCTCTTTCAAAAGGAAAGTTCAACTCTGGGAGTTGAATACAAACATCACAAAGTAGTTTCCGAGAATGCTTCTGTTTAGTTTTTATGTGAAGATGATCCCGTTTCCAGTGAAATCTTCAAAGAGGTCCACATATCCCCTTGCAGATTCCAAAGAAAGAGGGTTTCAAAACTGCTCCATCAGAAGGATTGTTCAACTCTGTGAGTTGAATGCAGTCATCGCAGAAAACTTTCTGAGAATGCTTCTGTCTAGGTTTGATGTGAAGATATAGACGTTTCAAACGAAGGCTACAAAGTGGTCAAAATATACACTTGCAGATTCTACTACAAGGGTGTTGCAAACCTGAACTATCAAAGGAAGGTTCAACTCTGTGAGTTGAATACAAACATCACAAAGAATGTTCTGAGTTTGCTTCCGTTCAGTTATGGGAAGTTGATCCCGTTTCCAACGAAATCCTCAGAGAGGTCCAAATATCCCCTCGCAGATTCTACAAAACGTGTGTTTGGAAACTGCTCCATCATAAGGAATGTTCAGCTCCCTGAGTTAAACTCCATCGTCACAAAGAATTTTCTGAGAGTGCTACCGTCTGGTTTTTATATGAAGTTCTTTCCTTCACTACCACAGGCCTCAAAGCGGTCCAAATCTCCACTTGCAGATTCTACAAAAAGAGTGTTTGCAAACTGCTCTATCAAAAGGAATGTTCAACTCTGGGAGTTGAATGCAATCATCACAGAGCAGTTTCTGAGAATGCTTCTATGTGGTTTTTAGGAGAAGATATTTCCTTTTCCAACACATTCCTCCAAGCCCGCTAAATATCCACTTGCACATTGTAGAAAAAGTGTGTCGAAGCTGCGCTATCAAAGGGAAAGTTCAACTCTGTGAGGTGAATGCAAACATCCCAAAGAAGTTTCTGAGAATGCTTCCGTTTAGCTTTTAGGTGAAGATTATCCCGTTTCCAACGAAACCTTCAAAGAGGTCCAAATATCCCCTTGCGGATCCCACAGAAAGAGTGTTTCGAAACTGCTGTTTCAAAAGGAATCTTCAACTCTGTGAGTTGAATGCAATCATCACAAAGAAGTTTCTGACAATGCTTCTCTCTCGTCTTTCTGTGAAGATAAAGGAAAAGGCTTTCAGGCCTTTTCCACCACAGGCCTGAAAGCGCTCCAAATGTCCACTTGCAGATTCTGCGAAAAGAATATTTCAAAACTGCTCTATGAAAAGCAATGTTAAACTCTGTGGCTCGAACACAAACATCACAAAGCGGTTTCTGAGAAAGCTTCAGTTTAGTTTTTCTGTGGAAATATTCCCGTTTCCAAAGAAATCTTCAAAGAGGTCCACGTATCCACTTACAGATTCTACAAAAAGACAGTTTCAAAACTGCTCCATCAAAAGGAGGGTTCAACTGTGTGACTTGAATGCAATCATCACTCACAAGTTTCTGAGAATGCTTCTCTTTAGTTTTTACGTGAACATATACCCGTTTCGAACGAAGGCCAGCCAGTGGTCCAAATATCCACTTGCAGATTCTACAGAAAGAGTGTTTCGAACCTGAACTCTCAAAGGCACGTTCATCTCTGCGAGTTAAATGCATTCATCATGAAGAACTTTCTCAGAGTGTTTGTGTTTAGTTATGGGAAATTATTCCCGTTTCCAACGAAATCCTCAGAGAGCTCCAAATATCCACCTGCAGATTCTACCAAAAGTGTATTTGGAAACTGCTCCATCAAAAGGCATGTTCAGCTCTGTGAGTGAAACTCCATCATCACAAAGAATATTCTGAGAATGCTTCCGTTTGCCTTTTATATGAAGTTCCTTCCTATACTACCGTAGGCCTCAAAGCAGTCCAAATCTCCATTTGCAGATTCTACAAAAAGAGTGATTCCAATCTGCTCTATCAATAGGATTGTTCAACTCCATGAGTTGAATGCCATCCTCACAATGTCGTTTCTGAGAATGCTTCTATCTAGTTTTTATGTGAAGATATTTCCTTTTCCACCACAGGCCTCAAAGCCCTCCAAACGTCCACTTTCAGATTCTCGAAAAAGAGTGTTTCATAGCTGCTCTTTCAAAAGGAAAGTTCAACTCTGGGAGTTGAATACAAACATCACAAAGTAGTTTCCGAGAATGCTTCTGTTTAGTTTTTATGTGAAGATGATCCCGTTTCCAGTGAAATCTTCAAAGAGGTCCACATATCCCCTTGCAGATTCCAAAGAAAGAGGGTTTCAAAACTGCTCCATCAGAAGGATTGTTCAACTCTGTGAGTTGAATGCAGTCATCGCAGAAAACTTTCTGAGAATGCTTCTGTCTAGGTTTGATGTGAAGATATAGACGTTTCAAACGAAGGCTACAAAGTGGTCAAAATATACACTTGCAGATTCTACTACAAGGGTGTTGCAAACCTGAACTATCAAAGGAAGGTTCAACTCTGTGAATTGAATACAAACATCACAAAGAATGTTCTGAGTTTGCTTCCGTTCAGTTATGGGAAGTTGATCCCGTTTCCAACGAAATCCTCAGAGAGGTCCAAATATCCCCTCGCAGATTCTACAAAACGTGTGTTTGGAAACTGCTCCATCATAACGAATGTTCAGCTCCCTGAGTTAAACTCCATCGTCACAAAGAATTTTCTGAGAGTGCTACCGTCTAGTTTTTATATGAAGTTCTTTCCTTTACTACCACAGGCCTCAAAGCGGTCCAAATCTCCACTTGCAGATTCTACAAAAAGAGTGTTTGCAAACTGCTCTATCAAAAGGAATGTTCAACTCCTGGGAGTTGAATGCAATCATCACAGAGCAGTTTGCTGAGAATGCTTCTATGTCGTTTTTAGGAGAAGATATTTCCTTTTCCAACACAGTCCTCCAAGCCCGCTAAATATCCACTTGCACATTGTAGAAAAAGTGTGTCGAAGCTGCGCTATCAAAGGGAAAGTTCAACTCTGTGAGGTGAATGCAAACATCCCAAAGAAGTTTCTGAGAATGCTTCCGTTTAGCTTTTAGGTGAAGATTATCCCGTTTCCAACGAAATCTTCACAGAGGTCCAAATATCCCCTTGCGGATCCCACAGAAAGAGTGTTTCGAAACTGCTGTTTCAAAAGGAATCTTCAACTCTGTGAGTTGAATGCAATCATCACAAAGAAGTTTCTGACAATGCTTCTCTCTCGTCTTTCTGTGAAGATAAAGGAAAAGGCTTTCAGGCCTTTTCCACCACAGGCCTGAAAGCGCTCCAAATGTCCACTTGCAGATTCTGCCAAAAGAATATTTCAAAACTGCTCTATGAAAAGCAATGTTAAACTCTGTGGTTCGAACACAAACATCACAAAGCGGTTTCTGAGAATGCTTCAGTTTAGTTTTTCTGTGGAAATATTCCCGTTTCCAAAGAAATCTTCAAAGAGGTCCACGCATCCACTTACAGATTCTACAAAAAGACAGTTTCAAAACTGCTCAATCAAAAGGAGAGTTCAACTGTGTGACTTGAATGCAATCATCACTCAGAAGTTTATGAGAACGCTTCTCTTTAGTTTTTACGTGAACATATACCCGTTTCGAACGAACGCCACCCAGTGGTCCAAATATCCACTTGCAGATTCTACAGAAAGAGTGTTTCGAACCTGAACTCTCAAAGGCAGGTTCATCTCTGCGAGTTAAATGCATTCATCATGAAGAACTTTCTCAGAGTGTTTGTGTTTAGTTATGGGAAATTATTCCCGTTTCCAACGAAATCCTCAGAGTGGTCCAAATATCCACCTGCAGATTCTACCAAAAGTGTATTTGGAAACTGCTCCATCAAAAGGCATGTTCAGCTCTGTGAGTGAAACTCCATCATCACAAAGAATATTCTGAGAATGCTTCCGTTTGCCTTTTATCTGAAGTTCCTTCCTATACGACCGTAGGCCTCAAAGCAGTCCAAATCTCCATTTGCAGATTCTACAAAAAGAGTGATTCCAATCTGCTCTATCAATAGGATTGCTCAACTCCATGAGTTGAATGCCATCCTCACAAAGTAGTTTCTGAGAATGCTTCTATCTAGTTTTTATGTGAAGGTATTTCCTTTTCCACCACAGGCCTCCAAGCCCTCCAAACGTCCACTTGCAGATTCTCGAAAAAGAGTGTTTCATAGCTGCTCTTTCAAAAGGAAAGTTCAACTCTGGGAGTTGAATACAAACATCACAAAGTAGTTTCCGAGAATGCTTCTGTTTAGTTTTTATGTGAAGATGATCCCGTTTCCAGTTAAATCTTCAAAGAGGTCCACATATCCCCTTGCAGATTCCAAAGAAAGAGGGTTTCAAAACTGCTCCATCAGAAGGATTGTTCAACTCTGTGAGTTGAATGCAGTCATCGCAGAAAACTTTCTGAGAATGCTTCTGTCTAGGTTTGATGTGAAGATATAGACGTTTCAAACGAAGGCTACAAAGTGGTCAAAATATACACTTGCAGATTCTACTACAAGGGTGTTGCAAACCTGAACTATCAAAGGAAGGTTCAACTCTGTGAATTGAATACAAACATCACAAAGAATGTTCTGAGTTTGCTTCCGTTCAGTTATGGGAAGTTGATCCCGTTTCCAACGAAATCCTCAGAGAGGTCCAAATATCCCCTCGCAGATTCTACAAAACGTGTGTTTGGAAACTGCTCCATCATAACGAATGTTCAGCTCCCTGAGTTAAACTCCATCGTCACAAAGAATTTTCTGAGAGTGCTACCGTCTAGTTTTTATATGAAGTTGTTTCCTTTACTACCACAGGCCTCAAAGCTTTTCCAAATCTCCACTTGCAGATTCTACAAAAAGAGTGTTTGCAAACTGCTCTATCAAAAGGAATGTTCAACTCTGGGAGTTGAATGCAATCATCACAGAGCAGTTTCTGAGAATGCTTCTATGTGGTTTTTAGGAGAAGATATTTCCTTTTCCAACACAGTCCTGCAAGCCCGCTAAATATCCACTTGCACATTTTAGAAAAAGTGTGTCGAAGCTGCGCTATCAAAGGGAAAGTTCAACTCTGTGAGGTGAATGCAAACATCCCAAAGAAGTTTCTGAGAATGCTTCCGTTTAGCTTTTAGGTGAAGATTATCCCGTTTCCAACGAAATCTTCAAAGAAGTCCAAATATCCCCTTGCGGATCCCACAGAAAGAGTGTTTCGAAACTGCTGTTTCAAAAGGAATCTTCAACTCTGTGAGTTGAATGCAATCATCACAAAGAAGTTTCTGACAATGCTTCTCTCTCGTCTTTCTGTGAAGATAAAGGAAAAGGCTTTCAGGCCTTTTCCACCACAGGCCTGAAAGCGCTCCAAATGTCCACTTGCAGATTCTGCCAAAAGAATATTTCAAAACTGCTCTATGAAAAGCAATGTTAAACTCTGTGGCTCGAACACAAACATCACAAAGCAGTTTCTGAGAATGCTTCAGTTTAGTTTTTCTGTGGAAATATTCCCGTTTCCAAAGAAATCTTCAAAGAGGTCCACGCATCCACTTACAGATTCTACAAAAAGACAGTTTCAAAACTGCTCAATCAAAACGAGGGTTCAACTGTGTGACTTGAATGCAATCATCACTCAGAAGTTTCTGAGAACGCTTCTCTTTAGTTTTTACGTGAACATATACCCGTTTCGAACGAAGGCCACCCAGTGGTCCAAATATCCACTTGCAGATTCTACAGAAAGAGTGTTTCGAACCTGAACTCTCAAAGGCAGGTTCATCTCTGCGAGTTAAATGCATTCATCATGAAGAACTTTCTCAGCGTGTTTGTGTTTAGTTATGGGAAATTATTCCCGTTTCCAACGAAATCCTCAAAGAGCTCCAAATATCCACCTGCAGATTCTACCAAAAGTGTATTTGGAAACTGCTCCATCAAAAGGCATGTTCAGCTCTGTGAGTGAAACTCCATCATCACAAAGAATATTCTGAGAATGCTTCCGTTTGCCTTTTATATGAAGTTCCTTCCTATACGACCTTAGGCCTCAAAGCAGTCCAAATCTCCATTTGCAGATTCTACAAAAAGAGTGATTCCAATCTGCTCTATCAATAGGATTGTTCAACTCCATGAGTTGAATGCCATCCTCACAAAGTAGTTTCTGAGAATGCTTCTATCTAGTTTTTATGTGAAGATATTTCCTTTTCCACCACAGGCCTCAAAGCCCTCCAAACGTCCACTTGCAGATTCTCGAAAAAGAGTGTTTCATAGCTGCTCTTTCAAAAGGAAAGTTCAACTCTGGGAGTTGAATACAAACATCACAAAGTAGTTTCCGAGAATGCTTCTGTTTAGTTCTTATGTGAAGATGATCCCGTTTCCAGTGAAATCTTCAAAGAGGTCCACATATCCCCTTGCAGATTCCAAAGAAAGAGGGTTTCAAAACTGCTCCATCAAAAGGATTGTTCAACTCTGTGAGTTGAATGCAGTCATCGCAGAAAACTTTCTGAGAATGCTTCTGTCTAGGTTTGATGTGAAGATATAGACGTTTCAAACGAAGGCTACAAAGTGGTCAAAATATACACTTGCAGATTCTACTACAAGGGTGATGCAAACCTGAACTATCAAAGGAAGGTTCAACTCTGTGAGTTGAATACAAACATCACAAAGAATGTTCTGAGGTTGCTTCAGTTCAGTTATGGGAAGTTGATCCCGTTTCCAAAGAAATCCTCAGAGAGGTCCAAATATCCCCTTGCAGATTCTACAAAACGTGTGTTTGGAAACTGCTCCATCATAACGAATGTTCAGCTCTCTGAGTTAAACTCCATCGTCACAAAGAATTTTCGAAGAGTGCTACCGTCTAGTTTTTATATGAAGTTCTTTCCTTTACTACCCCAGGCCTCAAAGCGGTCCAAATCTCCACTTGCAGATTCTACAAAAAGAGTGTTTGCAAACTGCTCTATCAAAAGGAATGTTCAACTCTGGGAGTTGAATGCAATCATCACAGAGCAGTTTCTGAGAATGCTTCTATGTGGTTTTTAGGAGAAGATATTTCCTTTTCCAACACAGTCCTCCAAGCCCGCTAAATATCCACTTGCACATTTTAGAAAAAGTGTGTCGAAGCTGCGCTATCAAAGGGAATGTTCAACTCTGTGAGGTGAATGCAAACATCCCAAAGAAGTTTCTGAGAATGCTTCCGTTTAGCTTTTAGGTGAAGATTATCCCGTTTGCAACGAAATCTTCAAAGAGGTCCAAATATCCCCTTGCGGATCCCACAGAAAGAGTGTTTCGAAACTGCTGTTTCAAAAGGAATCTTCAACTCTGTGAGTTGAATGCAATCATCACAAAGAAGTTTCTGACAATGCTTCTCTCTCATCTTTCTGTGAAGATAAAGGAAAAGGCTTTCAGGCCTTTTCCACCACAGGCCTGAAAGCGCTCCAAATGTCCACTTGCAGATTCTGCCAAAAGAATATTTCAAAACTGCTCTATGAATAGCAATGTTAAATTCTGCGGCTCGAACACAAACATAACAAAGCAGTTTCTGAGAATGCTTCAGTTTAGTTTTTCTGTGGAAATATTCCCGTTTCCAAAGAAATCTTCAAAGAGGTCCACGCATCCACTTACAGATTCTACAAAAAGACAGTTTCAAAACTGCTCAATCAAAAGGAGGGTTCAACTGTGTGACTTGAATGCAATCATCACTCAGAAGTTTCTGAGAATGCATCTCTTTAGTTTTTACGTGAACATATACTCGTTTCGAACGAAGGCCAGCCAGTGGTCCAAATATCCACTTGCAGATTCTACAGAAAGAGTGTTTCGAACCTGAACTCTCAAAGGCAGGTTCATCTCTGCGAGTTAAATGCATTCATCATGAAGAACTTTCTCAGAGTGTTTGTGTTCAGTTATGGGAAATTATTCCCGTTTCCAACGAAATCCTCAGAGAGGTCCAAATATCCACCTTCAGATTCTACCAAAAGTGTATTTGGAAACTGCTCCATGAAAAGGCATGTTCAGCTCTGTGAGTGAAACTCCATCATCACAAAGAATATTCTGAGAATGCTTCCGTTTGCCTTTTATATGAAGTTCCTTCCTATACTACCGTAGGCCTCAAAGCAGTCCAAATCTCCATTTGCAGATTCTACAAAAAGAGTGATTCCAATCTGCTCTATCAATAGGATTGTTCAACTCCATGAGTTGAATGCCTTCCTCACAAAGTCGTTTCTGAGAATGCTTCTATCTAGTTTTTATGTGAAGATATTTCCTTTTCCACCACAGGACTCAAAGCCCTCCAAACATCCACTTGCAGATTCTCGAAAAAGAGTGTTTCATAGCTGCTCTTTCAAAAGGAAAGTTCAACTCTGGGAGTTGAATACAAACATCACAAAGTAGTTTCCGAGAATGCTTCTGTTTAGTTCTTATGTGAAGATGATCCCGTTTCCAGTGAAATCTTCAAAGAGGTCCACATATCCCCTTGCAGATTCCAAAGAAAGAGGGTTTCAAAACTGCTCCATCAAAAGGATTGTTCAACTCTGTGAGTTGAATGCAGTCATCGCAGAAAACTTTCTGAGAATGCTTCTGTCTAGGTTTAATGTGAAGATATAGACGTTTCAAACGAAGGCTACAAAGTGGTCAAAATATACACTTGCAGATTCTACTACAAGGGTGTTGCAAACCTGAACTATCAAAGGAAGGTTCAACTCTGTGAGTTGAATACAAACATCACAAAGAATGTTCTGAGTTTGCTTCCGTTCAGTTATGGGAAGTTGATCCCGTTTGCAACGAAATCCTCAGAGAGGTCCAAATATCCCCTTGCAGATTCTGCAAAACGTGTGTTTGGAAACTGCTCCATCATAACGAATGTTCAGCTCTCTGAGTTAAACTCCATCGTCACAAAGAATTTTCTGAGAGTGCTACCGTCTAGTTTTTATATGAAGTTCTTTCCTTTACTACCACAGGCCTCAAAGCGGTCCAAATCTCCACTTGCAGATTCTACAAAAAGAGTGTTTGCAAACTGCTCTATCAAAAGGAATGTTCAACTCTGGGAGTTGAATGCAATCATCACAGAGCAGTTCCTGAGAATGCTTCTATGTCGTTTTTAGGAGAAGATATTTCCTTTTCCAACACAGTCCTCCAAGCCCGCTAAATATCCACTTGCACATTGTAGAAACAGTGTGTCGAAGCTGCGCTATCAAAGGGAAAGTTCAACTCTGTGAGGTGAATGCAAACATCCCAAAGAAGTTTCTGAGAATGCTTCCGTTTAGCTTTTAGGTGCAGATTATCCCGTTTCCAACGAAATCTTCAAAGAGGTCCAAATATCCCATTGCGGATCCCACAGAAAGAGTGTTTCGAAAATGCTGTTTCAAAAGGAATCTTCAACTCTGTGGGTTGAATGCAATCATCACAAAGAAGTTTCTGACAATGCTTCTCTCTCGTCTTTCTGTGAAGATAAAGGAAAAGGCTTTCAGGCCTTTTCCACCACAGGCCTGAAAGCGCTCCAAATGTCCACTTGCAGATTCTGCCAAAAGAATATTTCAAAACTGCTCTATGAAAAGCAATGTTAAACTCTGTGGCTCGAACACAAACATCACAAAGCCGTTTCTGAGAATGCTTCAGTTTAGTTTTTCTGTGGAAATATTCCCGTTTCGAAAGAAATCTTCAAAGAGGTCCACGTATCCACTTACAGATTCTACAAAAAGACAGTTTCAAAACTGCTCAATCAAAAGGAGGGTTCAACCGTGTGACTTGAATGCAATCATCACTCAGAAGTTTCTGAGAATGCTTCTCTTTAGTTTTTACGTGAACATATAACCGTTTCGAACGAAGGCCACCCAGTGGTCCAAATATCCACTTGCAGATTCTACAGAAAGAGTGTTTCGAACCTGAACTCTCAAAGGCAGGTTCATCTCTGCGAGTTCAATGCATTCATCCTGAAGAACTTTCTCAGAGTGTTTGTGTTTAGTTATGGGAAATTATTCCCGTTTCCAACGAAATCCTCAGAGAGCTCCAAATATCCACCTGCAGATTCTACCAAAAGTGTATTTGGAAACTGCTCCATCAAAAGGCATGTTCCGCTCTGTGAGTGAAACTCCATCATCACAAAGAATATTCTGAGAATGCTTCCGTTTGCCTTTTATATGAAGTTCCTTCCTATACGACCGTAGGCCTCAAAGCAGTCCAAATCTCCATTTGCAGATTCTACAAAAAGAGTGATTCCAATCTGCTCTATCAATAGGATTGTTCAACTCCATGAGTTGAATGCCATCCTCACAAAGTAGTTTCTGAGAATGCTTCTATCTAGTTTTTATGTGAAGATATTTCCTTTTCCACCACAGGCCTCAAAGCCCTCCAAACGTCCACTTGCAGATTCTCGAAAAAGAGTGTTTCATAGCTGCTCTTTCAAAAGGAAAGTTCAACTCTGGGAGTTGAATACAAACATCACAAAGTAGTTTCCGAGAATGCTTCTGTTTAGTTTTTATGTGAAGATGACCCCGTTTCCAGTGAAATCATCAAAGAGGTCCACATATCCCCTTGCAGATTCCAAAGAAAGAGGGTTTCAAAACTGCTCCATCAGAAGGATTGTTCAACTCTGTGAGTTGAATGCAGTCATCGCAGAAAACTTTCTGAGAATGCTTCTTTCTAGGTTTGATGTGAAGATATAGACGTTTCAAACGAAGGCTACAAAGTGGTCAAAATATACACTTGCAGATTCTACTACAAGGGTGTTGCAAACCTGAACTATCAAAGGAAGGTTCAACTCTGTGAGTTGAATACAAACATCACAAAGAATGTTCTGAGTTTGCTTCCGTTCAGTTATGGGAAGTTGATCCCGTTTCCAACGAAATCCTCAGAGAGGTCCAAATATCCCCTCGCAGATTCTACAAAACGTGTGTTTGGAAACTGCTCCATCATAACGAATGTTCAGCTCCCTGAGTTAAACTCCATCGTCACAAAGAATTTTCTGAGAGTGCTACCGTCTGGTTTTTATATGAAGTTCTTTCCTTCACTACCACAGGCCTCAAAGCGGTCCAAATCTCCACTTGCAGATTCTAGAAAAAGAGTGTTTGCAAACTGCTCTATCAAAAGGAATGTTCAACTCTGGGAGTTGAATGCAATCATCACAGAGCAGTTTCTGAGAATGCTTCTATGTCGTTTTTAGGAGAAGATATTTCCTTTTCCAACACAGTCCTCCAAGCCCGCTAAATAGCCACTTGCACATTGTAGAAAAAGTGTGTCAAAGCTGCGCTATCAAAGGGAAAGTTCAACTCTGTGAGGTGAATGCAAACATCCCAAAGAAGTTTCTGAGAATGCTTCCGTTTAGCTTTTAGGTGAAGATTATCCCGTTTCCAACGAAACCTTCAAAGAGGTCCAAATATCCCCTTGCGGATCCCACAGAAAGAGTGTTTCGAAACTGCTGTTTCAAAAGGAATCTTCAACTCTGTGAGTTGAATGCAATCATCACAAAGAAGTTTCTGACAATGCTTCTCTCTCGTCTTTCTGTGAAGATAAAGGAAAAGGCTTTCAGGCCTTTTCCACCACAGGCCTGAAAGCGCTCCAAATGTCCACTTGCAGATTCTGCCAAAAGAATATTTCAAAACTGCTCTATGAAAAGCAATGTTAAACTCTGTGGCTCGAACACAAACATCACAAAGCAGTTTCTGAGAATGCTTCAGTTTAGTTTTTCTGTGGAAATATTCCCGTTTCCAAAGAAATCTTCAAAGAGGTCCACGTATCCACTTACAGATTCTACAAAAAGACAGTTTCAAAACTGCTCCATCAAAAGGAGGGTTCAACTGTGTGACTTGAATGCAATCATCACTCAGAAGTTTCTGAGAATGCTTCTCTTTAGTTTTTACGTGAACATATACCCGTTTCGAACGAAGGCCACCCAGTGGTCCAAATATCCACTTGCAGATTCTACAGAAAGAGTGTTTCGAACCTGAACTCTCAAAGGCAGGTTCATCTCTGCGAGTTAAATGCATTCATCATGAAGAACATTCTCAGAGTGTTTGTGTTTAGTTATGGGAAATTATTCCCGTTTCCAACGAAATCCTCAGAGAGCTCCAAATATCCACCTGCAGATTCTACCAAAAGTGTATTTGGAAACTGCTCCATCAAAAGGCATGTTCAGCTCTGTGAGTGAAACTCCATCATCACAAAGAATATTCTGAGAATGCTTCCGTTTGCCTTTTATATGAAGTTCCTTCCTATACTACCGTAGGCCTCAAAGCAGTCCAAATCTCCATTTGCAGATTCTACAAAAAGAGTGATTCCAATCTGCTCTATCAATAGGATTGTTCAACTCCATGAGTTGAATGCCATCCTCACAAAGTAGTTTCTGAGAATGCTTCTATCTAGTTTTTATGTGAAGATATTTCCTTTTCCACCACAGGCCTCAAAGCCCTCAAAACGTCCACTTGCAGATTCTCGAAAAAGAGTGTTTCATAGCTGCTCTTTCAAAAGGAAAGTTCAACTCTGGGAGTTGAATACAAACATCACAAAGTAGTTTCCGAGAATGCTTCTGTTTAGTTTTTATGTGAAGATGATCCCGTTTCCAGTGAAATCTTCAAAGAGGTCCACATATCCCCTTGCAGATTCCAAAGAAAGAGGGTTTCAAAACTGCTCCATCAGAAGGATTGTTCAACTCTGTGAGTTGAATGCAGTCATCGCAGAAAACTTTCTGAGAATGCTTCTGTCTAGGTTTGATGTGAAGATATAGACGTTTCAAACGAAGGCTACAAAGTGGTCAAAATATACACTTGCAGATTCTACTACAAGGGTGTTGCAAACCTGAACTATCAAAGGAAGGTTCAACTCTGTGAGTTGAATACAAACATCACAAAGAATGTTCTGAGTTTGCTTCCGTTCAGTTATGGGAAGTTGATCCCGTTTCCAACGAAATCCTCAGAGAGGTCCAAATATCCCCTTGCAGATTCTACAAAACGTGTGTTTGGAAACTGCTCCATCATAACGAATGTTCAGCTCCCTGAGTTAAACTCCATCGTCACAAAGAATTTTCTGAGAGTGCTACCGTCTGGTTTTTATATGAAGTTCTTTCCTTCACTACCACAGGCCTCAAAGCGGTCCAAATCTCCACTTGCAGATTCTACAAAAAGAGTGTTTGCAAACTGCTCTATCAAAAGGAATGTTCAACTCTGGGAGTTGAATGCAATCATCACAGAGCAGTTTCTGAGAATGCTTCTATGTCGTTTTTAGGAGAAGATATTTCCTTTTCCAACACAGTCTTCCAAGCCCGCTAAATAGCCACTTGCACATTGTAGGAAAAGTGTGTCAAAGCTGCGCTATCAAAGGGAAAGTTCAACTCTGTGAGGTGAATGCAAACATCCCAAAGAAGTTTCTGAGAATGCTTCCGTTTAGCTTTTAGGTGAAGATTATCCCGTTTCCAACGAAACCTTCAAAGAGGTCCAAATATCCCCTTGCGGATCCCACAGAAAGAGTGTTTCGAAACTGCTGTTTCAAAAGGAATCTTCAACTCTGTGAGTTGAATGCAATCATCACAAAGAAGTTTCTGACAATGCTTCTCTCTCGTCTTTCTGTGAAGATAAAGGAAAAGGCTTTCAGGCCTTTTCCACCACAGGCCTGAAAGCGCTCCAAATGTCCACTTGCAGATTCTGCCAAAAGAATATTTCAAAGCTGCTCTACGAAAAGCAATGTTAAACTCTGTGGCTCGAACACAAACATCACAAAGCCGTTTCTGAGAATGCTTCAGTTTAGTTTTTCTGTGGAAATATTCCCGTTTCCAAAGAAATCTTCAAAGAGGTCCACGTACCCGCTTACAGATTCTACAAAAAGACAGTTTCAAAACTGCTCAATCAAAAGGAGTGTTCAACCGTGTGACTTGAATGCAATCATCACGCAGAAGTTTCTGAGAATGCTTCTCTTTAGTTTTTACGTGAACATATACCCGTTTCGAATGAAGGCCACCCAGTGGTCCAAATATCCACTTGCAGATTCTACATAAAGAGTGTTTCGAACCTGAACTCTCAAAGGCAGGTTCATCTCTGCGAGTTCAATGCATTCATCATGAAGAACTTTCTCAGAGTGTTTTTGTTTAGGTATGGGAAATTATTCCCGTTTCCAACGAAATCCTCAGAGAGGTCCAAATATCCACCTGCAGATTCTACCAAAAGTGTATTTGGAAACTGCTCCATCAAAAGGCATGTTCAGCTCTGTGAGTGAAACTCCATCATCACAAAGAATATTCTGAGAATGCTTCCGTTTGCCTTTTATATGAAGTTCCTTCCTATACTACCGTAGGCCTCAAAGCAGTCCAAATCTCCATTTGCAGATCCTACAAAAAGAGTGATTCCAATCTGCTCTATCAATAGGATTGTTCAACTCCATGAGTTGAATGCCATCCTCACAAAGTAGTCTCTGAGAATGCTTCTATCTAGTTTTTATGTGAAGATATTTCCTTTTCCACCACAGGCCTCAAAGCCCTCCAAACGTCCACTTGCAGATTCTCGAAAAAGAGTGTTTCATAGCTGCTCTTTCAAAAGGAAAGTTCAACTCTGGGAGTTGAATACAAACATCACAAAGTAGTTTCCGAGAATGCTTCTGTTTAGTTTTTATGTGAAGATGATCCCGTTTCCAGTGAAATCTTCAAAGAGGTCCACATATCCCCTTGCAGATTCCAAAGAAAGAGGGTTTCAAAACTGCTCCATCAGAAGGATTGTTCAACTCTGTGAGTTGAATGCAGTCATCACAGAAAACTTTCTGAGAATGCTTCTGTCTAGGTTTGATGTGAAGATATAGACGTTTCAAATGAAGGCTACAAAGTGGTCAAAATATACACTTGCAGATTCTACTACAAGGGTGTTGCAAACCTGAACTATCAAAGGAAGGTTCAACTCTGTGAGTTGAATACAAACATCACAAAGAATGTTCTGAGTTTGCTTCCGTTCAGTTATGGGAAGTTGATCCCGTTTCCAACGAAATCCTCAGAGAGGTCCAAATATCCCCTTGCAGATTCTACAAAACGTGTGTTTGGAAACTGCTCCATCATAACGAATGTTCAGCTCCCTGAGTTAAACTCCATCGTCACAAAGAATTTTCTGAGAGTGCTACCGTCTGGTTTTTATATGAAGTTCTTTCCTTCACTACCACAGGCCTCAAAGCGGTCCAAATCTCCACTTCCAGATTCTACAAAAAGAGTGTTTGCAAACTGCTCTATCAAAAGGAATGTTCAACTCTGGGAGTTGAATGCAATCATCACAGAGCAGTTTCTGAGAATGCTTCTATGTCGTTTTTAGGAGAAGATATTTCCTTTTCCAACACAGTCCTCCAAGCCCGCTAAATAGCCACTTGCACATTGTAGAAAAAGTGTGTCAAAGCTGCGCTATCAAAGGGAAAGTTCAACTCTGTGAAGTGAATGCAAACATCCCAAAGAAGTTTCTGAGAATGCTTCCGTTTAGCTTTTAGGTGAAGATTATCCCGTTTCCAACGAAACCTTCAAAGAGGTCCAAATATCCCCTTGCGGATCCCACAGAAAGAGTGTTTCGAAACTGCTGTTTCAAAAGGAATCTTCAACTCTGTGAGTTGAATGCAATCATCACAAAGAAGTTTCTGACAATGCTTCTCTCTCGTCTTTCTGTGAAGATAAAGGAAAAGGCTTTCAGGCCTTTTCCACCACAGGCCTGAAAGCGCTCCAAATGTCCACTTGCAGATTCTGCCAAAAGAATATTTCAAAACTGCTCTATGAAAAGCAATGTTAAACTCTGTGGCTGGAACACAAACATCACAAAGCGGTTTCTGAGAATGCTTCAGTTTAGTTTTTCTGTGGAAATATTCCCGTTTCCAAAGAAATCTTCAAAGAGGTCCACGTATCCACTTACAGATTCTACAAAAAGACAGTTTCAAAACTGCTCCATCAAAAGGAGGGTTCAACTGTGTGACTTGAATGCAATCATCACTCAGAAGTTTCTGAGAATGCTTCTCTTTAGTTTTTACGTGAACATATACCCGTTTCGAACGAAGGCCACCCAGTGGTCCAAATATCCACTTGCAGATTCTACAGAAAGAGTGTTTCGAACCTGAACTCTCAAAGGCAGGTTCATCTCTGCGAGTTAAATGCATTCATCATGAAGAACTTTCTCAGAGTGTTTGTGTTTAGTTATGGGAAATTATTCCCGTTTCCAACGAAATCCTCAGAGAGCTCCAAATATCCACCTGCAGATTCTACCAAAAGTGTATTTGGAAACTGCTCCATCAAAAGGCATGTTCAGCTCTGTGAGTGAAACTCCATCATCACAAAGAATATTCTGAGAATGCTTCCGTTTGCCTTTTATATGAAGTTCCTTCCTATACTACCATAGGCCACAAAGCAGTCCAAATCTCCATTTGCAGATTCTACAAAAAGACTGATTCCAATCTGCTCTATCAATAGGATTGTTCAACTCCATGAGTTGAATGCCATCCTCACAAAGTCGTTTCTGAGAATGCTTCTATCTAGTTTTAATGTGAAGATATTTCCTTTTCCACCACAGGCCTCAAAGCCCTCCAAACGTCCGCTTGCAGATTCTCAAAAAAGAGTGTTTCATAGCTGCTCTTTCAAAAGGAAAGTTCAACTCTGGGAGTTGAATACAAACATCACAAAGTAGTTTCCGAGAATGCTTCTGTTTAGTTCTTATGTGAAGATGATCCCGTTTCCAGTGAAATCTTCAAAGAGGTCCACATATCCCCTTGCAGATTCCAAAGAAAGAGGGTTTCAAAACTGCTCCATCAAAAGGATTGTTCAACTCTGTGAGTTGAATGCAGTCATCGCAGAAAACTTTCTGAGAATGCTTCTGTCTAGGTTTGATGTGAAGATATAGACGTTTCAAACGAAGGCTACAAAGTGGTCAAAATATACACTTGCAGATTCTACTACAAGGGTGTTGCAAACCTGAACTATCAAAGGAAGGTTCAACTCTGTGAGTTGAATACAAACATCACAAAGAATGTTCTGAGTTTGCTTCCGTTCAGTTATGGGAAGTTGATCCCATTTCCAACGAAATCCTCAGAGAGGTCCAAATATCCCCTTGCAGATTCTACAAAACGTGTGTTTGGAAACTGCTCCATCATAACGAATGTTCAGCTCTCTGAGTTAAACTCCATCGTCACAAAGAATTTTCTGAGAGTGCTACCGTCTGGTTTTTATATGAAGTTGTTTCCTTTACTACCACAGGCCTCAAAGCGGTCCAAATCTCCACTTGCAGATTCTACAAAAAGAGTGTTTGCAAACTGCTCTATCAAAAGGAATGTTCAACTCTGGGAGTTGAATGCAATCATCACAGAGCAGTTTCTGAGAATGCTTCTATGTCGTTTTTAGGAGAAGATATTTCCTTTTCCAACACAGTCCTCCAAGCCCGCTAAATATCCACTTGCACATTGTAGAAAAAGTGTGTCGAAGCTGCGCTATCAAAGGGAAAGTTCAACTCTGTGAGGTGAATGCAAACATCCCAAAGAAGTTTCTGAGAATGCTTCCGTTTAGCTTTTAGGTGACGATTATCCAGTTTCCAACGAAACCTTCAAATAGATCCAAATATCCCCTTGCGGTTCCCACAGAAAGAGTGTTTCGAAACTGCTGTTTCAAAAGGAATCTTCAACTCTGTGAGTTGAATGCAATCATCACAAAGAAGTTTCTGACAATGCTTCTCTCTCGTCTTTCTGTGAAGATAAAGGAAAAGGCTTTCAGGCCTTTTCCACCACAGGCCTGAAAGCGCTCCAAATGTCCACTTGCAGATTCTGCCAAAAGAATATTTCAAAACTGCTCTATGAAAAGCAATGTTAAACTCTGCGGCTCGAACACAAACATCACAAAGCAGTTTCTGAGAATGCTTCAGTTTAGTTTTTCGGTGGAAATATTCCCGTTTCCAAAGAAATCTTCAAAGAGGTCCACGCATCCACTTACAGATTCTACAAAAACACAGTTTCAAACCTGCTCAATCAAAACGAGGGTTCAACTGTGTGACTTGAATGCAATCATCACTCCGAAGTTTCTGAGAATGCTTCTCTTTAGTTTTTACGTGAACATATACCCGTTTCGAACGAAGGCCACCCAGTGGTCCAAATATCCACTTGCAGATTCTACAGAAAGAGTGTTTCGAACCTGAACTCTCAAAGGCAGGTTCATCTCTGCAAGTTAAATGCATTCATCATGAAGAACTTTCTCAGAGTGTTTGTGTTTAGTTATGGGAAATTATTCCCGTTTCCAACGAAATCCTCAGAGAGCTCCAAATATCCACCTGCTGATTCTACCAAAAGTGTATTTGGAAACTGCTCCATCAAAAGGCATGTTCAGCTCTGTGAGTGAAACTCCATCATCACAAAGAATATTCTGAGAATGCTTCCGTTTGCCTTTTATATGAAGTTCCTTCCTATACGACCGTAGGCCTCAAAGCAGTCCAAATCTCCATTTGCAGATTCTACAAAAAGAGTGATTCCAATCTGCTCTATCAATAGGATTGTTCAACTCCATGAGTTGAATGCCATCCTCACAAAGTAGTTTCTGAGAATGCTTCTATCTAGTTTTTATGTGAAGATATTTCCTTTTCCACCACAGGACTCAAAGCCCTCCAAACGTCCACTTGCAGATTCTCGAAAAAGAGTGTTTCATAGCTGCTCTTTCAAAAGGAAAGTTCAACTCTGGGAGGTGAATACAAACATCACAAAGTAGTTTCTGAGAATGCTTCTGTTTAGTTCTTATGTGAAGATGATCCCGTTTCCAGTGAAATCTTCAAAGAGGTCCACATATCCCCTTGCAGATTCCAAAGAAAGAGGGTTTCAAAACTGCTCCATCAAAAGGATTGTTCAACTCTGTGAGTTGAATGCAGTCATCGCAGAAAACTTTCTGAGAATGCTTCTGTCTAGGTTTGATGTGAAGATATAGACGTTTCAAACGAAGGCTACACAGTGGTCAAAATATACACTTGCAGATTCTACTACAAGGGTGTTGCAAACCTGAACTATCAAAGGAAGGTTCAACTCTGTGAGTTGAATACAAACATCACAAAGAATGTTCTGAGTTTGCTTCCGTTCAGTTATGGGAAGTTGATCCCGTTTCCAGCGAAATCCTCAGAGAGGTCCATATATCCCCTTGCAGATTCTACAAAACGTGTGTTTGGAAACTGCTCCATCATAACGAATGTTCAGCTCCCTGAGTTAAACTCCATCGTCACAAAGAATTTTCTGAGAGTGCTACCGTCTGGTTTTTATATGAAGTTCTTTCCTTCACTACCACAGGCCTCAAAGCGGTCCAAATCTCCACTTGCAGATTCTACAAAAAGAGTGTTTGCAAACTGCTCTATCAAAAGGAATGTTCAACTCTGGGAGTTGAATGCAATCATCACAGAGCAGTTTCTGAGAATGCTTCTATGTCGTTTTTAGGAGAAGATAATTCCTTTTCCAACACAGTCCTCCAAGCCCGCTAAATAGCTACTTGCACATTGTAGAAAAAGTGTGTCAAAGCTGCGCTATCAAAGGGAAAGTTCAACTCTGTGAGGTGAATGCAAACATCCCAAAGAAGTTTCTGAGAATGCTTCCGTTTAGCTTTTAGGTGAAGATTATACCGTTTCCAACGAAACCTTCAAAGAGGTCCAAATATCCCCTTGCGGATCCCACAGAAAGAGTGTTTCAAAACTGCTGTTTCAAAAGGAATCTTCAACTCTGTGAGTTGAATGCAATCATCACAAAGAAGTTTCTGACAATGCTTCTCTCTCGTCTTTCTGTGAAGATAAAGGAAAAGGCTTTCAGGCCTTTTCCACCACAGGCCTGAAAGCGCTCCAAATGTCCACTTGCAGATTCTGCCAAAAGAATATTTCAAAACTGCTCTATGAAAAGCAATGTTAAACTCTGTGGCTCGATCACAAACATCACAAAGCGGTTTCTGAGAATACTTCAGTTTAGTTTTTCTGTGGAAATATTCCCGTTTCCAAAGAAATCTTCAAAGAGGTCCACGTATCCACTTACAGATTCTACAAAAAGACAGTTTCAAAACTGCTCCATCAAAAGGAGGGTTCAACTGTGTGACTTGAATGCAATCATCACTCAGAAGTTTCTGAGAATGCTTCTCTTTAGTTTTTACGTGAACATATACCCGTTTCGAACGAAGGCCACCCAGTGGTCCAAATATCCACTTGCAGATTCTACAGAAAGAGTGTTTCGAACCTGAACTCTCAAAGGCAGGTTCATCTCTGCGAGTTAAATGCATTCATCATGAAGAACTTTCTCAGAGTGTTTGTGTTTAGTTATGGGAAATTATTCCCGTTTCCAACGAAATCCTCAGAGAGCTCCAAATATCCACCTGCAGATTCTACCAAAAGTGTATTTGGAAACTGCTCCATCAAAAGGCATGTTCAGCTCTGTGAGTGAAACTCCATCATCACAAAGAATATTCTGAGAATGCTTCCGTTTGCCTTTTATATGAAGTTCCTTCCTATACGACCGTAGGCCTCAAAGCAGTCCAAATCTCCATTTGCAGATTCTACAAAAAGAGTGATTCCAATCTGCTCTATCAATAGGATTGTTCAACTCCATGAGTTGAATGCCATCCTCACAAAGTAGTTTCTGAGAATGCTTCTATCTAGTTTTATGTGAAGATATTTCCTTTTCCACCACAGGCCTCAAAGCCCTCCAAACGTCCACTTGCAGATTCTCGAAAAAGAGTGTTTCATAGCTGCTCTTTCAAAAGGAAAGTTCAACTCTGGGAGTTGAATACAAACATCACAAAGTAGTTTCCGAGAATGCTTCTGTTTAGTTTTTATGTGAAGATGATCCCGTTTCCAGTGAAATCTTCAAAGAGGTCCACATATCCCCTTGCAGATTCCAAAGAAAGAGGGTTTCAAAACTGCTCCATCAGAAGGATTGTTCAACTCTGTGAGTTGAATGCAGTCATCGCAGAAAACTTTCTGAGAATGCTTCTGTCTAGGTTTGATGTGAAGATATAGACGTTTCAAATGAAGGCTACAAAGTGGTCAAAATATACACTTGCAGATTCTACTACAAGGGTGTTGCAAACCTGAACTATCAAAGGAAGGTTCAACTCTGTGAGTTGAATACAAACATCACAAAGAATGTTCTGAGTTTGCTTCCGTTCAGTTATGGGAAGTTGATCCCGTTTCCAACGAAATCCTCAGAGAGGTCTAAATATCCCCTTGCAGATTCTACAAAACGTGTGTTTGGAAACTGCTCCATCATAACGAATGTTCAGCTCCCTGAGTTAAACTCCATCGTCACAAAGAATTTTCTGAGAGTGCTTCCGTCTGGTTTTTATATGAAGTTCTTTCCTTCACTACCACAGGCCTCAAAGCGGTCCAAATCTCCACTTGCAGATTCTACAAAAAGAGTGTTTGCAAACTGCTCTATCAAAAGGAATGTTCAACTCTGGGAGTTGAATGCAATCATCACAGAGCAGTTTCTGAGAATGCTTCTATGTCGTTTTTAGGAGAAGATAATTCCTTTTCCAACACAGTCCTCCAAGCCCGCTAAATAGCTACTTGCACATTGTAGAAAAAGTGTGTCAAAGCTGCGCTATCAAAGGGAAAGTTCAACTCTGTGAGGTGAATGCAAACATCCCAAAGAAGTTTCTGAGAATGCTTCCGTTTAGCTTTTAGGTGAAGATTATACCGTTTCCAACGAAACCTTCAAAGAGGTCCAAATATCCCCTTGCGGATCCCACAGAAAGAGTGTTTCAAAACTGCTGTTTCAAAAGGAATCTTCAACTCTGTGAGTTGAATGCAATCATCACAAAGAAGTTTCTGACAATGCTTCTCTCTCGTCTTTCTGTGAAGATAAAGGAAAAGGCTTTCAGGCCTTTTCCACCACAGGCCTGAAAGCGCTCCAAATGTCCACTTGCAGATTCTGCCAAAAGAATATTTCAAAACTGCTCTATGAAAAGCAATGTTAAACTCTGTGGCTCGATCACAAACATCACAAAGCGGTTTCTGAGAATACTTCAGTTTAGTTTTTCTGTGGAAATATTCCCGTTTCCAAAGAAATCTTCAAAGAGGTCCACGTATCCACTTACAGATTCTACAAAAAGACAGTTTCAAAACTGCTCCATCAAAAGGAGGGTTCAACTGTGTGACTTGAATGCAATCATCACTCAGAAGTTTCTGAGAATGCTTCTCTTTAGTTTTTACGTGAACATATACCCGTTTCGAACGAAGGCCAGCCAGTGGTCCAAATATCCACTTGCAGATTCTACAGAAAGAGTGTTTCGAACCTGAACTCTCAAAGGCAGGTTCATCTCTGCGAGTTAAATGCATTCATCATGAAGAACTTTCTCAGAGTGTTTGTGTTTAGTTATGGGAAATTATTCCCGTTTCCAACGAAATCCTCAGAGAGCTCCAAATATCCACCTGCAGATTCTACCAAAAGTGTATTTGGAAACTGCTCCATCAAAAGGCATGTTCAGCTCTGTCAGTGAAACTCCATCATCACAAAGAATATTCTGAGAATGCTTCCGTTTGCCTTTTATCTGAAGTTCCTTCCTATACGACCGTAGGCCTCAAAGCAGTCCAAATCTCCATTTGCAGATTCCACAAAAAGAGTGATTCCAATCTGCTCTATCAATAGGATTGTTCAACTCCATGAGTTGAATGCCATCCTCACAAAGTCGTTTCTGAGAATGCTTCTATCTAGTTTTTATGTGAAGATATTTCCTTTTCCACCACAGGCCTCAAAGCCTTCCAAACGTCCACTTGCAGATTCTCGAAAAAGAGTGTTTCATAGCTGCTCTTTCAAAAGGAAAGTTCAACTCTGGGAGTTGAATACAAACATCACAAAGTAGTTTCCGAGAATGCTTCTGTTTAGTTTTTATGTGAAGATGATCCCGTTTCCAGTGAAATCTTCAAAGAGGTCCACATATCCCCTTGCAGATTCCAAAGAAAGAGGGTATCAAAACTGCTCCATCAGAAGGATTGTTCAACTCTGTGAGTTGAATGCAGTCATCGCAGAAAACTTTCTGAGAATGCTTCTGTCTAGGTTTGATGTGAAGATATAGACGTTTCAAACGAAGGCTACAAAGTGGTCAAAATATACACTTGCAGATTCTACTACAAGGGTGTTGCAAACCTGAACTATCAAAGGAAGGTTCAACTCTGTGAGTTGAATACAAACATCACAAAGAATGTTCTGAGTTTGCTTCCGTTCAGTTATGGGAAGTTGATCCCGTTTCCAACGAAATCCTCAGAGAGGTCCAAATATCCCCTCGCAGATTCTACAAAACGTGTGTTTGGAAACTGCTCCATCATAACGAATGTTCAGCTCCCTGAGTTAAACTCCATCGTCACAAAGAATTTTCTGAGAGTGCTACCGTCTGGTTTTTATATGAAGTTCTTTCCTTCACTACCACAGGCCTCAAAGCGGTCCAAATCTCCACTTGCAGATTCTACAAAAAGAGTGTTTGCAAACTGCTCTATCAAAAGGAATGTTCAACTCTGGGAGTTGAATGCAATCATCACAGAGCAGTTTCTGAGAATGCTTCCGTTTAGCTTTTAGGTGAAGATTATCCCGTTTCCAACGAAACCTTCAAAGAGGTCCAAATATCCCCTTGCGGATCCCACAGAAAGAGTGTTTCGAAACTGCTGTTTCAAAAGGAATCTTCAACTCTGTGAGTTGAATGCAATCATCACAAAGAAGTTTCTGACAATGCTTCTCTCTCGTCTTTCTGTGAAGATAAAGGAAAAGGCTTTCAGGCCTTTGCCACCACAGGCCTGAAAGCACTCCAAATGTCCACTTGCAGATTCTGCGAAAAGAATATTTCAAAACTGCTCTATGAAAAGCAATGTTAAACTCTGTGGCTCGAACACAAACATCACAAAGCGGTTTTTGAGAATGTTTCAGTTTAGTTTTTCTGTGGAAATATTCCCCTTTCCAAAGAAATCTTCAAAGAGGTCCACGTATCCACTTACAGATTCTACAAAAAGACAGTTTCAAAACTGCTCAAACAAAAGGCGGGTTCAACTGTGTGACTTGAATGCAATCATCACTCAGAAGTTTCTGAGAATGCTTCTCTTTAGTTTTTACGTGAACATATACCCGTTTCGAACGAAGGCCACCCAGTGGTCCAAATATCCACTTGCAGATTCTACAGAAAGAGTGTTTCGAACCTTAACTCTCAAAGGCAGGTTCATCTCTGCGAGTTAAATGCATTCATCATGAAGAACTTTCTCAGAGTGTTTGTGTTTAGTTATGGGAAATTATTCCCGTTTCCAACGAAATCCTCCGAGAGGTCCAAATATCCACCTGCAGATTCTACCAAAAGTGTATTTGGAAACTGCTCCATCAAAAGGCATGTTCAGCTCTGTGAGTGAAACTCCATCATCACAAAGAATATTCTGAGAATGCTTCCGTTTGCCTTTTATATGAAGTTCCTTCCTATACTACCGTAGGCCTCAAAGCAGTCCAAATCTCCATTTGCAGATTCTACAAAAAGAGTGATTCCAATCTGCTCTATCAATAGGATTGTTCAACTCCATGAGTTGAATGCCTTCCTCACAAAGTCGTTTCTGAGAATGCTTCTATCTAGTTTTTATGTGAAGATATTTCCTTTTCCACCACAGGCCTCAAAGCCCTCCAAACATCCACTTGCAGATTCTCGAAAAAGAGTGTTTCATAGCTGCTCTTTCAAAAGGAAAGTTCAACTCTGGGAGTTGAATACAAACATCACAAAGTAGTTTCCGAGAATGCTTCTGTTTAGTTCTTATGTGAAGATGATCCCGTTTCCAGTGAAATCTTCAAAGAGGTCCACATATGCCCTTGCAGATTCCAAAGAAAGTGGGTTTCAAAACTGCTCCATCAAAAGGATTGCTCAACTCTGTGAGTAGAATGCAGTCATCGCAGAAAACTTTCTGAGAATGCTTCTGTCTAGGTTTGATGTGAAGATATAGACGTTTCAAACGAAGGCTACAAAGTGGTCAAAATATACACTTGCAGATTCTACTACAAGGGTGTTGCAAACCTGAACTATCAAAGGAAGGTTCAACTCTGTGAGTTGAATACAAACATCACAAAGAATGTTCTGAGTTTGCTTCCGTTCAGTTATGGGAAGTTGATCCCGTTTCCAAAGAAATCCTCAGAGAGGTCCAAATATCCCCTTGCAGATTCTACAAAACGTGTGTTTGGAAACTGCTCCATCATAACGAATGTTCAGCTCCCTGAGTTAAACTCCATCGTCACAAAGAATTTTCTGAGAGTGCTACCGTCTGGTTTTTATATGAAGTTCTTTCCTTCACTACCACAGGCCTCAAAGCGGTCCAAATCTCCACTTGCAGATTGTACAAAAAGAGTGTTTGCAAACTGCTCTATCAAAAGGAATGTTCAACTCTGGGAGTTGAATGCAATCATCACAGAGCAGTTTCTGAGAATGCTTCTATGTCGTTTTTAGGAGAAGATATTTCCTTTTCCAACACAATCCTCCAAGCCCGCTAAATAGCCACTTGCACATTGTAGAAAAAGTGTGTCAAAGCTGCGCTATCAAAGGGAAAGTTCAACTCTGTGAGGTGAATGCAAACATCCCAAAGAAGTTTCTGAGAATGCTTCCGTTTAGCTTTTAGGTGAAGATTATCCCGTTTCCAACGAAACCTTCAAAGAGGTCCAAATATCCCCTTGCGGATCCCACAGAAAGAGTGTTTCGAAACTGCTGTTTCAAAAGGAATCTTCAACTCTGTGAGTTGAATGCAATCATCACAAAGAAGTTTCTGACAATGCTTCTCTCTCGTCTTTCTGTGAAGATAAAGGAAAAGGCTTTCAGGCCTTTTCCACCACAGGCCTGAAAGCGCTCCAAATGTCCACTTGCAGATTCTGCCAAAAGAATATTTCAAAACTGCTCTATGAAAAGCAATGTTAAACTCTGTGGCTCGAACACAAACATCACAAAGCGGTTTCTGAGAATGCTTCAGTTTAGTTTTTCTGTGGAAATATTCCCGTTTCCAAAGAAATCTTCAAAGAGGTCCAAGTATCCACTTACAGATTCTACAAAAAGACAGTTTCAAAACTGCTCCATCAAAAGGAAGGTTCAACTGTGTGACTTGAATGCAATCATCACTCAGAAGTTTCTGAGAATGCTTCTCTTTAGTTTTTACGTGAACATATACCCGTTTCGAACGAAGGCCAGCCAGTGGTCCAAATATCCACTTGCAGATTCTACAGAAAGAGTGTTTCGAACATGAACTCTCAAAGGCAGGTTCATCTCTGCGAGTTAAATGCATTCATCATGAAGAACTTTCTCAGAGTGTTTGTGTTTAGTTATGGGAAATTATTCCCGTTTCCAACGAAATCCTCAGAGAGCTCCAAATATCCACCTGCAGATTCTACCAAAAGTGTATTTGGAAACTGCTCCATCAAAAGGCATGTTCAGCTCTGTGAGTGAAACTCCATCATCACAAAGAATATTCTGAGAATGCTTCCGTTTGCCTTTTATATGAAGTTCCTTCCTGTACTACCGTAGGCCTCAAAGCAGTCCAAATCTCCATTTGCAGATTCTACAAAAAGAGTGATTCCAATCTGCTGTATCAATAGGATTGTTCAACTCCATGAGTTGAATGCCATCCTCACAAAGTAGTTTCTGAGAATGCTTCTATCTGGTTTTTGTGTGAAGATATTTCCTTTTCCACCACAGGCCTCAAAGCCCTCCAAACGTCCACTTGCAGATTCTCGAAAAAGAGTGTTTCATAGCTGCTCTTTCAAAAGGAAAGTTCAACTCTGGGAGTTGAATACAAACATCACAAAATAGTTTCCGAGAATGCTTCTGTTTAGTTTTTATGTGAAGATGATCCCGTTTCCAGTGAAATCTTCAAAGAGGTCCACATATCCCCTTGCAGATTCCAAAGAAAGAGGGTTTAAAAACTGCTCCATCAGAAGGATTGTTCAACTCTGTGAGTTGAATGCAGTCATCGCAGAAAACTTTCTGAGAATGCTTCTGTCTAGTTTTGATGTGAAGATATAGACGTTTCAAACGAAGGCTACAAAGTGGTCAAAATATACACTTGCAGATTCTACTACAAGGGTGTTGCAAACCTGAACTATCAAAGGAAGGTTCAACTCTGTGAGTTGAATACAAACATCACAAAGAATGTTCTGAGTTTGCTTCCGTTCAGTTATGGGAAGTTGATCCCGTTTCCAACGAAATCCTCAGAGAGGTCCAAATATCCCCTTGCAGATTCTACAAAACGTGTGTTTGGAAACTGCTCCATCATAACGAATGTTCAGCTCCCTGAGTTAAACTCCATCGTCACAAAGAATTTTCTGAGAGTGCTACCGTCTGGTTTTTATATGAAGTTCTTTCCTTCACTACCACAGGCCTCAAAGCGGTCCAAATCTCCACTTGCAGATTCTACAAAAAGAGTGTTTGCAAACTGCTCTATCAAAAGGAATGTTCAACTCTGGGAGTTGAATGCAATCATCACAGAGCAGTTTCTGAGAATGCTTCTATGTCGTTTTTAGGAGAAGATATTTCCTTTTCCAACACAGTCCTCCAAGCCCGCTAAATAGCCACTTGCACATTGTAGAAAAAGTGTGTCAAAGCTGCGCTATCAAAGGGAAAGTTCAACTCTGTGAGGTCAATGCAAACATCCCAAAGAAGTTTCTGAGAATGCTTCCGTTTAGCTTTTAGGTGAAGATTATCCCGTTTCCAACGAAACCTTCAAAGAGGTCCAAATATCCCCTTGCGGATCCCACAGAAAGAGTGTTTCGAAACTGCTGTTTCAAAAGGAATCTTCAACTCTGTGAGTTGAATGCAATCATCACAAAGAAGTTTCTGACAATGCTTCTCTCTCGTCTTTCTGTGAACATAAAGGAAAAGGCGTTCAGGCCTTTGCCACCACAGGCCTGAAAGCGCTCCAAATGTCCACTTGCAGATTCTGCCAAAAGAATATTTCAAAACTGCTCTATGAAAAGCAATGTTAAACTCTGTGGCTCGAAAACAAACATCACAAAGCGGTCTCTGAGAATGCTTCAGTTTAGTTTTTCTGTGGAAATATTCCCGTTTCCAAAGACATCTTCAAAGAGGTCCACGTATCCACTTACAGATTCTACAAAAAGACAGTTTCAAAACTGCTCAATCAAAAGGAGGGTTCAACTGTGTGACTTGAATGCAATCATCACTCAGAAGTTTCTGAGAATGCTTCTCTTTAGTTTTTACGTGAACATATACCCGTTTCGAACGAAGGCCACCCAGTGGTCCAAATGTCCACTTGCAGATTCTACAGAAAGAGTGTTTCGAACCTGAACTCTCAAAGGCAGGTTCATCTCTGCGAGTTAAATGCATTCATCATGAAGAACTTTCTCAGCGTGTTTGTGTTTAGTTGTGGGAAATTATTCCCGTTCCCAACGAAATCCTCAGAGAGGTCCAAATGTCCACCTGCAGATTCTACCAAAAGTGTATTTGGAAACTGCTCCATCAACAGGCATGTTCAGCTCTGTGAGTGAAACTCCATCATCACAAAGAATATTCTGAGAATGCTTCCGTTTGCCTTTTATATGAAGTTCCTTCCTATACGACCGTAGGCCTCAAAGCAGTGCAAATCTCCATTTGCAGATTCTACAAAAAGAGTGATTCCAATCTGCTCTATCAATAGGATTGTTCAACTCCATGAGTTGAATGCCATCCTCACAAAGTCGTTTCTGAGAATGCTTCTATCTAGTTTTTATGTGAAGATATTTCCTTTTCCACCACAGGCCTCAAAGCCCTCCAAACGTCCACTTGCAGATTCTCGAAAAAGAGTGTTTCATAGCTGCTCTTTCAAAAGGAAAGTTCAACTCTGGGAGTTGAATACAAACATCACAAAGTAGTTTCCGAGAATGCTTCTGTTTAGTTTTTATGTGAAGATGATCCCGTTTCCAGTGAAATCTTCAAAGAGGTCCACATATCCCCTTGCAGATTCCAAAGAAAGAGGGTTTCAAAACTGCTCCATCAATAGGATTGTTCAACTCTGTGAGTTGAATGCAGTCATCGCAGAAAACTTTCTGAGAATGCTTCTGTCTAGGTTTGATGTGAAGATATAGACGTTTCAAACGAAGGCTACAAAGTGGTCAAAATATACACTTGCAGATACTACTACAAGGGTGTTGCAAACCTGAACTATCAAAGGAAGGTTCAACTCTGTGAGTTGAATACAAACATCACAAAGAATGTTCTGAGTTTGCTTCCGTTCAGTTATGGGAAGTTGATCCCGTTTCCAACGAAATCCTCAGAGAGGTCCAAATATCCCCTTGCAGATTCTACAAAACGTGTTTTTGGAAACTGCTCCATCATAACGAATGTTCAGCTCCCTGAGTTAAACTCCATCGTCACAAAGAATTTTCTGAGAGTGCTACCGTCTGGTTTTTATATGAAGTTCTTTCCTTCACTACCACAGGCCTCAAAGCGGTCCAAATCTCCACTTGCAGATTCTACAAAAAGAGTGTTTGCAAACTGCTCTATCAAAAGGAATGTTCAACTCTGGGAGTTGAATGCAATCATCACAGAGCAGTTTCTGAGAATGCTTCTATGTCGTTTTTAGGAGAAGATATTTCCTTTTCCAACACAGTCCTCCAAGCCCGCTAAATAGCCACTTGCACATTGTAGAAAACGTGTGTCAAAGCTGCGCTATCAAAGGGAAAGTTCAACTCTGTGAGGTGAATGCAAACATCCCAAAGAAGTTTCTGAGAATGCTTCCGTTTAGCTTTTAGGTGAAGATTATCCCGTTTCCAACGAAACCTTCAAAGAGGTCCAAATATCCCCTTGCGGATCCCACAGAAAGAGTGTTTCGAAACTGCTGTTTCAAAAGGAATCTTCAACTCTGTGAGTTGAATGCAATCATCACAAAGAAGTTTCTGACAATGCTTCTTCTCTCTCGTCTTTCTGTGAAGATAAAGGAAAAGGCTTTCAGGCCTTTTCCACCACAGGCCTGAAAGCGCTCCAAATGTCCACTTGCAGATTCTGCCAAAAGAATATTTCAAAACTGCTCTATGAAAAGCAATGTTAAACTCTGCGGCTCGAACACAAACATCACAAAGCAGTTTCTGAGAAAGCTTCAGTTTAGTTTTTCTGTGGAAATATTCCCGTTTCGAAAGAAATCTTCAAAGAGGTCCACGTATCCACTTACAGATTCTACAAAAAGACAGTTTCAAAACTGCTCAATCAAAAGGAGGGTTCAACCGTGTGACTTGAATGCAATCATCACGCAGAAGTTTCTGAGAACGCTTCTCTTTAGTTTTTACGTGAACATATACCCGTTTCGAACGAAGGCCACCCAGTGGTCCAAATATCCACTTGCAGATTCTACAGAAAGAGTGTTTCGAACCTGAACTCTCAAAGGCAGGTTCATCTCTGCGAGTTCAATGCATTCATCATGAAGAACTTTCTCAGCGTGTTTGTGTTTAGTTATGGGAAATTATTCCCGTTTCCAACGAAATCCTCAGAGACGTCCAAATATCCACCTGCAGATTCTACCAAAAGTGTATTTTGAAACTGCTCCATCAAAAGGCATGTTCAGCTCTGTGAGTGAAACTCCATCATCACAAAGAATATTCTGAGAATGCTTCCGTTTGCCTTTTATATGAAGTTCCTTCCTATACGACCGTAGGCCTCAAAGCAGTCCAAATCTCCATTTGCAGATTCTACAAAAAGAGTGATTCCAATCTGCTCTATCAATAGGATTGTTCAACTCCATGAGTTGAATGCCATCCTCACAAAGCCGTTTCTGAGAATGCTTCTATCTAGTTTTTATGTGAAGATATTTCCTTTTCCACCACAGGCCTCAAAGCCCTCCAAACGTCCACTTGCAGATTCTCGAAAAAGAGTGTTTCATAGCTGCTCTTTCAAAAGGAAAGTTCAACTCTGGGAGTTGAATACAAACATCACAAAGTAGTTTCCGAGAATGCTTCTGTTTAGTTTTTATGTGAAGATGATCCCGTTTCCAGTGAAATCTTCAAAGAGGTCCACATATCCCCTTGCAGATTCCAAAGAAAGAGGGTTTCAAAACTGCTCCATCAAAAGGATTGTTCAACTCTGTGAGTTGAATGCAGTCATCGCAGAAAACTTTCTGAGAATGCTTCTTTCTAGGTTTGATGTGAAGATATAGACGTTTCAAACGAAGGCTACAAAGTGGTCAAAATATACACTTGCAGATTCTACTACAAGGGTGTTGCAAACCTGAACTATCAAAGGAAGGTTCAACTCTGTGAGTTGAATACAAACATCACAAAGAATGTTCTGAGTTTGCTTCCGTTCAGTTATGGGAAGTTGATCCCGTTTCCAACGAAATCCTCAGAGAGGTCCAAATATCCCCTCGCAGATTCTACAAAACGTGTGTTTGGAAACTGCTCCATCATAAGGAATGTTCAGCTCCCTGAGTTAAACTCCATCGTCACAAAGAATTTTCTGAGAGTGCTACCGTCTGGTTTTTATATGAAGTTCTTTCCTTCCCTACCACAGGCCTCAAAGCGGTCCAAATCTCCACTTGCAGATTCTACAAAAAGAGTGTTTGCAAACTGCTCTATCAAAAGGAATGTTCAACTCTGGGAGTTGAATGCAATCATCACAGAGCAGTTTCTGAGAATGCTTCTATGTCGTTTTTAGGAGAAGATATTTCCTTTTCCAACACAGTCCTCCAAGCCCGCTAAATAGCCACTTGCACATTGTAGAAAAAGTGTGTCGAAGCTGCGCTATCAAAGGGAAAGTTCAACTCTGTGAGGTGAATGCAAACATCCCAAAGAAGTTTCTGAGAATGCTTCCGTTTAGCTTTTAGGTGAAGATTATCCCGTTTCCAACGAAATCTTCAAAGAGGTCCAAATATCCCCTTGCGGATCCCACAGAAAGAGTGTTTCGAAACTGCTGTTTCAAAAGGAATCTTCAACTCTGTGGGTTGAATGCAATCATCACAAAGAAGTTTCTGACAATGCTTCTCTCTCGTCTTTCTGTGAAGATAAAGGAAAAGGCTTTCAGGCCTTTTCCACCACAGGCCTGAAAGCGCTCCAAATGTCCACTTGCAGATTCTGCCAAAAGAATATTTCAAAACTGCTCTATGAAACGCAATGTTAAACTCTGTGGCTCGAACACAAACATCACAAGGCGGTTTCTGAGAATGCTTCAGTTTAGTTTTTCTGTGGAAATATTCCCGTTTCCAAAGAAATCTTCAAAGAGGTCCACGTATCCACTTACAGATTCTACAAAAAGACAGTTTCAAAACTGCTCCATCAAAAGGAGGGTTCAACTGTGTGACTTGAATGCAATCATCACTCAGAAGTTTCTGAGAATGCTTCTCTTTAGTTTTTACGTGAACATATACCCCTTTCGAACGAAGGCCACCCAGTGGTCCAAATATCCACTTGCAGATTCTACAGAAAGAGTGTTTCGAACATGAACTCTCAAAGGCAGGTTCATCTCTGCGAGTTAAATGCATTCATCATGAAGAACTTTCTCAGAGTGTTTGTGTTTAGTTATGGGAAATTATTCCCGTTTCCAACGAAATCCTCAGAGAGCTCCAAATATCCACCTGCAGATTCTACCAAAAGTGGATTTGGAAACTGCTCCATCAAAAGGCATGTTCCGCTCTGTGAGTGAAACTCCATCATTACAAAGAATATTCTGAGAATGCTTCCGTTTGCCTTTTATATGAAGTTCCTTCCTATACGACCGTAGGCCTCAAAGCAGTCCAAATCTCCATTTGCAGATTCTACAAAAAGAGTGATTCCAATCTGCTCTATCAATAGGATTGTTCAACTCCATGAGTTGAATGCCATCCTCACAAAGTCGTTTCTGAGAATGCTTCTATCTAGTTTTTATGTGAAGATATTTCCTTTTCCACCACAGGCCTCAAAGCCCTCCAAGCGTCCACTTGCAGATTCTCGAAAAAGAGTGTTTCATAGCTGCTCTTTCAAAAGGAAAGTTCAACTCTGGCAGTTGAATACAAACATCACAAAGTAGTTTCCGAGAATGCTTCTGTTTAGTTTTTATGTGAAGATGATCCCGTTTCCAGTGAAATCTTCAAAGAGGTCCACATATCCCCTTGCAGATTCCAAAGAAAGAGGGTTTCAAAACTGCTCCATCAGAAGGATTGTTCAACTCTGTGAGTTGAATGCAGTCATCGCAGAAAACTTTCTGAGAATGCTTCTGTCTAGGTTTGATGTGAAGATATAGACGTTTCAAACGAAGGCTACAAAGTGGTCAAAATATACACTTGCAGATTCTACTACAAGGGTGTTGCAAACCTGAACTATCAAAGGAAGGTTCAACTCTGTGAGTTGAATACAAACATCACAAAGAATGTTCTGAGTTTGCTTCCGTTCAGTTATGGGAAGTTGATCCCGTTTCCAACGAAATCCTCAGAGAGGTCCAAATATCCCCTTGCAGATTCTACAAAACGTGTGTTTGGAAACTGCTCCATCATAACGAATGTTCAGCTCCCTGAGTTAAACTCCATCGTCACAAAGAATTTTCTGAGAGTGCTACCGTCTGGTTTTTATATGAAGTTCTTTCCTTCACTACCACAGGCCTCAAAGCGGTCCAAATCTCCACTTGCAGATTCTACAAAAAGAGTGTTTGCAAACTGCTCTATCAAAAGGAATGTTCAACTCTGGGAGTTGAATGCAATCATCACAGAGCAGTTTCTGAGAATGCTTCTATGTCGTTTTTAGAAGATATTTCCTTTTCCAACACAGTCCTCCAAGCCCGCTAAATAGCCACTTGCACATTGTAGAAAAAGTGTGTCAAAGCTGCGCTATCAAAGGGAAAGTTCAACTCTGTGAGGTGAATGCAAACATCCCAAAGAAGTTTCTGAGAATGCTTCCCGTTTAGCTTTTAGGTGAGGATTATCCCGTTTCCAACGAAACCTTCAAAGAGGTCCAAATATCCCCTTGCGGATCCCACAGAAAGAGTGTTTCGAAACTGCTGTTTCAAAAGGAATCTTCAACTCTGTGAGTTGAATGCAATCATCACAAAGAAGTTTCTGACAATGCTTCTCTCTCGTCTTTCTGTGAAGATAAAGGAAAAGGCTTTCAGGCCTTTGCCACCACAGGCCTGAAAGCGGTCCAAATGTCCACTTGCAGATTCTGCCAAAAGAATATTTCAAAACTGCTCTATGAAAAGCAATGTTAAACTCTGCGGCTCGAACACAAACATCACAAAGCGGTTTCTGAGAATGCTTCAGTTTAGTTTTTCTGTGGAAATATTCCCGTTTCCAAAGAAATCTTCAAAGAGGTCCACGTATCCACTTACAGATTCTACAAAAAGACAGTTTCAAAACTGCTCCATCAAAAGGAGGGTTCAACTGTGTGACTTGAATGCAATCATCACTCAGAAGTTTCTGAGAATGCTTCTCTTTAGTTTTTACGTGAACATATACCCGTTTCGAACGAAGGCCACCCAGTGGTCCAAATATCCACTTGCAGATTATACAGAAAGAGTGTTTCGAACCTGAACTCTCAAAGGCAGGTTCATCTCTGCGAGTTAAATGCATTCATCATGAAGAACTTTCTCAGAGTGTTTGTGTTTAGTTATGGGAAATTATTCCCGTTTCCAACGAAATCCTCAGAGAGCTCCAAATATCCACCTGCAGATTCTACCAAAAGTGTATTTGGAAACTGCTCCATCAAAAGGCATGTTCAGCTCTGTGAGTGAAACTCCATCATCACAAAGAATATTCTGAGAATGCTTCCGTTTGCCTTTTATATGAAGTTCCTTCCTGTACTACCGTAGGCCTCAAAGCAGTCCAAATCTCCATTTGCAGATTCTATAAAAAGAGTGATTCCAATCTGCTCTATCAATAGGATTGTTCAACTCCATGAGTTGAATGCCATCCTCACAAAGTAGTTTCTGAGAATGCTTCTATCTGGTTTTTGTGTGAAGATATTTCCTTTTCCACCACAGGCCTCAAAGCCCTCCAAACGTCCACTTGCAGATTCTCGAAAAAGAGTGTTTCATAGCTGCTCTTTCAAAAGGAAAGTTCAACTCTGGGAGTTGAATACAAACATCACAAAGTAGTTTCCGAGAATGCTTCTGTTTAGTTTTTATGTGAAGATGATCGATCCCGTTTCCAGTGAAATCTTCAAAGAGGTCCACATATCCCCTTGCAGATTCCAAAGAAAGAGGGTTTCAAAACTGCTCCATCAGAAGGATTGTTCAACTCTGTGAGTTGAATGCAGCCATCGCAGAAAACTTTCTGAGAATGCTTCTGTCTAGGTTTGATGTGAAGATATAGAGGTTTCAAACGAAGGCTACAAAGTGGTCAAAATATACACTTGCAGATTCTACTACAAGGGTGTTGCAAACCTGAACTATCAAAGGAAGGTTCAACTCTGTGAGTTGAATACAAACATCACAAAGAATGTTCTGAGTTTGCTTCCGTTCAGTTATGGGAAGTTGATCCCGTTTCCAACGAAATCCTCAGAGAGGTCCAAATATCCCCTTGCAGATTCTACAAAACGTGTGTTTGGAAACTGCTCCATCATAACGAATGTTCAGCTCCCTGAGTTAAACTCCATCGTCACAAAGAATTTTCTGAGAGTGCTACCGTCTGGTTTTTATATGAAGTTCTTTCCTTCACTACCACAGGCCTCAAAGCGGTCCAAATCTCCACTTGCAGATTCTACAAAAAGAGTGTTTGCAAACTGCTCTATCAAAAGGAATGTTCAACTCTGGGAGTTGAATGCAATCATCACAGAGCAGTTTCTGAGAATGCTTCTATGTCGTTTTTAGGAGAAGATATTTCCTTTTCCAACACAATCCTGCAAGCCCGCTAAATAGCCACTTGCACATTGTAGAAAAAGTGTGTCAAAGCTGCGCTATCAAAGGGAAAGTTCAACTCTGTGAGGTGAATGCAAACATCCCAAAGAAGTTTCTGAGAATGCTTCCGTTTAGCTTTTAGGTGAAGATTATCCCGTTTCCAACGAAACCTTCAAAGAGGTCCAAATATCCCCTTGCGGATCCCACAGAAAGAGTGTTTCGAAACTGCTGTTTCAAAAGGAATCTTCAACTCTGTGAGTTGAATGCAATCATCACAAAGAAGTTTCTGACAATGCTTCTCTCTCGTCTTTCTGTGAAGATAAAGGAAAAGGCTTTCAGGCCTTTGCCACCACAGGCCTGAAAGCGGTCCAAATGTCCACTTGCAGATTCTGCGAAAAGAATATTTCAAAACTGCTCTATGAAAAGCAATGTTAAACTCTGCGGCTCGAACACAAACATCACAAAGCGGTTTCTGAGAATGCTTCAGTTTAGTTTTTCTGTGGAAATATTCCCGTTTCCAAAGAAATCTTCAAAGAGGTCCACGTATCCACTTACAGATTCTACAAAAAGACAGTTTCAAAACTGCTCCATCAAAAGGAGGGTTCAACTGTGTGACTTGAATGCAATCATCACTCAGAAGTTTCTGAGAATGCTTCTCTTTAGTTTTTACGTGAACATATACCCGTTTCGAACGAAGGCCACCCAGTGGTCCAAATATCCACTTGCAGATTCTACAGAAAGAGTGTTTCGAACCTGAACTCTCAAAGGCAGGTTCATCTCTGCGAGTTAAATGCATTCATCATGAAGAACTTTCTCAGCGTGTTTGTGTTTAGTTATGGGAAATTATTCCCGTTTCCAACGAAATCCTCAAAGAGCTCCAAATATCCACCTGCAGATTCTACCAAAAGTGTATTTGGAAACTGCTCCATCAAAAGACATGTTCAGCTCTGTGAGTGAAACTCCATCATCACAAAGAATATTCTGAGAATGCTTCCCGTTTGCCTTTTATATGAAGTTCCTTCCTGTACTACCGTAGGCCTCAAAGCAGTCCAAATCTCCATTTGCAGATTCTACAAAAAGAGTGATTCCAATCTGCTCTATCAATAGGATTGTTCAACTCCATGAGTTGAATGCCATCCTCACAAAGTCGTTTCTGAGAATGCTTCTATCTGGTTTTTGTGTGAAGATATTTCCTTTTCCACCACAGGCCTCAAAGCCCTCCAAACGTCCACTTGCAGATTCTCGAAAAAGAGTGTTTCATAGCTGCTCTTTCAAAAGGAAAGTTCAACTCTGGGAGTTGAATACAAACATCACAAAATAGTTTCCGAGAATGCTTCTGTTTAGTTTTTATGTGAAGATGATCCCGTTTCCAGTGAAATCTTCAAAGAGGTCCACATATCCCCTTGCAGATTCCAAAGAAAGAGGGTTTCAAAACTGCTCCATCAAAAGGATTGTTCAACTCTGTGAGTTGAATGCAGTCATCGCAGAAAACTTTCTGAGAATGCTTCCTGTCTAGGTTTGATGTGAAGATATAGACGTTTCAAACGAAGGCTACAAAGTGGTCAAAATATACACTTGCAGATTCTACTACAAGGGTGTTGCAAACCTGAACTATCAAAGGAAGGTTCAACTCTGTGAGTTGAATACAAACATCACAAAGAATGTTCTGAGTTTGCTTCCGTTCAGTTATGGGAAGTTGATCCCGTTTCCAACGAAATCCTCAGAGAGGTCCAAATATCCCCTCGCAGATTCTACAAAACGTGTGTTTGGAAACTGCTCCATCATAACGAATGTTCAGCTCCCTGAGTTAAACTCCATCGTCACAAAGAATTTTCTGAGAGTGCTACCGTCTGGTTTTTATATGAAGCTCTTTCCTTCACTACCACAGGCCTCAAAGCGGTCCAAATCTCCACTTGCAGATTCTACAAAAAGAGTGTTTGCAAACTGCTCTATCAAAAGGAATGTTCAACTCTGGGAGTTGAATGCAATCATCACAGAGCAGTTTCTGAGAATGCTTCTATGTCGTTTTTAGGAGAAGATATTTCCTTTTCCAACACAGTCCTCCAAGCCCGCTAAATAGCCACTTGCACATTGTAGAAAAAGTGTGTCAAAGCTGCGCTATCAAAGGGAAAGTTCAACTGTGTGAGGTGAATGCAAACATCCCAAAGAAGTTTCTGAGAATGCTTCCGTTTAGCTTTTAGGTGAAGATTATCCCGTTTCCAACGAAACCTTCAAAGAGGTCCAAATATCCCCTTGCGGATCCCACAGAAAGAGTGTTTCGAAACTGCTGTTTCAAAAGGAATCTTCAACTCTGTGAGTTGAATGCAATCATCCCAAAGAAGTTTCTGACAATGCTTCTCTCTCGTCTTTCTGTGAAGATAAAGGAAAAGGCTTTCAGGCCTTTTCCACCACAGGCCTGAAAGCGCTCCAAATGTCCACTTGCAGATTCTGCCAAAAGAATATTTCAAAACTGCTCTATGAAAAGCAATGTTAAACTCTGTGGCTCGAACACAAACATCACAAAGCGGTTTCTGAGAATGCTTCAGTTTAGTTTTTCTGTGGAAATATTCCCGTTTCCAAAGAAATCTTCAAAGAGGTCCACGTATCCACTTACAGATTCTACAAAAAGACAGTTTCAAAACTGCTCCATCAAAAGGAGGGTTCAACTGTGTGACTTGAATGCAATCATCACTCAGAAGTTTCTGAGAATGCTTCTCTTTAGTTTTTACGTGAACATATACCCGTTTCGAACGAAGGCCACCCAGTGGTCCAAATATCCACTTGCAGATTCTACAGAAAGAGTGTTTCGAACCTGAACTCTCAAAGGCAGGTTCATCTCTGCGAGTCAAAAGCATTCATCATGAAGAACTTTCTCAGAGTGTTTGTGTTTAGTTATGGGAAATTATTCCCGTTTCCAACGAAATCCTCAGAGAGCTCCAAATATCCACCTGCAGATTCTACCAAAAGTGTATTTGGAAACTGCTCCATCAAAAGGCATGTTCAGCTCTGTGAGTGAAACTCCATCATCACAAAGAATATTCTGAGAATGCTTCCGTTTGCCTTTTATATGAAGTTCCTTCCTGTACTACCGTAGGCCTCAAAGCAGTCCAAATCTCCATTTGCAGATTCTATAAAAAGAGTGATTCCAATCTGCTCTATCAATAGGATTGTTCAACTCCATGAGTTGAATGCCATCCTCACAAAGTAGTTTCTGAGAATGCTTCTATCTGGTTTTTGTGTGAAGATATTTCCTTTTCCACCACAGGCCTCAAAGCCCTCCAAACGTCCACTTGCAGATTCTCGAAAAAGAGTGTTTCATAGCTGCTCTTTCAAAAGGAAAGTTCAACTCTGGGAGTTGAATACAAACATCACAAAATAGTTTCCGAGAATGCTTCAGTTTAGTTTTTATGTGAAGATGATCCCGTTTCCAGTGAAATCTTCAAAGAGGTCCACATATCCCCTTGCAGATTCCAAAGAAAGAGGGTTTCAAAACTGCTCCATCAGAAGGATTGTTCAACTCTGTGAGTTGAATGCAGTCATCGCAGAAAACTTTCTGAGAATGCTTCTGTCTAGGTTTGATGTGAAGATATAGACGTTTCAAATGAAGGCTACAAAGTGGTCAAAATATACACTTGCAGATTCTACTACAAGGGTGTTGCAAACCTGAACTATCAAAGGAAGGTTCAACTCTGTGAGTTGAATACAAACATCACAAAGAATGTTCTGAGTTTGCTTCCGTTCAGTTATGGGAAGTTGATCCCGTTTCCAACGAAATCCTCAGAGAGGTCCAAATATCCCCTTGCAGATTCTACAAAACGTGTGTTTGGAAACTGCTCCATCATAACGAATGTTCAGCTCCCTGAGTTAAACTCCATCGTCACAAAGAATTTTCTGAGAGTGCTACCGTCTGGTTTTTATATGAAGCTCTTTCCTTCACTACCACAGGCCTCAAAGCGGTCCAAATCTCCACTTGCAGATTCTACAAAAAGAGTGTTTGCAAACTGCTCTATCAAAAGGAATGTTCAACTCTGGGAGTTGAATGCAATCATCACAGAGCAGTTTCTGAGAATGCTTCTATGTCGTTTTTAGGAGAAGATATTTCCTTTTCCAACACAGTCCTCCAAGCCCGCTAAATAGCCACTTGCACATTGTAGAAAATGTGTGTCAAAGCTGCGCTATCAAAGGGAAAGTTCAACTCTGTGAGGTGAATGCAAACATCCCAAAGAAGTTTCTGAGAATGCTTCCGTTTAGCTTTTAGGTGAAGATTATCCCGTTTCCAACGAAACCTTCAAAGAGGTCCAAATATCCCCTTGCGGATCCCACAGAAAGAGTGTTTCGAAACTGCTGTTTCAAAAGGAATCTTCAACTCTGTGAGTTGAATGCAATCATCACAAAGAAGTTTCTGACAATGCTTCTCTCTCGTCTTTCTGTGAAGATAAAGGAAAAGGCTTTCAGGCCTTTTCCACCACAGGCCTGAAAGCGCTCCAAATGTCCACTTGCAGATTCTGCCAAAAGAATATTTCAAAACTGCTCTATGAAAAGCAATGTTAAACTCTGTGGCTCGAACACAAACATCACAAAGCGGTTTCTGAGAATGCTTCAGTTTAGTTTTTCTGTGGAAATATTCCCGTTTCCAAAGAAATCTTCAAAGAGGTCCAAGTATCCACTTACAGATTCTACAAAAAGACAGTTTCAAAACTGCTCCATCAAAAGGAAGGTTCAACTGTGTGACTTGAATGCAATCATCACTCAGAAGTTTCTGAGAATGCTTCTCTTTAGTTTTTACGTGAACATATACCCGTTTCGAACGAAGGCCAGCCAGTGGTCCAAATATCCACTTGCAGATTCTACAGAAAGAGTGTTTCGAACCTGAACTCTCAAAGGCAGGTTCATCTCTGCGAGTTAAATGCATTCATCATGAAGAACTTTCTCAGAGTGTTTGTGTTTAGTTATGGGAAATTATTCCCGTTTCCAACGAAATCCTCAGAGAGGTCCAAATATCCACCTGCAGATTCTACCAAAAGTGTATTTGGAAACTGCTCCATCAAAAGGCATGTTCAGCTCTGTGAGTGAAACTCCATCATCACAAAGAATATTCTGAGAATGCTTCCGTTTGCCTTTTATATGAAGTTCCTTCCTATACGACCGTAGGCCTCAAAGCAGTCCAAATCTCCATTTGCAGATTCTACAAAAAGAGTGATTCCAATCTGCTCTATCAATAGGATTGTTCAACTCCATGAGTTGAATGCCATCCTCACAAAGTAGTTTCTGAGAATGCTTCTATCTAGTTTTTATGTGAAGATATTTCCTTTTCCACCACAGGCCTCAAAGCCCTCCAAACGTCCACTTGCAGATTCTCGAAAAAGAGTGTTTCATAGCTGCTCTTTCAAAAGGAAAGTTCAACTCTGGGAGTTGAATACAAACATCACAAAGTAGTTTCCGAGAATGCTTCTGTTTAGTTTTTATGTGAAGATGATCCCGTTTCCAGTGAAATCTTCAAAGAGGTCCACATATCCCCTTGCAGATTCCAAAGAAAGAGGGTTTCAAAACTGCTCCATCAGAAGGATTGTTCAACTCTGTGAGTTGAATGCAGTCATCGCAGAAAACTTTCTGAGAATGCTTCTGTCTAGGTTTGATGTGAAGATATAGACGTTTCAAACGAAGGCTACAAAGTGGTCAAAATATACACTTGCAGATTCTACTACAAGGGTGTTGCAAACCTGAACTATCAAAGGAAGGTTCAACTCTGTGAGTTGAATACAAACATCACAAAGAATGTTCTGAGTTTGCTTCCGTTCAGTTATGGGAAGTTGATCCCGTTTCCAACGAAATCCTCAGAGAGGTCCAAATATCCCCTTGCAGATTCTACAAAACGTGTGTTTGGAAACTGCTCCATCATAACGAATGTTCAGCTCCCTGAGTTAAACTCCATCGTCACAAAGAATTTTCTGAGAGTGCTACCGTCTGGTTTTTATATGAAGTTCTTTCCTTCACTACCACAGGCCTCAAAGCGGTCCAAATCTCCACTTGCAGATTCTACAAAAAGAGTGTTTGCAAACTGCTCTATCAAAAGGAATGTTCAACTCTGGGAGTTGAATGCAATCATCACAGAGCAGTTTCTGAGAATGCTTCTATGTCGTTTTTAGGAGAAGATATTTCCTTTTCCAACACAGTCCTCCAAGCCCGCTAAATAGCCACTTGCACATTGTAGAAAAAGTGTGTCAAAGCTACGCTATCAAAGGGAAAGTTCAACTCTGTGAGGTGAATGCAAACATCCCAAAGAAGTTTCTGAGAATGCTTCCGTTTAGCTTTTAGGTGAAGATTATCCCGTTTCCAACGAAACCTTCAAAGAGGTCCAAATATCCCCTTGCGGATCCCACAGAAAGAGTGTTTCGAAACTGCTGTTTCAAAAGGAATCTTCAACTCTGTGAGTTGAATGCAATCATCACAAAGAAGTTTCTGACAATGCTTCTCTCTCGTCTTTCTGTGAAGATAAAGGAAAAGGCTTTCAGGCCTTTGCCACCACAGGCCTGAAAGCGGTCCAAATGTCCACTTGCAGATTCTGCCAAAAGAATATTTCAAAACTGCTCTATGAAAAGCAATGTTAAACTCTGTGGCTCGAACACAAACATCACAAAGCGGTTTCTGAGAATGCTTCAGTTTAGTTTTTCTGTGGAAATATTCCCGTTTCCAAAGAAATCTTCAAAGAGGTCCACCATATCCACTTACAGATTCTACAAAAAGACAGTTTCAAAACTGCTCCATCAAAAGGAGGGTTCAACCGTGTGACTTGAATGCAATCATCACTCAGAAGTTTCTGAGAATGCTTCTCTTTAGTTTTTACGTGAACATATACCCGTTTCGAACGAAGGCCACCCAGTGGTCCAAATATCCACTTGCAGATTATACAGAAAGAGTGTTTCGAACCTGAACTCTCAAAGGCAGGTTCATCTCTGCGAGTTAAATGCATTCATCATGAAGAACTTTCTCAGAGTGTTTGTGTTTAGTTATGGGAAATTATTCCCGTTTCCAACGAAATCCTCAGAGTGGTCCAAATATCCACCTGCAGATTCTACCAAAAGTGTATTTGGAAACTGCTCCATCAAAAGGCATGTTCAGCTCTGTGAGTGAAACTCCATCATCACAAAGAATATTCTGAGAATGCTTCCGTTTGCCTTTTATATGAAGTTCCTTCCTATACGACCGTAGGCCTCAAAGCAGTCCAAATCTCCATTTGCAGATTCTACAAAAAGAGTGATTCCAATCTGCTCTATCAATAGGATTGTTCAACTCCATGAGTTGAATGCCATCCTCACAAAGTAGTTTCTGAGAATGCTTCTATCTAGTTTTTATGTGAAGGTATTTCCTTTTCCAGCACAGGCCTCCAAGCCCTCCAAACGTCCACTTGCAGATTCTCGAAAAAGAGTGTTTCATAGCTGCTCTTTCAAAAGGAAAGTTCAACTCTGGGAGTTGAATACAAACATCACAAAGTAGTTTCCGAGAATGCTTCTGTTTAGTTTTTATGTGAAGATGATCCCGTTTCCAGTGAAATCTTCAAAGAGGTCCACATATCCCCTTGCAGATTCCAAAGAAAGAGGGTTTAAAAACTGCTCCATCAGAAGGATTGTTCAACTCTGTGAGTTGAATGCAGTCATCGCAGAAAACTTTCTGAGAATGCTTCTGTCTAGGATTGATGTGAAGATATAGACGTTTCAAATGAAGGCTACAAAGTGGTCAAAATATACACTTGCAGATTCTACTACAAGGGTGTTGCAAACCTGAACTATCAAAGGAAGGTTCAACTCTGTGAGTTGAATACAAACATCACAAAGAATGTTCTGAGTTTGCTTCCGTTCAGTTATGGGAAGTTGATCCCGTTTCCAACGAAATCCTCAGAGAGGTCCAAATATCCCCTTGCAGATTCTACAAAACGTGTGTTTGGAAACTGCTCCATCATAACGAATGTTCAGCTCCCTGAGTTAAACTCCATCGTCACAAAGAATTTTCTGAGAGTGCTACCGTCTGGTTTTTATATGAAGTTCTTTCCTTCACTACCACAGACCTCAAAGCCGTCCAAATCTCCACTTCCAGATTCTACAAAAAGAGTGTTTGCAAACTGCTCTATCAAAAGGAATGTTCAACTCTGGGAGTTGAATGCAATCATCACAGAGCAGTTTCTGAGAATGCTTCTATGTCGTTTTTAGGAGAAGATATTTCCTTTTCCAACACAGTCCTCCAAGCCCGCTAAATAGCCACTTGCACATTGTAGAAAAAGTGTGTCAAAGCTGCGCTATCAAAGGGAAAGTTCAACTCTGTGAGGTGAATGCAAACATCCCAAAGAAGTTTCTGAGAATGCTTCCGTTTAGCTTTTAGGTGAAGATTATCCCGTTTCCAACGAAACCTTCAAAGAGGTCCAAATATCCCCTTGCGGATCCCACAGAAAGAGTGTATCGAAACTGCTGTTTCAAAAGGAATCTTCAACTCTGTGAGTTGAATGCAATCATCACAAAGAAGTTTCTGACAATGCTTCTCTCTCGTCTTTCTGTGAAGATAAAGGAAAAGGCTTTCAGGCCTTTTCCACCACAGGCCTGAAAGCGCTCCAAATGTCCACTTGCAGATTCTGTGAAAAGAATATTTCAAAACTGCTCTATGAAAAGCAATGTTAAACTCTGTGGCTCGAACACAAACATCACAAAGCAGTTTCTGAGAATGCTTCAGTTTAGTTTTTCTGTGGAAATATTCCCGTTTCCAAAGAAATCTTCAAAGAGGTCCACGTGTCCACTTACAGATTCTACAAAAAGACAGTTTCAAAACTGCTCCATCAAAAGGAGGGTTCAACTGTGTGACTTGAATGCAATCATCACTCAGAAGTTTCTGAGAATGCTTCTCTTTAGTTTTTACGTGAACATATACCCGTTTCGAACGAAGGCCAGCCAGTGGTCCAAATATCCACTTGCAGATTCTACAGAAAGAGAGTTTCGAACATTAACTCTCAAAGGCAGGTTCATCTCTGCGAGTTAAATGCATTCATCATGAAGAACTTTCTCAGAGTGTTTGTGTTTAGTTATGGGAAATTATTCCCGTTTCCAACGAAATCCTCAGAGAGCTCCAAATATCCACCTGCAGATTCTACCAAAAGTGTATTTGGAAACTGCTCCATCAAAAGGCATGTTCAGCTCTGTGAGTGAAACTCCATCATCACAAAGAATATTCTGAGAATGCTTCCGTTCGCCTTTTATATGAAGTTCCTTCCTATACTACCGTAGGCCTCAAAGCAGTCCAAATCTCCATTTGCAGATTCTACAAAAAGAGTGATTCCAATCTGCTCTATCAATAGGACTGTTCAACTCCATGAGTTGAATGCCATCCTCACAAAGTCGTTTCTGAGAATGCTTCTATCTACTTTTTATGTGAAGATATTTCCTTTTCCACCACAGGCCTCAAAGCCCTCCAAACGTCCACTTGCAGATTCTCGAAAAAGAGTGTTTCATAGCTGCTCTTTCAAAAGGAAAGTTCAACTCTGGGAGTTGAATACAAACATCACAAAGTAGTTTCCGAGAATGCTTCTGTTTAGTTCTTATGTGAAGATGATCCCGTTTCCAGTGAAATCTTCAAAGAGGTCCACATATCCCCTTGCAGATTCCAAAGAAAGAGGGTTTCAAAACTGCTCCATCAAAAGGATTGTTCAACTCTGTGAGTTGAATGCAGTCATCGCAGAAAACTTTCTGAGAATGCTTCTGTCCAAGTTTGATGTGAAGATATAGACCTTTCAAACGAAGGCTACAAAGTGGTCAAAATATACACTTGCAGATTCTACTACAAGGGTGTTGCAAACCTGAACTATCAAAGGAAGGTTCATCTCTGTGAGTTGAATAGAAACATCACAAAGAATGTTCTGAGTTTGCTTCCGTTCAGTTATGGGAAGTTGATCCCGTTTCCAACGAAATCCTCAGAGAGGTCCAAATATCCCCTTGCAGATTCTACAAAACGTGTGTTTGGAAACTGCTCCATCATAACGAATGTTCAGCTCTCTGAGTTAAACTCCATCGTCACAAAGAATTTTCTGAGAGTGCTACCGTCTAGTTTTTATAGGAAGTTCTTTCCTTTACTACCACAGGCCTCAAAGCGGTCCAAATCTCCACTTGCAGATTCTACAAAAAGAGTGTTTGCAAACTGCTCTATCAAAAGGAATGTTCAACTCTGGGAGTTGAATGCAATCATCACAGAGCAGTTTCTGAGAATGCTTCTATGTCGTTTTTAGGAGAAGATATTTCCTTTTCCAACACAGTCCTCCAAGCCCGCTAAATATCCACTTGCACATTGTAGAAAAAGTGTGTCGAAGCTGCGCTATCAAAGGGAAAGTTCAACTCTGTGAGGTGAATGCAAACATCCCAAAGAAGTTTCTGAGAATGCTTCCCGTTTAGCTTTTAGGTGAGGATTATCCCGTTTCCAACGAAACCTTCAAAGAGGTCCAAATATCCCCTTGCGGATCCCACAGAAAGAGTGTTTCGAAACTGCTGTTTCAAAAGGAATCTTCAACTCTGTGAGTTGAATGCAATCATCACAAAGAAGTTTCTGACAATGCTTCTCTCTCGTCTTTCTGTGAAGATAAAGGAAAAGGCTTTCAGGCCTTTTCCACCACAGGCCTGAAAGCGCTCCAAATGTCCACTTGCAGATTCTGCCAAAAGAATATTTCAAAACTGCTCTATGAAAAGCAATGTTAAACTCTGCGGCTCGAACACAAACATCACAAAGCAGTTTCTGAGAATGCTTCGGTTAAGTTTTTCTGTGGAAATATTCCCGTTTCCAAAGAAATCTTCAAAGAGGTCCACGTATCCACTTACAGATTCTACAAAAAGACAGTTTCAAAACTGCTCAATCAAAAGGAGGGTTCAACTGTGTGACTTGAATGCAATCATCACTCAGAAGTTTCTGAGAACGCTTCTCTTTAGTTTTTACGTGAACATATACCCGTTTCGAACGAAGGCCAGCCAGTGGTCCAAATATCCACTTGCAGATTCTACAGAAAGAGTGTTTCGAACCTGAACTCTCAAAGGCACGTTCATCTCTGCGAGTTAAATGCATTCATCATGAAGAACTTTCTCAGCGTGTTTGTGTTTAGTTATGGGAAATTATTCCCGTTTCCAACGAAATCCTCAGAGAGCTCCAAATATCCACCTGCAGATTCTACCAAAAGTGTATTTGGAAACTGCTCCATCAAAAGGCATGTTCAGCTCTGTGAGTGAAACTCCATCATCACAAAGAATATTCTGAGAATGCTTCCGTTTGCCTTTTATATGAAGTTCCTTCCTGTACTACCGTAGGCCTCAAAGCAGTCCAAATCTCCATTTGCAGATTCTACAAAAAGAGTGATTCCAATCTGCTCTATCAATAGGATTGTTCAACTCCATGAGTTGAATGCCATCCTCACAAAGTAGTTTCTGAGAATGCTTCTATCTGGTTTTTGTGTGAAGATATTTCCTTTTCCACCACAGGCCTCAAAGCCCTCCAAACGTCCACTTGCAGATTCTCGAAAAAGAGTGTTTCATAGCTGCTCTTTCAAAAGGAAAGTTCAACTCTGGGAGTTGAATACAAACATCACAAAATAGTTTCCGAGAATGCTTCTGTTTAGTTTTTATGTGAAGATGATCCCGTTTCCAGTGAAATCTTCAAAGAGGTCCACATATCCCCTTGCAGATTCCAAAGAAAGAGGGTTTCAAAACTGCTCCATCAGAAGGATTGTTCAACTCTGTGAGTTGAATGCAGTCATCGCAGAAAACTTTCTGAGAATGCTTCTGTCTAGGTTTGATGTGAAGATATAGACGTTTCAAACGAAGGCTACAAAGTGGTCAAAATATACACTTGCAGATTCTACTACAAGGGTGTTGCAAACCTGAACTATCAAAGGAAGGTTCAACTCTGTGAGTTGAATACAAACATCACAAAGAATGTTCTGAGTTTGCTTCCGTTCAGTTATGGGAAGTTGATCCCGTTTCCAACGAAATCCTCAGAGAGGTCCAAATATCCCCTTGCAGATTCTACAAAACGTGTGTTTGGAAACTGCTCCATCATAACGAATGTTCAGCTCCCTGAGTTAAACTCCATCGTCACAAAGAATTTTCTGAGAGTGCTACCGTCTGGTTTTTATATGAAGCTCTTTCCTTCACTACCACAGGCCTCAAAGCGGTCCAAATCTCCACTTGCAGATTCTACAAAAAGAGTGTTTGCAAACTGCTCTATCAAAAGGAATGTTCAACTCTGGGAGTTGAATGCAATCATCACAGAGCAGTTTCTGAGAATGCTTCTATGTCGTTTTTAGGAGAAGATATTTCCTTTTCCAACACAGTCCTCCAAGCCCGCTAAATAGCCACTTGCACATTGTAGAAAAAGTGTGTCAAAGCTGCGCTATCAAAGGGAAAGTTCAACTCTGTGAGGTGAATGCAAACATCCTAAAGAAGTTTCTGAGAATGCTTCCGTTTAGCTTTTAGGTGAAGATTATCCCGTTTCCAACGAAACCTTCAAAGAAGTCCAAATATCCCCTTGCGGATCCCACAGAAAGAGTGTTTCGAAACTGCTGTTTCAAAAGGAATCTTCAACTCTGTGAGTTGAATGCAATCATCACAAAGAAGTTTCTGACAATGCTTCTCTCTCGTCTTTCTGTGAAGATAAATAAATGCTTTCAGGCCTTTGCCACCACAGGCCTGAAAGCGCTCCAAATGTCCACTTGCAGATTCTGCCAAAAGAATATTTCAAAACTGCTTTGTGAAAAGCAATGTTAAACTCTGTGGCTCGAACACAAACATCACAAAGCAGTTTCTGAGAATGCTTCAGTTTAGTTTTTCTGTGGAAATATTCCCGTTTCCAAAGAAATCTTCAAAGAGGTCCACGTATCCACTTACAGATTCTACAAAAAGACAGTTTCAAAACTGCTCCTTCAAAAGGAGGGTTCAACTGTGTGACTTGAATGCAATCATCACTCAGAAGTTTCTGAGAATGCTTCTCTTTAGTTTTTACGTGAACATATACCCGTTTCGAACGAAGGCCACCCAGTGGTCCAAATATCCACTTGCAGATTATACAGAAAGAGTGTTTCGAACCTGAACTCTCAAAGGCAGGTTCATCTCTGCGAGTTAAATGCATTCATCATGAAGAACTTTCTCAGAGTGTTTGTGTTTAGTTATGGGAAATTATTCCCGTTTCCAACGAAATCCTCAGAGAGCTCCAAATATCCACCTGCAGATTCTACCAAAAGTGTATTTGGAAACTGCTCCATCAAAAGGCATGTTCAGCTCTGTCAGTGAAACTCCATCATCACAAAGAATATTCTGAGAATGCTTCCGTTTGCCTTTTATATGAAGTTCCTTCCTGTACTACCGTAGGCCTCAAAGCAGTCCAAATCTCCATTTGCAGATTCTACAAAAAGAGTGATTCCAATCTGCTCTATCAATAGGATTGTTCAACTCCATGAGTTGAATGCCATCCTCACAAAGTCGTTTCTGAGAATGCTTCTATCTGGTTTTTGTGTGAAGATATTTCCTTTTCCACCACAGGCCTCAAAGCCCTCCAAACGTCCACTTGCAGATTCTCGAAAAAGAGTGTTTCATAGCTGCTCTTTCAAAAGGAAAGTTCAACTCTGGGAGTTGAATACAAACATCACAAAGTAGTTTCCGAGAATGCTTCTGTTTAGTTTTTATGTGAAGATGATCCCGTTTCCAGTGAAATCTTCAAAGAGGTCCACATATCCCCTTGCAGATTCCAAAGAAAGAGGGTTTCAAAACTGCTCCATCAAAAGGATTGTTCAACTCTGTGAGTTGAATGCAGTCATCGCAGAAAACTTTCTGAGAATGCTTCTGTCTAGGTTTGATGTGAAGATATAGACGTTTCAAACGAAGGCTACAAAGTGGTCAAAATATACACTTGCAGATTCTACTACAAGGGTGTTGCAAACCTGAACTATCAAAGGAAGGTTCAACTCTGTGAGTTGAATACAAACATCACAAAGAATGTTCTGAGTTTGCTTCTGTTCAGTTATGGGAAGTTGATCCCGTTTCCAGCGAAATCCTCAGAGAGGTCCAAATATCCCCTTGCAGATTCTACAAAACGTGTGTTTGGAAACTGCTCCATCATAACGAATGTTCAGCTCCCTGAGTTAAACTCCATCGTCACAAAGAATTTTCTGAGAGTGCTACCGTCTAGTTTTTATATGAAGTTCTTTCCTTTACTACCACAGGCCTCAAAGCGGTCCAAATCTCCACTTGCATATTCTACAAAAAGAGTGTTTGCAAACTGCTCTATCAAAAGGAATGTTCAACTCTGGGAGTTGAAAGCAATCATCACAGAGCAGTTTCTGAGAATGCTTCTATGTCGTTTTTAGGAGAAGATATTTCCTTTTCCAACACAGTCCTCCAAGCCCGCTAAATAGCCACTTGCACATTGTAGAAAAAGTGTGTCAAAGCTGCGCTATCAAAGGGAAAGTTCAACTCTGTGAGGTGAATGCAAACATCCCAAAGAAGTTTCTGAGAATACTTCCGTTTAGCTTTTAGGTGAAGATTATCCCGTTTCCAACGAAACCTTCAAAGAGGTCCAAATATCCCCTTGCGGATCCCACAGAAAGAGTGTTTCGAAACTGCTGTTTCAAAAGGAATCTTCAACTCTGTGAGTTGAATGCAATCATCACAAAGAAGTTTCTGACAATGCTTCTCTCTCGTCTTTCTGTGAAGATAAAGGAAAAGGCTTTCAGGCCTTTTCCACCACAGGCCTGAAAGCGCTCCAAATGTCCACTTGCAGATTCTGCGAAAAGAATATTTCAAAACTGCTCTATGAAAAGCAATGTTAAACTCTGCGGCTCGAACACAAACATCACAAAGCGGTTTCTGAGAATGCTTCAGTTTAGTTTTTCTGTGGAAATATTCCCGTTTCCAAAGAAATCTTCAAAGAGGTCCACGCATCCACTTACAGATTCTACAAAAAGACAGTTTCAAAACTGCTCCATCAAAAGGAGGGTTCAACCGTGTGACTTGAATGCAATCATCACTCAGAAGTTTCTGAGAATGCTTCTCTTTAGTTTTTACGTGAACATATACCCGTTTCGAACGAAGGCCACCCAGTGGTCCAAATATCCACTTGCAGATTCTACAGAAAGAGTGTTTCGAACCTGAACTCTCAAAGGCAGGTTCATCTCTGCGAGTTAAATGCATTCATCATGAAGAACTTTCTCAGAGTGTTTTGTGTTTAGTTATGGGAAATTATTCCCGTTTCCAACGAAATCCTCAGAGAGCTCCAAATATCCACCTGCTGATTCTACCAAAAGTGTATTTGGAAACTGCTCCATCAAAAGGCATGTTCAGGTCTGTGAGTGAAACTCCATCATCACAAAGAATATTCTGAGAATGCTTCCGTTTGCCTTTTATATGAAGTTCCTTCCTGTACTACCGTAGGCCTCAAAGCAGTCCAAATCTCCATTTGCAGATTCTACAAAAAGAGTGATTCCAATCTGCTCTATCAATAGGATTGTTCAACTCCATGAGTTGAATGCCATCCTCACAAAGTCGTTTCTGAGAATGCTTCTATCTGGTTTTTGTGTGAAGATATTTCCTTTTCCACCACAGGCCTCAAAGCCCTCCAAACGTCCACTTGCAGATTCTCGAAAAAGAGTGTTTCATAGCTGCTCTTTCAAAAGGAAAGTTCAACTCTGGGAGTTGAATACAAACATCACAAAATAGTTTCCGAGAATGCTTCTGTTTAGTTCTTATGTGAAGATGATCCCGTTTCCAGTGAAATCTTCAACGAGGTCCACATATCCCCTTGCAGATTCCAAAGAAAGAGGGTTTCAAAACTGCTCCATCAAAATGATTGTTCAACTCTGTGAGTTGAATGCAGTCATCGCAGAAAACTTTCTGAGAATGCTTCTGTCTAGGTTTGATGTGAAGATATAGACGTTTCAAACGAAGGCTACAAAGTGGTCAAAATATACACTTGCAGATTCTACTACAAGGGTGTTGCAAACCTGAACTATCAAAGGAAGGTTCAACTCTGTGAGTTGAATACAAACATCACAAAGAATGCTCTGAGTTTGCTTCCGTTCAGTTATGGGAAGTTGATCCCGTTTCCAACGAAATCCTCAGAGAGGTCCAAATATCCCCTTGCAGATTCTACAAAACGTGTGTTTGGAAACTGCTCCATCATAACGAATGTTCAGCTCTCTGAGTTAAACTCCATCGTCACAAAGAATTTTCTGAGAGTGCTACCGTCTGGTTTTTATATGAAGTTATTTCCTTTACTACCACAGGCCTCAAAGCGGTCCAAATCTCCACTTGCAGATTCTACAAAAAGAGTGTTTGCAAACTGCTCTATCAAAAGGAATGTTCAACTCTGGGAGTTGAATGCAATCATCACAGAGCAGTTTCTGAGAATGCTTCTATGTCGTTTTTAGAAGATATTTCCTTTTCCAACACAGTCCTCCAAGCCCGCTAAATAGTCACTTGCACATTGTAGAAAAAGTGTGTCAAAGCTGCGCTATCAAAGGGAAAGTTCAACTCTGTGAGGTGAATGCAAACATCCCAAAGAAGTTTCTGAGAATGCTTCCGTTTAGCTTTTAGGTGAAGATTATCCCGTTTCCAACGAAACCTTCAAAGAGGTCCAAATATCCCCTTGCGGATCCCACAGAAAGAGTGTTTCGAAACTGCTGTTTCAAAAGGAATCTTCAACTCTGTGAGTTGAATGCAATCATCACAAAGAAGTTTCTGACAATGCTTCTCTCTCGTCTTTCTGTGAAGATAAAGGAAAAGGCTTTCAGGCCTTTTCCACCACAGGCCTGAAAGCGCTCCAAATGTCCACTTGCAGATTCTGTGAAAAGAATATTGCAAAACTGCTCTATGAAAAGCAATGTTAAACTCTGTGGCTCGAACACAAACATCACAAAGCAGTTTCTGAGAATGCTTCAGTTTAGTTTTTCTGTGGAAATATTCCCGTTTCCAAAGAAATCTTCAAAGAGGTCCACGTATCCACTTACAGATTCTACAAAAAGACAGTTTCAAAACTGCTCCATCAAAAGGAGGGTTCAACTGTGTGACTTGAATGCAATCATCACTCAGAAGTTTCTGAGAATGCTTCTCTTTAGTTTTTACGTGAACATATACCCGTTTCGAACGAAGGCCACCCAGTGGTCCAAATATCCACTTGCAGATTCTACAGAAAGGGTGTTTCGAACCTGAACTCTCAAAGGCAGGTTCATCTCTGCGAGTTAAATGCATTCATCATGAAGAACTTTCTCAGAGTGTTTGTGTTTAGTTATGGGAAATTATTCCCGTTTCCAACGAAATCCTCAGAGAGCTCCAAATATCCACCTGCAGATTCTACCAAAAGTGTATTTGGAAACTGCTCCATCAAAAGGCATGTTCAGCTCTGTGAGTGAAACTCCATCATCACAAAGAATATTCTGAGAATGCTTCCCGTTTGCCTTTTATATGAAGTTCCTTCCTGTACTACCGTAGGCCTCAAAGCAGTCCAAATCTCCATTTGCAGATTCTATAAAAAGAGTGATTCCAATCTGCTCTATCAATAGGATTGTTCAACTCCATGAGTTGAATGCCATCCTCACAAAGTAGTTTCTGAGAATGCTTCTATCTGGTTTTTGTGTGAAGATATTTCCTTTTCCACCACAGGCCTCAAAGCCCTCCAAACGTCCACTTGCAGATTCTCGAAAAAGAGTGTTTCATAGCTGCTCTTTCAAAAGGAAAGTTCAACTCTGGGAGTTGAATACAAACATCACAAAACAGTTTCCGAGAATGCTTCTGTTTAGTTTTTATGTGAAGATGATCCCGTTTCCAGTGAAATCTTCAAAGAGGTCCACATATCCCCTTGCAGATTCCAAAGAAAGAGGGTTTCAAAACTGCTCCATCAGAAGGATTGTTCAACTCTGTGAGTTGAATGCAGTCATCGCAGAAAACTTTCTGAGAATGCTTCTGTCTAGGTTTGATGTGAAGATATAGACGTTTCAAACGAAGGCTACAAAGTGGTCAAAATATACACTTGCAGATTCTACTACAAGGGTGTTGCAAACCTGAACTATCAAAGGAAGGTTCAACTCTGTGAGTTGAATACAAACATCACAAAGAATGTTCTGAGTTTGCTTCCGTTCAGTTATGGGAAGTTGATCCCGTTTCCAACGAAATCCTCAGAGAGGTCCAAATATCCCCTTGCAGATTCTACAAAACGTGTGTTTGGAAACTGCTCCATCATAACGAATGTTCAGCTCCCTGAGTTAAACTCCATCGTCACAAAGAATTTTCTGAGAGTGCTACCGTCTGGTTTTTATATGAAGCTCTTTCCTTCACTACCACAGGCCTCAAAGCGGTCCAAATCTCCACTTGCAGATTCTACAAAAAGAGTGTTTGCAAACTGCTCTATCAAAAGGAATGTTCAACTCTGGGAGTTGAATGCAATCATCACAGAGCAGTTTCTGAGAATGCTTCTATGTCGTTTTTAGAAGATATTTCCTTTTCCAACACAGTCCTCCAAGCCCGCTAAATATCCACTTGCACATTGTAGAAAACGTGTGTCAAAGCTGCGCTATCAAAGGGAAAGTTCAACTCTGTGAGGTGAATGCAAACATCCCAAAGAAGTTTCTGAGAATGCTTCCGTTTAGCTTTTAGGTGAAGATTATCCCGTTTCCAACGAAACCTTCAAAGAGGTCCAAATATCCCCTTGCGGATCCCACAGAAAGAGTGTTTCGAAACTGCTGTTTCAAAAGGAATCTTCAACTCTGTGAGTTGAATGCAATCATCACAAAGAAGTTTCTGACAATGCTTCTCTCTCGTCTTTCTGTGAAGATAAAGGAAAAGGCTTTCAGGCCTTTTCCACCACAGGCCTGAAAGCGCTCCAAATGTCCACTTGCAGATTCTGCCAAAAGAATATTTCAAAACTGCTCTATGAAACGCAATGTTAAACTCTGTGGCTCGAACACAAACATCACAAGGCGGTTTCTGAGAATGCTTCAGTTTAGTTTTTCTGTGGAAATATTCCCGTTTCCAAAGAAATCTTCAAAGAGGTCCACGTATCCACTTACAGATTCTACAAAAAGACAGTTTCAAAACTGCTCCATCAAAAGGAGGGTTCAACTGTGTGACTTGAATGCAATCATCACTCAGAAGTTTCTGAGAATGCTTCTCTTTAGTTTTTACGTGAACATATACCCCTTTCGAACGAAGGCCACCCAGTGGTCCAAATATCCACTTGCAGATTCTACAGAAAGAGTGTTTCGAACATGAACTCTCAAAGGCAGGTTCATCTCTGCGAGTTAAATGCATTCATCATGAAGAACTTTCTCAGAGTGTTTGTGTTTAGTTATGGGAAATTATTCCCGTTTCCAACGAAATCCTCAGAGAGCTCCAAATATCCACCTGCAGATTCTACCAAAAGTGGATTTGGAAACTGCTCCATCAAAAGGCATGTTCAGCTCTGTGAGTGAAACTCCATCATCACAAAGAATATTCTGAGAATGCTTCCGTTTGCCTTTTATATGAAGTTCCTTCCTATACGACCGTAGGCCTCAAAGCAGTCCAAATCTCCATTTGCAGATTCTACAAAAAGAGTGATTCCAATCTGCTCTATCAATAGGATTGTTCAACTCCATGAGTTGAATGCCATCCTCACAAAGTCGTTTCTGAGAATGCTTCTATCTAGTTTTTATGTGAAGATATTTCCTTTTCCACCACAGGCCTCAAAGCCCTCCAAACGTCCACTTGCAGATTCTCGAAAAAGAGTGTTTCATAGCTGCTCTTTCAAAAGGAAAGTTCAACTCTGGGAGTTGAATACAAACATCACAAAGTAGTTTCCGAGAATGCTTCTGTTTAGTTTTTATGTGAAGATGATCCCGTTTCCAGTGAAATCTTCAAAGAGGTCCACATATCCCCTTGCAGATTCCAAAGAAAGAGGGTTTCAAAACTGCTCCATCAGAAGGATTGTTCAACTCTGTGAGTTGAATGCAGTCATCGCAGAAAACTTTCTGAGAATGCTTCTGTCTAGGTTTGATGTGAAGATATAGACGTTTCAAACGAAGGCTACAAAGTGGTCAAAATATACACTTGCAGATTCTACTACAAGGGTGTTGCAAACCTGAACTATCAAAGGAAGGTTCAACTCTGTGAGTTGAATACAAACATCACAAAGAATGTTCTGAGTTTGCTTCCGTTCAGTTATGGGAAGTTGATCCCGTTTCCAACGAAATCCTCAGAGAGGTCCAAATATCCCCTCGCAGATTCTACAAAACGTGTGTTTGGAAACTGCTCCATCATAACGAATGTTCAGCTCCCTGAGTTAAACTCCATCGTCACAAAGAATTTTCTGAGAGTGCTACCGTCTGGTTTTTATATGAATTTCTTTCCTTCACTACCACAGGCCTCAAAGCGGTCCAAATCTCCACTTGCAGATTCTACAAAAAGAGTGTTTGCAAACTGCTCTATCAAAAGGAATGTTCAACTCTGGGAGTTGAATGCAATCGTCACAGAGCAGTTTCTGAGAATGCTTCTATGTCGTTTTTAGGAGAAGTATATTTCCTTTTCCAACACAGTCCTCCAAGCCCGCTAAATAGCCACTTGCACATTGTAGAAAAAGTGTGTCAAAGCTGCGCTATCAAAGGGAAAGTTCAACTCTGTGAGGTGAATGCAAACATCCCAAAGAAGTTTCTGAGAATGCTTCCGTTTAGCTTTTAGGTGAAGATTATCCCGTTTCCAACGAAACCTTCAAAGAGGTCCAAATATCCCCTTGCGGATCCCACAGAAAGAGTGTTTCGAAACTGCTGTTTCAAAAGGAATCTTCAACTCTGTGAGTTGAATGCAATCATCACAAAGAAGTTTCTGACAATGCTTCTCTCTCGTCTTTCTGTGAAGATAAAGGAAAAGGCTTTCAGGCCTTTTCCACCACAGGCCTGAAAGCGCTCCAAAAGTCCACTTGCAGATTCTGCCAAAAGAATATTTCAAAACTGCTCTATGAAAAGCAATGTTAAACTCTGTGGCTCGAACACAAACATCACAAAGCAGTTTCTGAGAATGCTTCAGTTTAGTTTTTCTGTGGAGATAATCCCATTTCCAAAGAAATCTTCAAAGAGGTCCACATATCCACTTACAGATTCTACAAAAAGACAGATTCAAAACTGCTCAATCAAAAGGAGGGTTCAACCCTGTGACTTGAATGCAATCATCACACAGAAGTTTCTCAGAATGCTTCTCTTTAGTTTTTACGTGAACATATACCCGTTTCGAACGAAGGCCACACAGTTGTCCAAATATCCACTTGCAGATTCTACAGAAAGAGTGTTTCAAACCTGAACTCTCAAAGGAAGGTTCATCACTGTGAGTTAAATGCATTCATCATGAAGAACTTTCTCAGAATGTTTGTGTTTAGTCATGGGAAGTCTTTCCCATTTCCAACGAAATCCTCAGAGAGGTCCAAATATCCACTTGCAGATTCTACTAAAAGTGTATTTGGAAACTGCTCCATCAAAAGGCATGTTCAGCTCTGTGAGTTAAACTCCATCATCACAAAGAATATTCTGAGAATGCTTCCGTTTGCTTTTTATATGAAGTTCCTTCCTATACTACCGTAGGCCTCAAAGCAGTCCAAATCTCCATTTACAGATTCTACAAAAAGAGTGTTTCCAATCTGCTCTATCAATAGGATTGTTCAACTCCGTGAGTTGAATGCCATCCTCACAAAGTAGTTTCTGAGAATGCTTCTATCTAGTTTTTATGTGAAGATATTTCCTTTTCCACCACAGGCCTCAAAGCCCTCCAAACGTCCACTTGCAGATTCTCGAAAAAGAGTGTTTCATAGCTGCTCTTTCAAAAGGAAAGTTCAACTCTGGCAGTTGAATACAAACATCACAAAGTAGTTTCCGAGAATGCTTCTGTTTAGTTTTTATGTGAAGATGATCCCGTTTCCAGTGAAATCTTCAAAGAGGTCCACATATCCCCTTGCAGATTCCAAAGAAAGAGGGTTTCAAAACTGCTCCATCAGAAGGATTGTTCAACTCTGTGAGTTGAATGCAGTCATCGCAGAAAACTTTCTGAGAATGCTTCTGTCTAGGTTTGATGTGAAGATATAGACGTTTCAAATGAAGGCTACAAAGTGGTCAAAATATACACTTGCAGATTGTACTACAAGGGTGTTGCAAACCTGAACTATCAAAGGAAGGTTCAACTCTGTGAGTTGAATACAAACATCACAAAGAATGTTCTGAGTTTGCTTCCGTTCAGTTATGGGAAGTTGATCCCGTTTCCAACGAAATCCTCAGAGAGGTCCAAATATCCCCTTGCAGATTCTACAAAACGTGTGTTTGGAAACTGCTCCATCATAACGAATGTTCAGCTCCCTGAGTTAAACTCCATCGTCACAAAGAATTTTCTGAGAGTGCTAACCGTCTGGTTTTTATATGAAGCTCTTTCCTTTACTACCCCAGTCCTCAAAGCGGTCCAAATCTCCACTTGCAGATTCTACAAAAAGAGTGTTTGCAAACTGCTCTATCAAAAGGAATGTTCAACTCTGGGAGTTGAATGCAATCATCACAGAGCAGTTTCTCAGAATGCTTCTATGTCGTTTTTAGGAGAAGATATTTCCTTTTCCAACACAGTCCTCCAAGCCCGCTAAATAGCCACTTGCACATTGTAGAAAAAGTGTGTCAAAGCTGCGCTATCAAAGGGAAAGTTCAACTCTGTGAGGTGAATGCAAACATCCTAAAGAAGTTTCTGAGAATGCTTCCGTTTAGCTTTTAGGTGAAGATTATCCCGTTTCCAACGAAACCTTCAAAGAGGTCCAAATATCCCCTTGCGGATCCCACAGAAAGAGTGTTTCGAAACTGCTGTTTCAAAAGGAATCTTCAACTCTGTGAGTTGAATGCAATCATCACAAAGAAGTTTCTGACAATGCTTCTCTCTCGTCTTTCTGTGAAGATAAAGGAAAAGGCTTTCAGGCCTTTGCCACCACAGGCCTGAAAGCGCTCCAAATGTCCACTTGCAGATTCTGCGAAAAGAATATTTCATAACTGCTCTATGAAAAGCAATGTTAAACTCTGTGGCTCGAACACAAACATCACAAAGCAGTTTCTGAGAATGCTTCAGTTTAGTTTTTCTGTGGAAATATTCCCGTTTCCAAAGAAATCTTCAAAGAGGTCCACGCATCCACTTACAGATTCTACAAAAAGACAGTTTCAAAACTGCTCCATCAAAAGGAGGGTTCAACTGTGTGACTTGAATGCAATCATCACTCAGAAGTTTCTGAGAATGCTTCTCTTTAGTTTTTACGTGAACATATACCCGTTTCGAACGAAGGCCACCCAGTGGTCCAAATATCCACTTGCAGATTCTACAGAAAGAGTGTTTCGAACCTGAACTCTCAAAGGCAGGTTCATCTCTGCGAGTTAAATGCATTCATCATGAAGAACTTTCTCAGAGTGTTTGTGTTTAGTTATGGGAAATTATTCCCGTTTCCAACGAAATCCTCAGAGTGGTCCAAATATCCACCTGCAGATTCTACCAAAAGTGTATTTGGAAACTGCTCCATCAAAAGGCATGTTCAGCTCTGTGAGTGAAACTCCATCATCACAAAGAATATTCTGAGAATGCTTCCGTTTGCCTTTTATCTGAAGTTCCTTCCTATACGACCGTAGGCCTCAAAGCAGTCCAAATCTCCATTTGCAGATTCTACAAAAAGAGTGATTCCAATCTGCTCTATCAATAGGATTGTTCAACTCCATGAGTTGAATGCCATCCTCACAAAGTAGTTTCTGAGAATGCTTCTATCTAGTTTTTATGTGAAGGTATTTCCTTTTCCAGCACAGGCCTCCAAGCCCTCCAAACGTCCACTTGCAGATTCTCGAAAAAGAGTGTTTCATAGCTGCTCTTTCAAAAGGAAAGTTCAACTCTGGGAGTTGAATACAAACATCACAAAGTAGTTTCCGAGAATGCTTCTGTTTAGTTTTTATGTGAAGATGATCCCGTTTCCAGTGAAATCTTCAAAGAGGTCCACATATCCCCTTGCAGATTCCAAAGAAAGAGGGTTTAAAAACTGCTCCATCAGAAGGATTGTTCAACTCTGTGAGTTGAATGCAGTCATCGCAGAAAACTTTCTGAGAATGCTTCCGTTCAGTTATGGGAAGTTGATCCCGTTTCCAACGAAATCCTCAGAGAGGTCCAAATATCCCCTCGCAGATTCTACAAAACGTGTGTTTGGAAACTGCTCCATCATAACGAATGTTCAGCTCCCTGAGTTAAACTCCATCGTCACAAAGAATTTTCTGAGAGTGCTACCGTCTGGTTTTTATATGAAGTTCTTTCCTTCACTACCACAGGCCTCAAAGCGGTCCAAATCTCCACTTGCAGATTCTACAAAAAGAGTGTTTGCAAACTGCTCTATCAAAAGGAATGTTCAACTCTGGGAGTTGAATGCAATCATCACAGAGCAGTTTCTGAGAATGCTTCTATGTCGTTTTTAGGAGAAGATATTTCCTTTTCCAACACAGTCCTCCAAGCCCGCTAAATAGCCACTTGCACATTGTAGAAAAAGTGTGTCAAAGCTGCGCTATCAAAGGGAAAGTTCAACTCTGTGAGGTGAATGCAAACATCCCAAAGAAGTTTCTGAGAATGCTTCCGTTTACCTTTTAGGTGAAGATTATCCCGTTTCCAACGAAACCTTCAAAGAGGTCCAAATATCCCCTTGCGGATCCCACAGAAAGAGTGTTTCGAAACTGCTGTTTCAAAAGGAATCTTCAACTCTGTGAGTTGAATGCAATCATCACAAAGAAGTTTCTGACAATGCTTCTCTCTCGTCTTTCTGTGAAGATAAAGGAAAAGGCTTTCAGGCCTTTTCCACCACAGGCCTGAAAGCGCTCCAAATGTCCACTTGCAGATTCTGCGAAAAGAATATTTCAAAACTGCTCTATGAAAAGCAATGTTAAACTCTGCGGCTCGAACACAAACATCACAAAGCGGTTTCTGAGAATGCTTCAGTTTAGTTTTTCCGTGGAAATATTCCCGTTTCCAAAGAAATCTTCAAAGAGGTCCACGTATCCACTTACAGATTCTACAAAAAGACAGTTTCAAAACTGCTCCATCAAAAGGAGGGTTCCAACTGTGTGACTTGAATGCAATCATCACTCAGAAGTTTCTGAGAATGCTTCTCTTTAGTTTTTACGTGAACATATACCCGTTTCGAACGAAGGCCACCCAGTGGTCCAAATATCCACTTGCAGATTCTACAGAAAGAGTGTTTCGAACCTGAACTCTCAAAGGCAGGTTCATCTCTGCGAGTTAAATGCATTCATCATGAAGAACTTTCTCAGAGTGTTTGTGTTTAGTTATGGGAAATTATTCCCGTTTCCAACGAAATCCTCAGAGCAGCTCCAAATATCCACCTGCAGATTCTACCAAAAGTGTATTTGGAAACTGCTCCATCAAAAGGCATGTTCAGCTCTGTGAGTGAAACTCCATCATCACAAAGAATATTCTGAGAATGCTTCCGTTTGCCTTTTATATGAAGTTCCTTCCTATACTACCGTAGGCCTCAAAGCAGTCCAAATCTCCATTTGCAGATTCTACAAAAAGAGTGATTCCAATCTGCTCTATCAATAGGATTGTTCAACTCCATGAGTTGAATGCCATCCTCACAAAGTCGTTTCTGAGAATGCTTCTATCTAGTTTTTATGTGAAGATATTTCCTTTTCCACCACAGGCCTCAAAGCCCTCCAAACGTCCTATTGCAGATTCTTGAAAAAGAGTGTTTCATAGCTGCTCTTTCACAAGGAAAGTTCAACTCTGGGAGTTGAATACAAACTTCACAAAGTAGTTTCCGAGAATGCTTCTGTTTAGTTCTTATGTGAAGATGATCCCGTTTCCAGTGAAATCTTCAAAGAGGTCCACATATCCCCTTGCAGATTCCAAAGAAAGAGGGTTTCAAAACTGCTCCATCAAAAGGATTGTTCAACTCTGTGAGTTGAATGCAGTCATCGCAGAAAACTTTCTGAGAATGCTTCTGTCTAGGTTTGATGTGAAGATATAGACGTTTCAAACGAAGGCTACAAAGTGGTCAAAATATACACTTGCAGATTCTACTACAAGGGTGATGCAAACCTCAACTATCAAAGGAAGGTTCAACTCTGTGAGATGAATGCAACCATCACAAAAAATGTTCTGAGTTTGCTTCCGTTCAGTTATGGGAAGTTGATCCCGTTTCCAACGAAATCCTCAGAGAGGTCCAAATATCCCCTTGCAGATTCTACAAAACGTGTGTTTGGAAACTGCTCCATCATAACGAATGTTCAGCTCTCTGAGTTAAACTCCATCGTCACAAAGAATTTTCTGAGAGTGCTACCGTCTAGTTTTTATATGAAGTTCTTTCCTTTACTACCACAGGCCTCAAAGCGGTCCAAATCTCCACTTGCAGATTCTACAAAAAGAGTGTTTGCAAACTGCTCTATCAAAAGGAATGTTCAACTCTGGGAGTTGCATGCAATCATCACAGAGCAGTTTCTGAGAATGCTTCTATGTCGTTTTTAGGAGAAGATATTTCCTTTTCCAACACAGTGCTCCAAGCCCGCTAAATATCCACTTGCACATTGTAGAAAAAGTGTGTCGAAGCTGCGCTATCAAAGGGAAAGTTCAACTCTGTGAGGTGAATGCAAACATCCCAAAGAAGTTTCTGTGAATGCTTCCGTTTAGCTTTTACCTGAAGATTATCCCGTTTCCAACGAAACCTTCAAAGAGGTCCAAATATCCCCTTGCGGATCCCACAGAAAGAGTGTTTCGAAACTGCTGTTTCAAAAGGAATCTTCAACTCTGTGAGTTGAAAGCAATCATCACAAAGAAGTTTCTGACAATGCTTCTCTCTCGTCTTTCTGCGAAGATAAAGGAAAAGGCTTTCAGGCCTTTTCCACCACAGGCCTGAAAGCGCTCCAAATGTCCACTTGCAGATTCTGCCAAAAGAATATTTCAAAACTGCTCTATGAAAAGCAATGTTAAACTCTGTGGCTCGAACACAAACATCAGAAAGCAGTTTCTGAGAATGCTTCAGTTTAGTTTTTCTGTGGAAATATTCCCGTTTCCAAAGAAATCTTCAAAGAGGTCCACGCATCCACTTACAGATTCTACAAAAAGACAGTTTCAAAACTGCTCAATCAAAAGGAGGGTTCAACTGTGTGACTTGAATGCAATCATCACTCAGAAGTTTCTGAGAACGCTTCTCTTTAGTTTTTACGTGAACATATACCCGTTTCGAACGAAGGCCACCCAGTGGTCCAAATATCCACTTGCAGATTCTACAGAAAGAGTGTTTCGAACCTGAACTCTCAAAGGCAGGTTCATCTCTGCGAGTTAAATGCATTCATCATGAAGAACTTTCTCAGCGTGTTTGTGTTTAGTTATGGGAAATTATTCCCTTTTCCAATGAAATCCTCAGAGAGCTCCAAATATCCACCTGCAGATTCTACCAAAAGTGTATTTGGAAACTGCTCCATCAAAAGGCATGTTCAGCTCTGTGAGTGAAACTCCATCATCACAAAGAATATTCTGAGAATGCTTCCGTTTGCCTTTTATATGAAGTTCCTTCCTATACTACCGTAGGCCTCAAAGCAGTCCAAATCTCCATTTGCAGATTCTACAAAAAGAGTGATTCCAATCTGCTCTATCAATAGGATTGTTCAACTCCATGAGTTGAATGCCATCCTCACAAAGTCGTTTCTGAGAATGCTTCTATCTAGTTTTTATGTGAAGATATTTCCTTTTCCACCACAGGCCTCAAAGCCCTCCAAACGTCCACTTTCAGATTCTCGAAAAAGAGTGTTTCATAGCTGCTCTTTCAAAAGGAAAGTTCAACTCTGGGAGTTGAATACAAACATCACAAAGTAGTTTCTGAGAATGCTTCTGTTTAGTTTTTATGTGAAGATGATCCCGTTTCCAGTGAAATCTTCAAAGAGGTCCACATATCCCCTTGCAGATTCCAAAGAAAGAGGGTTTCAAAACTGCTCCATCAGAAGGATTGTTCAACTCTGTGAGTTGAATGCAGTCATCGCAGAAAACTTTCTGAGAATGCTTCTGTCTAGGTTTGATGTGAAGATATAGACGTTTCAAACGAAGGCTACAAAGTGGTCAAAATATACACTTGCAGATTCTACTACAAGGGTGTTGCAAACCTGAACTATCAAAGGAAGGTTCAACTCTGTGAGTTGAATACAAACATCACAAAGAATGTTCTGAGTTTGCTTCCGTTCAGTTATGGGAAGTTGATCCCGTTTCCAACGAAATCCTCAGAGAGGTCCAAATATCCCCTCGCAGATTCTACAAAACGTGTGTTTGGAAACTGCTCCATCATAACGAATGTTCAGCTCCCTGAGTTAAACTCCATCGTCACAAAGAATTTTCTGAGAGTGCTACCGTCTGGTTTTTATATGAAGTTCTTTCCTTCACTACCACAGGCCTCAAAGCGGTCCAAATCTCCACTTGCAGATTCTACAAAAAGAGTGTTTGCAAACTGCTCTATCAAAAGGAATGTTCAACTCTGGGAGTTGAATGCAATCATCACAGAGCAGTTTCTGAGAATGCTTCTATGTCGTTTTTAGGAGAAGATATTTCCTTTTCCAACACAGTCCTCCAAGCCCGCTAAATAGCCACTTGCACATTGTAGAAAACGTGTGTCAAAGCTGCGCTATCAAAGGGAAAGTTCAACTCTGTGAGGTGAATGCAAACATCCCAAAGAAGTTTCTGAGAATGCTTCCGTTTAGCTTTTAGGTGAAGATTATCCCGTTTCCAACGAAACCTTCAAAGTAGGTCCAAATATCCCCTTGCGGATCCCACAGAAAGAGTGTTTCGAAACTGCTGTTTCAAAAGGAATCTTCAACTCTGTGAGTTGAATGCAATCATCACAAAGAAGTTTCTGACAATGCTTCTCTCTCGTCTTTCTGTGAAGATAAAGGAAAAGGCTTTCAGGCCTTTGCCACCACAGGCCTGAAAGCGCTCCAAATGTCCACTTGCAGATTCTGCGAAAAGAATATTTCAAAACTGCTCTATGAAAAGCAATGTTAAACTCTGTGGCTCGAACACAAACATCACAAAGCGGTTTCTGAGAATGCTTCAGTTTAGTTTTTCTGTGGAAATATTCCCGTTTCCAAAGAAATCTTCAAAGAGGTCCACGTATCCACTTACAGATTCTACAAAAAGACAGTTTCAAAACTGCTCCATCAAAAGGAGGGTTCAACTGTGTGACTTGAATGCAATCATCACTCAGAAGTTTCTGAGAATGCTTCTCTTTAGTTTTTACGTGAACATATACCCGTTTCGAACGAAGGCCACCCAGTGGTCCAAATATCCACTTGCAGATTATACAGAAAGAGTGTTTCGAACCTGAACTCTCAAAGGCAGGTTCATCTCTGCGAGTTAAATGCATTCATCATGAAGAACTTTCTCAGAGTGTTTGTGTTTAGTTATGGGAAATTATTCCCGTTTCCAACGAAATCCTCAGAGAGCTCCAAATATCCACCTGCAGATTCTACCAAAAGTGTATTTGGAAACTGCTCCATCAAAAGGCATGTTCAGCTCTGTCAGTGAAGCTCCATCATCACAAAGAATATTCTGAGAATGCTTCCGTTTGCCTTTTATATGAAGTTCCTTCCTGTACTACCGTAGGCCTCAAAGCAGTCCAAATCTCCATTTGCAGATTCTACAAAAAGAGTGATTCCAATCTGCTCTATCAATAGGATTGTTCAACTCCATGAGTTGAATGCCATCCTCACAAAGTCGTTTCTGAGAATGCTTCTATCTAGTTTTTATGTGAAGATATTTCCTTTTCCACCACAGGCCTCAAAGCCCTCCAAACGTCCACTTGCAGATCCTCGAAAAAGAGTGTTTCATAGCTGCTCTTTCAAAAGGAAAGTTCAACTCTGGGAGTTGAATACAAACATCACAAAGTAGTTTCCGAGAATGCTTCTGTTTAGTTTTTATGTGAAGATGATCCCGTTTCCAGTGAAATCTTCAAAGAGGTCCACATATCCCCTTGCAGATTCCAAAGAAAGAGGGTTTCAAAACTGCTCCATCAGAAGGATTGTTCAACTCTGTGAGTTGAATGCAGTCATCGCAGAAAACTTTCTGAGAATGCTTCTTTCTAGGTTTGATGTGAAGATATAGACGTTTCAAACGAAGGCTACAAAGTGGTCAAAATATACACTTGCAGATTCTACTACAAGGGTGTTGCAAACCTGAACTATCAAAGGAAGGTTCAACTCTGTGAGTTGAATACAAACATCACAAAGAATGTTCTGAGTTTGCTTCCGTTCAGTTATGGGAAGTTGATCCCGTTTCCAACGAAATCCTCAGAGAGGTCCAAATATCCCCTTGCAGATTCTACAAAACGTGTGTTTGGAAACTGCTCCATCATAACGAATGTTCAGCTCCCTGAGTTAAACTCCATCGTCACAAAGAATTTTCTGAGAGTGCTACCGTCTAGTTTTTATATGAAGTTCTTTCCTTTACTACCACAGGCCTCAAAGCGGTCCAAATCTCCACTTGCAGATTCTACAAAAAGAGTGTTTGCAAACTGCTCTATCAAAAGGAATGTTCAACTCCTGGGAGTTGAATGCAATCATCACAGAGCAGTTTGCTGAGAATGCTTCTATGTCGTTTTTAGGAGAAGTATATTTCCTTTTCCAACACAGTCCTCCAAGCCCGCTAAATAGCCACTTGCACATTGTAGAAAAAGTGTGTCAAAGCTGCGCTATCAAAGGGAAAGTTCAACTCTGTGAGGTGAATGCAAACATCCCAAAGAAGTTTCTGAGAATGCTTCCGTTTAGCTTTTAGGTGAAGATTATCCCGTTTCCAACGAAACCTTCAAAGAGGTCCAAATATCCCCTTGCGGATCCCACAGAAAGAGTGTTTCGAAACTGCTGTTTCAAAAGGAATCTTCAACTCTGTGAGTTGAATGCAATCATCACAAAGAAGTTTCTGACAATGCTTCTCTCTCGTCTTTCTGTGAAGGTAAAGGAAAAGGCTTTCAGGCCTTTTCCACCACAGGCCTGAAAGCGCTCCAAATGTCCACTTGCAGATTCTGCCAAAAGAATATTTCAAAACTGCTCTATGAAAAGCAATGTTAAACTCTGTGGCTCGAACACAAACATCACAAAGCGGTTTCTGAGAATGCTTCAGTTTAGTTTTTCTGTGGAAATATTCCCGTTTCCAAAGAAATCTTCAAAGAGGTCCACGTATCCACTTACAGATTCTACAAAAAGACAGTTTCAAAACTGCTCCATCAAAAGGAGGGTTCAACTGTGTGACTTGAATGCAATCATCACTCAGAAGTTTCTGAGAATGCTTCTCTTTAGTTTTTACGTGAACATATACCCGTTTCGAACGAAGGCCAGCCAGTGGTCCAAATATCCACTTGCAGATTCTACAGAAAGAGTGTTTCGAACCTGAACTCTCAAAGGCAGGTTCATCTCTGCGAGTTAAATGCATTCATCATGAAGAACTTTCTCAGAGTGTTTGTGTTTAGTTATGGGAAATTATTCCCGTTTCCAACGAAATCCTCAGAGAGCTCCAAATATCCACCTGCAGATTCTACCAAAAGTGTATTTGGAAACTGCTCCATCAAAAGGCATGTTCAGCTCTGTGAGTGAAACTCCATCATCACAAAGAATATTCTGAGAATGCTTCCGTTTGCCTTTTATATGAAGTTCCTTCCTATACGACCGTAGGCCTCAAAGCAGTCCAAATCTCCATTTGCAGATTCTACAAAAAGAGTGATTCCAATCTGCTCTATCAATAGGATTGTTCAACTCCATGAGTTGAATGCCATCCTCACAAAGTCGTTTCTGAGAATGCTTCTATCTAGTTTTTATGTGAAGATATTTCCTTTTCCACCACAGGCCTCAAAGCCCTCCAAACGTCCACTTGCAGATTCTCGAAAAAGAGTGTTTCATAGCTGCTCTTTCAAAAGGAAAGTTCAACTCTGGGAGTTGAATACAAACATCACAAAGTAGTTTCCGAGAATGCTTCTGTTTAGTTTTTATGTGAAGATGATCCCGTTTCCAGTGAAATCTTCAAAGAGGTCCCACATATCCCCTTGCAGATTCCAAAGAAAGAGGGTTTCAAAACTGCTCCATCAAAAGGATTGTTCAACTCTGTGAGTTGAATGCAGTCATCGCAGAAAACTTTCTGAGAATGCTTCTGTCTAGGTTTGATGTGAAGATATAGACGTTTCAAACGAAGGCTACAAAGTGGTCAAAATATACACTTGCAGATTCTACTACAAGGGTGATGCAAACCTCAACTATCAAAGGAAGGTTCAACTCTGTGAGATGAATGCAACCATCACAAAAAATGTTCTGAGTTTGCTTCCGTTTAGTTATGGGAAATTGATACCGTTTCCAACGAAATCCTCAGAGAGGTCCAAATATCCCCTTGCAGATTCTACAAAACGTGTGTTTGGAAACTGCTCCATCATAACGAATGTTCAGCTCTCTGAGTTAAACTCCATCGTCACAAAGAATTTTCTGAGAGTGCTACCGTCTAGTTTTTATATGAAGTTCTTTCCTTTACTACCACAGGCCTCAAAGCGGTCCAAATCTCCACTTGCAGATTCTACAAAAAGAGTGTTTGCAAACTGCTCTATCAAAAGGAATGTTCAACTCTGGGAGTTGAATGCAATCATCACAGAGCAGTTCCTGAGAATGCTTCTATGTCGTTTTTAGGAGAAGATATTTCCTTTTCCACCACAGTCCTCCAAGCCCACTAAATATCCACTTGCACATTGCAGAAAAAGTGTGTCGAAGCTGCGCTATCAAAGGGAAAGTTCAACTCTGTGAGGTGAATGCAAACATCCCAAAGAAGTTTCTGAGAATGCTTCCGTTTAGCTTTTAGGTGAAGATTATCCCGTTTCCAACGAAATCTTCAAAGAGGTCCAAATATCCCCTTGCGGATCCCACAGAAAGAGTGTTTCGAAACTGCTGTTTCAAAAGGAATCTTCAACTCTGTGAGTTGAATGCAATCATCACAAAGAAGTTTCTGACAATGCTTCTCTCTCGTCTTTCTGTGAAGATAAAGGAAAAGGCTTTCAGGCCTTTTCCACCACAGGCCTGAAAGCGCTCCAAATGTCCACTTGCAGATTCTGCCAAAAGAATATTTCAAAACTGCTCTATGAAAAGCAATGTTAAACTCTGCGGCTCGAACACCAACATCACAACGCAGTTTCTGAGAATGCTTCAGTTTAGTTTTTCTGTGGAAATATTCCCATTTCCAAAGAAATCTTCAAAGAGGTCCACGTATCCACTTCCAGATTCTACAAAAAGACAGTTTCAAAGCTGCTCAATCAAAAGGCGGGTTCAACTGTGTGACTTGAATGCAATCATCACTCAGAAGTTTCTGAGAATGCTTCTCTTTAGTTTTTACGTGAACATATACCCGTTTCGAACGAAGGCCACCCAGTGGTCCAAATATCCACTTGCAGATTCTACAGAAAGAGTGTTTGGAACCTGAACTCTCAAAGGCAGGTTCATCTCTGCGAGTTAAATGCATTCATCATGAAGAACTTTCTCAGAGTGTTTGTGTTTAGTTATGGGAAATTATTCCCGTTTCCAACGAAATCCTCCGAGAGGTCCAAATATCCACCTGCAGATTCTACCAAAAGTGTATTTGGAAACTGCTCCATCAAAAGGCATGTTCAGCTCTGTGAGTGAAACTCCATCATCACAAAGAATATTCTGAGAATGCTTCCGTTTGCCTTTTACATGAAGTTCCTTCCTATACTACCGTAGGCCTCAAAGCAGTCCAAATCTCCATTTGCAGATTCTACAAAAAGAGTGATTCCAATCTGCTCTATCAATAGGATTGTTCAACTCCATGAGTTGAATGCCTTCCTCACAAAGTCGTTTCTGAGAATGCTTCTATCTAGTTTTTATGTGAAGATATTTCCTTTTCCACCACAGGCCTCAAAGCCCTCCAAACATCCACTTGCAGATTCTCGAAAAAGAGTGTTTCATAGCTGCTCTTTCAAAAGGAAAGTTCAACTCTGGGAGTTGAATACAAACATCACAAAGTAGTTTCCGAGAATGCTTCTGTTTAGTTCTTATGTGAAGATGATCCCGTTTCCAGTGAAATCTTCAAAGAGGTCCACATATGCCCTTGCAGATTCCAAAGAAAGTGGGTTTCAAAACTGCTCCATCAAAAGGATTGCTCAACTCTGTGAGTAGAATGCAGTCATCGCAGAAAACTTTCTGAGAATGCTTCTGTCTAGGTTTGATGTGAAGATATAGACGTTTCAAACGAAGGCTACAAAGTGGTCAAAATATACACTTGCAGATTCTACTACAAGGGTGTTGCAAACCTGAACTATCAAAGGAAGGTTCAACTCTGTGAGTTGAATACAAACATCACAAAGAATGTTCTGAGTTTGCTTCCGTTCAGTTATGGGAAGTTGATCCCGTTTCCAACGAAATCCTCAGAGAGGTCCAAATATCCCCTCGCAGATTCTACAAAACGTGTGTTTGGAAACTGCTCCATCATAACGAATGTTCAGCTCCCTGAGTTAAACTCCATCGTCACAAAGAATTTTCTGAGAGTGCTACCGTCTGGTTTTTATATGAAGTTCTTTCCTTCACTACCACAGGCCTCAAAGCGGTCCAAATCTCCACTTGCAGATTCTACAAAAAGAGTGTTTGCAAACTGCTCTATCAAAAGGAATGTTCAACTCTGGGAGTTGAATGCAATCATCACAGAGCAGTTTCTGAGAATGCTTCTATGTCGTTTTTAGGAGAAGATATTTCCTTTTCCAACACAGTCCTCCAAGCCCGCTAAATAGCCCCTTGCACATTGTAGAAAAAGTGTGTCAAAGCTGCGCTATCAAAGGGAAAGTTCAACTCTGTGAGGTGAATGCAAACATCCCAAAGAAGTTTCTGAGAATGCTTCCGTTTAGCTTTTAGGTGAAGATTATCCCGTTTCCAACGAAACCTTCAAAGAGGTCCAAATATCCCCTTGCGGATCCCACAGAAAGAGTGTTTCGAAACTGCTGTTTCAAAAGGAATCTTCAACTCTGTGAGTTGAATGCAATCATCACAAAGAAGTTTCTGACAATGCTTCTCTCTCGTCTTTCTGTGAAGATAAAGGAAAAGGCTTTCAGGCCTTTTCCACCACAGGCCTGAAAGCGCTCCAAATGTCCACTTGCAGATTCTGCGAAAAGAATATTTCAAAACTGCTCTATGAAAAGCAATGTTAAACTCTGTGGCTGGAACACAAACATCACAAAGCGGTTTCTGAGAATGCTTCAGTTTAGTTTTTCTGTGGAAATATTCCCGTTTCCAAAGAAATCTTCAAAGAGGTCCACGTATCCACTTACAGATTCTACAAAAAGACAGTTTCAAAACTGCTCCATCAAAAGGAGGGTTCAACTGTGTGACTTCAATGCAATCATCACTCAGAAGTTTCTGAGAATGCTTCTCTTTAGTTTTTACGTGAACATATACCCGTTTCGAACGAAGGCCACCCAGTGGTCCAAATATCCACTTGCAGATTCTACATAAAGAGTGTTTCGAACCTGAACTCTCAAAGGCAGGTTCATCTCTGCGAGTTAAATGCATTCATCATGAAGAACTTTCTCAGCGTGTTTGTGTTTAGTTATGGGAAATTATTCCCGTTTCCAACGAAATCCTCAAAGAGCTCCAAATATCCACCTGCAGATTCTACCAAAAGTGTATTTGGAAACTGCTCCATCAAAAGGCATGTTCAGCTCTGTGAGTGAAACTCCATCATCACAAAGAATATTCTGAGAATGCTTCCGTTTGCCTTTTATATGAAGTTCCTTCCTATACGACCGTAGGCCTCAAAGCAGTCCAAATCTCCATTTGCAGATTCTACAAAAAGAGTGATTCCAATCTGCTCTATCAATAGGATTGTTCAACTCCATGAGTTGAATGCCATCCTCACAAAGTAGTTTCTGAGAATGCTTCTATCTAGTTTTTATGTGAAGATATTTCCTTTTCCACCACAGGCCTCAAAGCCCTCCAAACGTCCACTTGCAGATTCTCGAAAAAGAGTGTTTCATAGCTGCTCTTTCAAAAGGAAAGTTCAACTCTGGCAGTTGAATACAAACATCACAAAGTAGTTTCCGAGAATGCTTCTGTTTAGTTTTTATGTGAAGATGATCCCGTTTCCAGTGAAATCTTCAAAGAGGTCCACATATCCCCTTGCAGATTCCAAAGAAAGAGGGTTTCAAAACTGCTCCATCAGAAGGATTGTTCAACTCTGTGAGTTGAATGCAGTCATCGCAGAAAACTTTCTGAGAATGCTTCTTTCTAGGTTTGATGTGAAGATATAGACGTTTCAAACGAAGGCTACAAAGTGGTCAAAATATACACTTGCAGATTCTACTACAAGGGTGTTGCAAACCTGAACTATCAAAGGAAGGTTCAACTCTGTGAGTTGAATACAAACATCACAAAGAATGTTCTGAGTTTGCTTCCGTTCAGTTATGGGAAGTTGATCCCGTTTCCAACGAAATCCTCAGAGAGGTCCAAATATCCCCTTGCAGATTCTACAAAACGTGTGTTTGGAAACTGCTCCATCATAACGAATGTTCAGCTCCCTGAGTTAAACTCCATCGTCACAAAGAATTTTCTGAGAGTGCTACCGTCTGGTTTTTATATGAAGTTCTTTCCTTCACTACCACAGGCCTCAAAGCAGTCCAAATCTCCACTTGCAGATTCTACAAAAAGAGAGTTTGCAAACTGCTCTATCAAAAGGAATGTTCAACTCTGGGAGTTGAATGCAATCATCACAGAGCAGTTTCTGAGAATGCTTCTATGTCGTTTTTAGGAGAAGATATTTCCTTTTCCAACACAGTCCTCCAAGCCCGCTAAATAGCCACTTGCACATTGTAGAAAAAGTGTGTCAAAGCTGCGCTATCAAAGGGAAAGTTCAACTCTGTGAGGTGAATGCAAACATCCCAAAGAAGTTTCTGAGAATGCTTCCCGTTTAGCTTTTAGGTGAGGATTATCCCGTTTCCAACGAAACCTTCAAAGAGGTCCAAATATCCCCTTGCGGATCCCACAGAAAGAGTGTTTCGAAACTGCTGTTTCAAAAGGAATCTTCAACTCTGTGAGTTGAATGCAATCATCACAAAGAAGTTTCTGACAATGCTTCTCTCTCGTCTTTCTGTGAAGATAAAGGAAAAGGCTTTCAGGCCTTTTCCAACCACAGGCCTGAAAGCGCTCCAAATGTCCACTTGCAGATTCTGCGAAAAGAATATTTCAAAACTGCTCTATGAAAAGCAATGTTAAACTCTGTGGCTCGAACACAAACATCACAAAGCAGTTTCTGAGAATGCTTCAGTTTAGTTTTTCTGTGGAAATATTCCCGTTTCCAAAGAAATCTTCAAAGAGGTCCACGTATCCACTTACAGATTCTACAAAAAGACAGTTTCAAAACTGCTCCATCAAAAGGAGGGTTCAACTGTGTGACTTGAATGCAATCATCACTCAGAAGTTTCTGAGAATGCTTCTCTTTAGTTTTTACGTGAACATATACCCGTTTCGAACGAAGGCCACCCAGTGGTCCAAATGTCCACTTGCAGATTCTACAGAAAGAGTGTTTCGAACCTGAACTCTCAAAGGCAGGTTCATCTCTGCGAGTTAAATGCATTCATCATGAAGAACTTTCTCAGCGTGTTTGTGTTTAGTTATGGGAAATTATTCCCGTTCCCAACGAAATCCTCAGAGAGGTCCAAATGTCCACCTGCAGATTCTACCAAAAGTGTATTTGGAAACTGCTCCATCAACAGGCATGTTCAGCTCTGTGAGTGAAACTCCATCATCACAAAGAATATTCTGAGAATGCTTCCGTTTGCCTTTTATATGAAGTTCCTTCCTATACGACCGTAGGCCTCAAAGCAGTGCAAATCTCCATTTGCAGATTCTACAAAAAGAGTGATTCCAATCTGCTCTATCAATAGGATTGTTCAACTCCATGAGTTGAATGCCATCCTCACAAAGTAGTTTCTGAGAATGCTTCTATCTAGTTTTTATGTGAAGATATTTCCTTTTCCACCACAGGCCTCAAAGCCCTCCAAACGTCCACTTGCAGATTCTCGAAAAAGAGTGTTTCATAGCTGCTCTTTCAAAAGGAAAGTTCAACTCTGGGAGTTGAATACAAACATCACAAAGTAGTTTCCGAGAATGCTTCTGTTTAGTTTTTATGTGAAGATGATCCCGTTTCCAGTGAAATCTTCAAAGAGGTCCACATATCCCCTTGCAGATTCCAAAGAAAGAGGGTTTCAAAACTGCTCCATCAATAGGATTGTTCAACTCTGTGAGTTGAATGCAGTCATCGCAGAAAACTTTCTGAGAATGCTTCTGTCTAGGTTTGATGTGAAGATATAGACGTTTCAAATGAAGGCTACAAAGTGGTCAAAATATACACTTGCAGATTCTACTACAAGGGTGTTGCAAACCTGAACTATCAAAGGAAGGTTCAACTCTGTGAGTTGAATACAAACATCACAAAGAATGTTCTGAGTTTGCTTCCGTTCAGTTATGGGAAGTTGATCCCGTTTCCAACGAAATCCTCAGAGAGGTCCAAATATCCCCTTGCAGATTCTACAAAACGTGTGTTTGGAAACTGCTCCATCATAACGAATGTTCAGCTCCCTGAGTTAAACTCCATCGTCACAAAGAATTTTCTGAGAGTGCTACCGTCTGGTTTTTATATGAAGTTCTTTCCTTCACTACCACAGGCCTCAAAGCGGTCCAAATCTCCACTTGCAGATTCTACAAAAAGAGTGTTTGCAAACTGCTCTATCAAAAGGAATGTTCAACTCTGGGAGTTGAATGCAATCATCACAGAGCAGTTTCTGAGAATGCTTCTATGTCGTTTTTAGGAGAAGATATTTCCTTTTCCAACACAGTCCTCCAAGCCCGCTAAATAGCCCCTTGCACATTGTAGAAAAAGTGTGTCAAAGCTGCGCTATCAAAGGGAAAGTTCAACTCTGTCAGGTGAATGCAAACATCCCAAAGAAGTTTCTGAGAATGCTTCCGTTTAGCTTTTAGGTGAAGATTATCCCGTTTCCAACGAAACCTTCAAAGAGGTCCAAATATCCCCTTGCGGATCCCACAGAAAGAGTGTTTCGAAACTGCTGTTTCAAAAGGAATCTTCAACTCTGTGAGTTGAATGCAATCATCACAAAGAAGTTTCTGACAATGCTTCTCTCTCGTCTTTCTGTGAAGATAAAGGAAAAGGCTTTCAGGCCATTTCCACCACAGGCCTGAAAGCGCTCCACATGTCCACTTGCAGATTCTGCCAAAAGAATATTTCAAAACTGCTCTATGAAAAGCAATGTTAAACTCTGCGGCTCGAACACAAACATCACAAAGCAGTTTCTGAGAATGCTTCAGTTTAGTTTTTCTGTGGAAATATTCCCGTTTCCAAAGAAATCTTCAAAGAGGTCCACGCATCCACTTACAGATTCTACAAAAAGACAGTTTCAAAACTGCTCAATCAAAAGGAGGGTTCAACTGTGTGACTTGAATGCATTCATCACTCAGAAGTTTCTGAGAACGCTTCTCTTTAGTTTTTACGTGAACATATACCCGTTTCGAACGAAGGCCAGCCAGTGGTCCAAATATCCACTTGCAGATTCTACAGAAAGAGTGTTTTGAACCTGAACTCTCAAAGGCAGGTTCATCTCTGCGAGTTAAATGCATTCATCATGAAGAACTTTCTCAGCGTGTTTGTGTTTAGTTATGGGAAATTATTCCCGTTTCCAACGAAATCCTCAGAGAGCTCCAAATATCCACCTGCAGATTCTACCAAAAGTGTATTTGGAAACTGCTCCATCAAAAGGCATGTTCAGCTCTTGTGAGTGAAACTCCATCATCACAAAGAATATTCTGAGAATGCTTCCGTTTGCCTTTTATATGAAGTTCCTTCCTATACTACCGTAGGCCTCAAAGCAGTCCAAATCTCCGTTTGCAGATTCTACAAAAAGAGTGATTCCAATCTGCTCTATCAATAGGATTGTTCAACTCCATGAGTTGAATGCCATCCTCACAAAGTAGTTTCTGAGAATGCTTCTATCTAGTTTTTATGTGAAGATATTTCCTTTTCCACCACAGGCCTCAAAGCCTTCCAAACGTCCACTTGCAGATTCTCGAAAAAGAGTGTTTCATAGCTGCTCTTTCAAAAGGAAAGTTCAACTCTGGGAGTTGAATACAAACATCACAAAGTAGTTTCCGAGAATGCTTCTGTTTAGTTTTTATGTGAAGATGATCCCGTTTCCAGTGAAATCTTCAAAGAGGTCCACATATCCCCTTGCAGATTCCAAAGAAAGAGGGTTTCAAAACTGCTCCATCAGAAGGATTGTTCAACTCTGTGAGTTGAATGCAGTCATCGCAGAAAACTTTCTGAGAATGCTTCTGTCTAGGTTTGATGTGAAGATATAGACGTTTCAAACGAAGGCTACAAAGTGGTCAAAATATACACTTGCAGATTCTACTACAAGGGTGTTGCAAACCTGAACTATCAAAGGAAGGTTCAACTCTGTGAGTTGAATACAAACATCACAAAGAATGTTCTGAGTTTGCTTCCGTTCAGTTATGGGAAGTTGATCCCGTTTCCAACGAAATCCTCAGGAGAGGTCCAAATATCCCCTTGCAGATTCTACAAAACGTGTGTTTGGAAACTGCTCCATCATAACGAATGTTCAGCTCCCTGAGTTAAACTCCATCGTCACAAAGAATTTTCTGAGAGTGCTACCGTCTGGTTTTTATATGAAGTTCTTTCCTTCACTACCACAGGCCTCAAAGCGGTCCAAATCTCCACTTGCAGATTCTACAAAAAGAGTGTTTGCAAACTGCTCTATCAAAAGGAATGTTCAACTCTGGGAGTTGAATGCAATCATCACAGAGCAGATTCTGAGAATGCTTCTATGTCGTTTTTAGAAGATATTTCCTTTTCCAACACAGTCCTCCAAGCCTGCTAAATAGCCACTTGCACATTGTAGAAAAAGTGTGTCAAAGCTGCGCTATCAAAGGGAAAGTTCAACTCTGTGAGGTGAATGCAAACATCCCAAAGAAGTTTCTGAGAATGCTTCCATTTAGCTTTTAGGTGAAGATTATCCCGTTTCCAACGAAACCTTCAAAGAGGTCCAAATATCCCCTTGCGGATCCCACAGAAAGAGTGTTTCGAAACTGCTGTTTCAAAAGGAATCTTCAACTCTGTGAGTTGAATGCAATCATCACAAAGAAGTTTCTGACAATGCTTCTCTCTCGTCTTTCTGTGAAGATAAAGGAAAAGGCTTTCAGGCCTTTTCCACCACAGGCCTGAAAGCGCTCCAAATGTCCACTTGCAGATTCTGCCAAAAGAATATTTCAAAACTGCTCTATGAAAAGCAATGTTAAACTCTGCGGCTCGAACACAAACATCACAAAGCGGTTTCTGAGAATGCTTCAGTTTAGTTTTTCTGTGGAAATATTCCCGTTTCGAAAGAAATCTTCAAAGAGGTCCACGTATCCACTTACAGATTCTACAAAAAGACAGTTTCAAAACTGCTCAATCAAAAGGAGTGTTCAACCGTGTGACTTGAATGCAATCATCACTCAGAAGTTTCTGAGAATGCTTCTCTTTAGTTTTTACGTGAACATATACCCGTTTCGAACGAAGGCCACCCAGTGGTCCAAATATCCACTTGCAGATTCTACAGAAAGAGTGTTTCGAACCTGAACTCTCAAAGGCAGGTTCATCTCTGCGAGTTCAATGCATTCATCATGAAGAACTTTCTCAGAGTGTTTGTGTTTAGGTATGGGAAATTATTCCCGTTTCCAACGAAATCTTCAGAGAGGTCCAAATATCCACCTGCAGATTCTACCAAAAGTGTATTTGGAAACTGCTCCATCAAAAGGCATGTTCAGCTCTGTGAGTGAAACTCCATCATCACAAAGAATATTCTGAGAATGCTTCCGTTTGCCTTTTATATGAAGTTCCTTCCTATACTACCGTAGGCCTCAAAGCAGTCCAAATCTCCATTTGCAGATTCTACAAAAAGAGTGATTCCAATCTGCTCTATCAATAGGATTGTTCAACTCCATGAGTTGAATGCCATCCTCACAAAGTAGTCTCTGAGAATGCTTCTATCTAGTTTTTATGTGAAGATATTTCCTTTTCCACCACAGGCCTCAAAGCCCTCCAAACGTCCACTTGCAGATTCTCGAAAAAGAGTGTTTCATAGCTGCTCTTTCAAAAGGAAAGTTCAACTCTGGGAGTTGAATACAAACATCACAAAGTAGTTTCCGAGAATGCTTCTGTTTAGTTTTTATGTGAAGATGATCCCGTTTCCAGTGAAATCTTCAAAGAGGTCCACATATCCCCTTGCAGATTCCAAAGAAAGAGGGTTTAAAAACTGCTCCATCAGAAGGATTGTTCAACTCTGTGAGTTGAATGCAGTCATCGCAGAAAACTTTCTGAGAATGCTTCTGTCTAGGTTTGATGTGAAGATATAGACGTTTCAAACGAAGGCTACAAAGTGGTCAAAATATACACTTGCAGATTCTACTACAAGGGTGTTGCAAACGTGAACTATCAAAGGAAGGTTCAACTCTGTGAATTGAATACAAACATCACAAAGAATGTTCTGAGTTTGCTTCCGTTCATTTATGGGAAGTTGATCCCATTTCCAACGAAATCCTCAGAGAGGGCCAAATATCCCCTTGCAGATTCTACAAAACGTGTGTTTGGAAACTGCTCCATCATAACGAATGTTCAGCTCTCTGAGTTAAACTCCATCGTCACAAAGAATGTTCTGAGAGTGCTACCGTCTGGTTTTTATATGAAGTTCTTTCCTTTACTACCACAGGCCTCAAAGCGGTCCAAATCTCCACTTGCAGATTCTACAAAAAGAGTGTTTGCAAACTGCTCTATCAAAAGGAATGTTCAACTCTGGGAGTTGAATGCAATCATCACAGAGCAGTTTCTGAGAATGCTTCTATGTCGTTTTTAGGAGAAGATATTTCCTTTTCCAACACAGTCCTCCAAGCCCGCTAAATATCCACTTGCACATTGTAGAAAAAGTGTGTCGAAGCTGCGCTATCAAAGGGAAAGTTCAACTCTGTGAGGTGAATGCAAACATCCCAAAGAAGTTTCTGAGAATGCTTCCATTTAGCTTTTAGGTGAAGATTATCCCGTTTCCAACGAAATCTTCAAAGAGGTCCAAATATCCCCTTGCGGATCCCACAGAAAGAGTGTTTCGAAACTGCTGTTTCAAAAGGAATCTTCAACTCTGTGAGTTGAATGCAATCATCACAAAGAAGTTTCTGACAATGCTTCTCTCTCGCCTTTCTGTGAAGATAAAGGAAAAGGCTTTCAGGCCTGTTCCACCACAGGCCTGAAAGCGCTCCAAATGTCCACTTGCAGATTCTGCGAAAAGAATATTTCAAAACTGCTCTATGAAAAGCAATGTTAAACTCTGTGGCTGGAACACAAACATCACAAAGCGGTTTCTGAGAATGTTTCAGTTTAGTTTTTCTGTGGAAATATTCCCGTTTCCAAAGAAATCTTCAAAGAGGTCCACGTATCCACTTACAGATTCTACAAAAAGACAGTTTCAAAACTGCTCCATCAAAAGGAGGGTTCAACTGTGTGACTTGAATGCAATCATCACTCAGAAGTTTCTGAGAATGCTTCTCTTTAGTTTTTACGTGAACATATACCCGTTTCGAACGAAGGCCACCCAGTGGTCCAAATATCCACTTGCAGATTCTACAGAAAGAGTGTTTCGAACATGAACTCTCAAAGGCAGGTTCATCTCTGCGAGTTAAATTCATTCATCATGAAGAACTTTCTCAGAGTGTTTGTGTTTAGTTATGGGAAATTATTCCCGTTTCCAACGAAATCCTCAGAGAGCTCCAAATATCCACCTGCAGATTCTACCAAAAGTGTATTTGGAAACTGCTCCATCAAAAGGCATGTTCCGCTCTGTGAGTGAAACTCCATCATCACAAAGAATATTCTGAGAATGCTTCCGTTTGCCTTTTATATGAAGTTCCTTCCTATACGACCGTAGGCCTCAAAGCAGTCCAAATCTCCATTTGCAGATTCTACAAAAAGAGTGATTCCAATCTGCTCTATCAATAGGATTGTTCAACTCCATGAGTTGAATGCCATCCTCACAAAGTAGTTTCTGAGAATGCTTCTATCTAGTTTTTATGTGAAGATATTTCCTTTTCCACCGCAGGCCTCAAATCCCTCCAAACGTCCACTTGCAGATTCTCGAAAAAGAGTGTTTCATAGCTGCTCTTTCAAAAGGAAAGTTCAACTCTGGGAGTTGAATACAAACATCACAAAGTAGTTTCCGAGAATGCTTCTGTTTAGTTTTTATGTGAAGATGATCCCATTTCCAGTGAAATCTTCAAAGAGGTCCACATATCCCCTTGCAGATTCCAAAGAAAGAGGGTTTCAAAACTGCTCCATCAGAAGGATTGTTCAACTCTGTGAGTTGAATGCAGTCATCGCAGAAAACTTTCTGAGAATGCTTCTGTCTAGGTTTGATGTGAAGATATAGACGTTTCAAACGAAGGCTACAAAGTGGTCAAAATATACACTTGCAGATTCTACTACAAGGGTGTTGCAAACCTGAACTATCAAAGGAAGGTTCAACTCTGTGAGTTGAATACAAACATCACAAAGAATGTTCTGAGTTTGCTTCCGTTCAGTTATGGGAAGTTGATCCCGTTTCCAACGAAATCCTCAGAGAGGTCCAAATATCCCCTTGCAGATTCTACAAAACGTGTGTTTGGAAACTGCTCCATCATAACGAATGTTCAGCTCCCTGAGTTAAACTCCATCGTCACAAAGAATTTTCTGAGAGTGCTACCGTCTGGTTTTTATATGAAGTTCTTTCCTTCACTACCACTGGCCTCAAAGCGGTCCAAATCTCCACTTGCAGATTCTACAAAAAGAGTGTTTGCAAACTGCTCTATCAAAAGGAATGTTCAACTCTGGGAGTTGAATGCAATCATCACAGAGCAGTTTCTGAGAATGCTTCTATGTCGTTTTTAGGAGAAGATATTTCCTTTTCCAACACAGTCCTCCAAGCCCGCTAAATATCCACTTGCACATTGTAGAAAAAGTGTGTCGAAGCTGCGCTATCAAAGGGAAAGTTCAACTGCTGTGAGGTGAATGCAAACATCCCAAAGAAGTTTCTGAGAATGCTTCCGTTTAGCTTTTAGGTGAAGATTATCCCGTTTCCAACGAAACCTTCAAAGAGGTCCAAATATCCCCTTGCGGATCCCACAGAAAGAGTGTTTCGAAACTGCTGTTTCAAAAGGAATCTTCAACTCTGTGAGTTGAATGCAATCATCACAAAGAAGTTTCTGACAATGCTTCTCTCTCGTCTTTCTGTGAAGATAAAGGAAAAGGCTTTCAGGCCTTTTCCACCACAGGCCTGAAAGCGCTCCAAATGTCCACTTGCAGATTCTGCCAAAAGAATATTTCAAAACTGCTCTATGAAAAGCAATGTTAAACTCTGCGGCTCGAACACAAACATCACAAAGCGGTTTCTGAGAATGCTTCAGTTTAGTTTTTCTGTGGAAATATTCCCGTTTCCAAAGAAATCTTCAAAGAGGTCCACGTATCCACTTACAGATTCTACAAAAAGACAGTTTCAAAACTGCTCCATCAAAAGGAGGGTTCAACCGTGTGACTTGAATGCAATCATCACTCAGAAGTTTCTGAGAATGCTTCTCTTTAGTTTTTACGTGAACATATACCCGTTTCGAACGAAGGCCACCCAGTGGTCCAAATATCCACTTGCAGATTATACAGAAAGAGTGTTTCGAACCTGAACTCTCAAAGGCAGGTTCATCTCTGCGAGTTAAATGCATTCATCATGAAGAACTTTCTCAGAGTGTTTGTGTTTAGTTATGGGAAATTATTCCCGTTACCAACGAAATCCTCAGAGAGCTCCAAATATCCACCTGCAGATTCTACCAAAAGTGTATTTGGAAACTGCTCCATCAAAAGGTATGTTCAGCTCTGTGAGTGAAACTCCATCATCACAAAGAATATTCTGAGAATGCTTCCGTTTGCCTTTTATATGAAGTTCCTTCCTATACGACCGTAGGCCTCAAAGCAGTCCAAATCTCCATTTGCAGATTCTACAAAAAGAGTGATTCCAATCTGCTCTATCAATAGGATTGTTCAACTCCATGAGTTGAATGCCATGCTCACAAAGTCGTTTCTGAGAATGCTTCTATCTAGTTTTTATGTGAAGATATTTCCTTTTCCACCACAGGCCTCAAAGCCCTCCAAACGTCCACTTGCAGATTCTCGAAAAAGTGTGTTTCATAGCTGCTCTTTCAAAAGGAAAGTTCAACTCTGGGAGCTGAATACAAACATCACAAAGTAGTTTCCGAGAATGCTTCTGTTTAGTTCTTATGTGAAGATGATCCCGTTTCCAGTGAAATCTTCAAAGAGGTCCACATATCCCCTTGCAGATTCCAAAGAAAGAGGGTTTCAAAACTGCTCCATCAAAAGGATTGTTCAACTCTGTGAGTTGAATGCAGTCATCGCAGAAAACTTTCTGAGAATGCTTCTGTCTAGGTTTGATGTGAAGATATAGACGTTTCAAACGAAGGCTACAAAGTGGTCAAAATATACACTTGCAGATTCTACTACAAGGGTGATGCAAACCTGAACTATCAAAGGAAGGTTCAACTCTGTGAGTTGAATACAAACATCACAAAGAATGTTCTGAGTTTGCTTCCGTTCAGTTATGGGAAGTTGATCCCGTTTCCAACGAAATCCTCAGAGAGGTCCAAATATCCCCTTGCAGATTCTACAAAACGTGTGTTTGGAAACTGCTCCATCATAACGAATGTTCAGCTCTCTGAGTTAAACTCCATCGTCACAAAGAATTTTCTGAGAGTGCTACCGTCTGGTTTTTATATGAAGTTGTTTCCTTTACTACCACAGGCCTCAAAGCGGTCCAAATCTCCACTTGCAGATTCTACAAAAAGAGTGTTTGCAAACTGCTCTATCAAAAGGAATGTTCAACTCTGGGAGTTGAATGCAATCATCACAGAGCAGTTTCTGAGAATGCTTCTATGTCGTTTTTAGGAGAAGATATTTCCTTTTCCAACACAGTCCTCCAAGCCCGCTACATATCCACTTGCACATTGTAGAAAAAGTGTGTCGAAGCTGCGCTATCAAAGGGAAAGTTCAACTCTGTGAGGTGAATGCAAACATCCCAAAGAAGTTTCTGAGAATGCTTCCGTTTTGCTTTTAAGTGAAGATTATCCAGTTGGCAACGAAATCTTCAAAGAGGTCCAAATATCCCCTTGCGGATCCCACAGAAAGAGTGTTTCGAAACTGCTGTTTCAAAAGGAATCTTCAACTCTGTGAGTTGAATGCAATCATCACAAAGAAGTTTCTGACAATGCTTCTCTCTCGTCTTTCTGTGAAGATAAAGGAAAAGGCTTTCAGGCCTTTTCCACCACAGGCCTGAAAGCGCTCCAAATGTCCACTTGCAGATTCTGCCAAAAGAATATTTCAAAACTGCTCTATGAAAAGCAATGTTAAACTCTGTGGCTCGAACACAAACATCACAAAGCAGTTTCTGAGAATGCTTCAGTTTAGTTTTTCTGTGGAAATATTCCCGTTTCCAAAGAAATCTTCAAAGAGGTCCACGCATCCACTTACAGATTCTACAAAAAGACAGTTTCAAAACTGCTCAATCAAAAGGAGGGTTCAACTGTGTGACTTGAATGCAATCATCACTCAGAAGTTTCTGAGAACGCTTCTCTTTAGTTTTTACGTGAACGTATACCCGTTTCGAACGAAGGCCAGCCAGTGGTCCAAATATCCACTTACAGATTCTACAGAAAGAGTGTTTCGAACCTGAACTCTCAAAGGCAGGTTCATCTCTGCGAGTTAAATGCATTCATCATGAAGAACTTTCTCAGCGTGTTTGTGTTTAGTTATGGGAAATTATTCCCGTTTCCAACGAAATCCTCAGAGAGCTCCAAATATCCACCTGCAGATTCTACCAAAAGTGTATTTGGAAACTGCTCCATCAAAAGGCATGTTCAGCTCTGTGAGTGAAACTCCATCATCACAAAGAATATTCTGAGAATGCTTCCGTTCGCCTTTTATATGAAGTTCCTTCCTATACTACCGTAGGCCTCAAAGCAGTCCAAATCTCCATTTGCAGATTCTACAAAAAGAGTGATTCCAATCTGCTCTATCAATAGGACTGTTCAACTCCATGAGTTGAATGCCATCCTCACAAAGTCGTTTCTGAGAATGCTTCTATCTAGTTTTTATGTGAAGATATTTCCTTTTCCACCACAGGCCTCAAAGCCCTCCAAACGTCCACTTGCAGATTCTCGAAAAAGAGTGTTTCATAGCTGCTCTTTCAAAAGGAAAGTTCAACTCTGGGAGTTGAATACAATCATCACAAAGTAGTTTCTGAGAATGCTTCTGTTTAGTTTTTATGTGAAGATGATCCCGTTTCCAGTGAAATCTTCAAAGAGGTCCACATATCCCCTTGCAGATTCCAAAGAAAGAGGGTTTCAAAACTGCTCCATCAGAAGGATTGTTCAACTCTGTGAGTTGAATGCAGTCATCGCAGAAAACTTTCTGAGAATGCTTCTGTCTAGGTTTGCTGTGAAGATATAGACGTTTCAAATGAAGGCTACAAAGTGGTCAAAATATACACTTGCAGATTCTACTACAAGGGTGTTGCAAACCTGAACTATCAAAGGAAGGTTCAACTCTGTGAGTTGAATACAAACATCACAAAGAATGTTCTGAGTTTGCTTCCGTTCAGTTATGGGAAGTTGATCCCGTTTCCAACGAAATCCTCAGAGAGGTCCAAATATCCCCTCGCAGATTCTACAAAACGTGTGTTTGGAAACTGCTCCATCATAACGAATGTTCAGCTCCCTGAGTTAAACTCCATCGTCACAAAGAATTTTCTGAGAGTGCTACCGTCTGGTTTTTATATGAAGTTCTTTCCTTCACTACCACAGGCCTCAAAGCGGTCCAAATCTCCACTTGCAGATTCTACAAAAAGAGTGTTTGCAAACTGCTCTATCAAAAGGAATGTTCAACTCTGGGAGTTGAATGCAATCATCACAGAGCAGTTTCTGAGAATGCTTCTATGTCGTTTTTAGGAGAAGATATTTCCTTTTCCAACACAGTCCTCCAAGCCCGCTAAAGAGCCACTTGCACATTGTAGAAAAAGTGTGTCAAAGCTGCGCTATCAAAGGGAAAGTTCAACTCTGTGAGGTGAAAGCAAACATCCCAAAGAAGTTTATGAGAATGCTTCCGTTTAGCTTTTAGGTGAAGATTATCCCGTTTCCAACGAAACCTTCAAAGAGGTCCAAATATCCCCTTGCGGATCCCACAGAAAGAGTGTTTCGAAACTGCTGTTTCAAAAGGAATCTTCAACTCTGAGTTGAATGCAATCATCACAAAGAAGTTTCTGACAATGCTTCTCTCTCGTCTTTCTGTGAAGATAAAGGAAAAGGCTTTCAGGCCTTTTCCACCACAGGCCTGAAAGCGCTCCAAATGTCCACTTGCAGATTCTGCCAAAAGAATATTTCAAAACTGCTCTATGAAAAGCAATGTTAAACTCTGTGGCTCGAACACAAACATCACAAAGCGGTTTCTGAGAATGCTTCAGTTTACTTTTTCTGTGGAAGTATTCCCGTTTCCAAAGAAATCTTCAAAGAGGTCCACGCATCCACTTACAGATTCTACAAAAAGACAGTTTCAAAACTGCTCAATCAAAAGGAGGGTTCAACTGTGAGACTTGAATGCAATCATCACTCAGAAGTTTCTGAGAACGCTTCTCTTTAGTTTTTACGTGAACATATACCCGTTTCGAACGAAGGCCACCCAGTGGTCCAAATATCCACTTGCAGATTATACAGAAAGAGTGTTTCGAACCTGAACTCTCAAAGGCAGGTTCATCTCTGCGAGTTAAATGCATTCATCATGAAGAACTTTCTCAGAGTGTTTGTGTTTAGTTATGGGAAATTATTCCCGTATCCAACGAAATCCTCAGAGAGCTCCAAATATCCACCTGCAGATTCTACCAAAAGTGTATTTGGAAACTGCTCCATCAAAAGGCATGTTCAGCTCTGTGAGTGAAACTCCATCATCACAAAGAATATTCTGAGAATGCTTCCGTTTGCCTTTTATATGAAGTTCCTTCCTGTACTACCGTAGGCCTCAAAGCAGTCCAAATCTCCATTTGCAGATTCTACAAAAAGAGTGATTCCAATCTGCTCTATCAATAGGATTGTTCAACTCCATGAGTTGAATGCCATCCTCACAAAGCAGTTTCTGAGAATGCTTCTATCTGGTTTTTGTGTGAAGATATTTCCTTTTCCACCACAGGCCTCAAAGCCCTCCAAACGTCCACTTGCAGATTCTCGAAAAAGAGTGTTTCATAGCTGCTCTTTCAAAAGGAAAGTTCAACTCTGGGAGTTGAATACAAACATCACAAAATAGTTTCCGAGAATGCTTCTGTTTAGTTTTTATGTGAAGATGATCCCGTTTCCAGTGAAATCTTCAAAGAGGTCCACATATCCCCTTGCAGATTCCAAAGAAAGAGGGTTTCAAAACTGCTCCATCAGAAGGATTGTTCAACTCTGTGAGTTGAATGCAGTCATCGCAGAAAACTTTCTGAGAATGCTTCTTTCTAGGTTTGATGTGAAGATATAGACGTTTCAAACGAAGGCTACAAAGTGGTCAAAATATACACTTGCAGATTCTACTACAAGGGTGTTGCAAACCTGAACTATCAAAGGAAGGTTCAACTCTGTGAGTTGAATACAAACATCACAAAGAATGTTCTGAGTTTGCTTCCGTTCAGTTATGGGAAGTTGATCCCGTTTCCAACGAAATCCTCAGAGAGGTCGAAATATCCCCTTGCAGATTCTACAAAACGTGTGTTTGGAAACTGCTCCATCATAACGAATGTTCAGCTCTCTGAGTTAAACTCCATCGTCACAAAGAATTTTCTGAGAGTGCTACCGTCTGGTTTTTATATGAAGTTCTTTCCTTTACTACCACAGGCCTCAAAGCGGTCCAAATCTCCACTTGCAGATTCTACAAAAAGAGTGTTTGCAAACTGCTCTATCAAAAGGAATGTTCAACTCTGGGAGTTGAATGCAATCATCACAGAGCAGTTTCTGAGAATGCTTCTATGTCGTTTTTAGGAGAAGATATTTCCTTTTCCAACACAGTCCTCCAAGCCCGCTAAATATCCACTTGCACATTGTAGAAAAAGTGTGTCGAAGCTGCGCTATCAAAGGGAAAGTTCAACTCTGTGAGGTGAATGCAAACATCCCAAAGAAGTTTCTGAGAATGCTTCCGTTTAGCTTTAAGTGAAGATTATCCCGTTTCCAACGAAATCTTCAAAGAGGTCCAAATATCCCCTTGCGGATCCCACAGAAAGAGTGTTTCGAAACTGCTGTTTCAAAAGGAATCTTCAACTCTGTGAGTTGAATGCAATCATCACAAAGAAGTTTCTGACAATGCTTCTCTCTCGTCTTTCTGTGAAGATAAAGGAAAAGGCTTTCAGGCCATTTCCACCACAGGCCTGAAAGCGCTCCAAATGTCCACTTGCAGATTCTGCCAAAAGAATATTTCAAAACTGCTCTATGAAAAGCAATGTTAAACTCTGCGGCTCGAACACAAACATCACAAAGCAGTTTCTGAGAATGCTTCAGTTTAGTTTTTCTGTGGAAATATTCCCGTTTCCAAAGAAATCTTCAAAGAGGTCCACGCATCCACTTACAGATTCTACAAAAAGACAGTTTCAAAACTGCTCAATCAAAAGGAGGGTTCAACTGTGTGACTTGAATGCATTCATCACTCAGAAGTTTCTGAGAACGCTTCTCTTTAGTTTTTACGTGAACATATACCCGTTTCGAACGAAGGCCAGCCAGTGGTCCAAATATCCACTTGCAGATTCTACAGAAAGAGTGTTTTGAACCTGAACTCTCAAAGGCAGGTTCATCTCTGCGAGTTAAATGCATTCATCATGAAGAACTTTCTCAGCGTGTTTGTGTTTAGTTATGGGAAATTATTCCCGTTTCCAACGAAATCCTCAGAGAGCTCCAAATATCCACCTGCAGATTCTACCAAAAGTGTATTTGGAAACTGCTCCATGAAAAGGCATGTTCAGCTCTGTGAGTGAAACTCCGTCATCACAAAGAATATTCTGAGAATGCTTCCGTTTGCCTTTTATATGAAGTTCCTTCCTATACTACCGTAGGCCTCAAAGCAGTCCAAATCTCCATTTGCAGATTCTACAAAAAGAGTGATTCCAATCTGCTCTATCAATAGGATTGTTCAACTCCATGAGTTGAATGCCATCCTCACAAAGTAGTTTCTGAGAATGCTTCTATCTAGTTTTTATGTGAAGATATTTCCTTTTCCACCACAGGCCTCAAAGCCCTCCAAACGTCCACTTGTAGATTCTCGAAAAAGAGTGTTTCATAGCTGCTCTTTCAAAAGGAAAGTTCAACTCCTGGGAGTTGAATACAAACATCACAAAGTAGTTTCCGAGAATGCTTCTGTTTAGTTTTTATGTGAAGATGATCCCGTTTCCAGTGAAATCTTCAAAGAGGTCCACATATCCCCTTGCAGATTCCAAAGAAAGAGGGTTTCAAAACTGCTCCATCAGAAGGATTGTTCAACTGTGTGAGTTGAATGCAGTCATCGCAGAAAACTTTCTGAGAATGCTTCTGTCTAGGTTTGATGTGAAGATATAGACGTTTCAAACGAAGGCTACAAAGTGGTCAAAATATACACTTGCAGATTCTACTACAAGGGTGTTGCAAACCTGAACTATCAAAGGAAGGTTCAACTCTGTGAGTTGAATACAAACATCACAAAGAATGTTCTGAGTTTGCTTCCGTTCAGTTATGGGAAGTTGATCCCGTTTCCAACGAAATCCTCAGAGAGGTCCAAATATCCCCTTGCAGATTCTACAAAACGTGTGTTTGGAAACTGCTCCATCATAACGAATGTTCAGCTCCCTGAGTTAAACTCCATCGTCACAAAGAATTTTCTGAGAGTGCTACCGTCTGGTTTTTATATGAAGTTCTTTCCTTCACTACCACAGGCCTCAAAGCGGTCCAAATCTCCACTTGCAGATTCTACAAAAAGAGTGTTTGCAAACTGCTCTATCAAAAGGAATGTTCAACTCTGGGAGTTGAATGCAATCATCACAGAGCAGTTTCTGAGAATGCTTCTATGTCGTTTTTAGGAGAAGATATTTCCTTTTCCAACACAGTCCTCCTAGCCCGCTAAATATCCACTTGCACATTGTAGAAAAAGTGTGTCAAAGCTGCGCTATCAAAGGGAAAGTTCAACTCTGTGAGGTGAATGCAAACATCCCAAAGAAGTTTCTGAGAATGCTTCCGTTTAGCTTTTAGGTGAAGATTATCCCGTTTCCAACGAAACCTTCAAAGAGGTCCAAATATCCCCTTGCGGATCCCACAGAAAGAGTGTTTCGAAACTGCTGTTTCAAAAGGAATCTTCAACTCTGTGAGTTGAATGCAATCATCACAAAGAAGTTTCTGACAATGCTTCTCTCTCGTCTTTCTGTGAAGATAAAGGAAAAGGCTTTCAGGCCTTTTCCACCACAGGCCTGAAAGCGCTCCAAATGTCCACTTGCAGATTCTGCCAAAAGAATATTTGAAAACTGCTCTATGAAAAGCAATGTTAAACTCTGTGGCTCGAACACAAACATCACAAAGCAGTTTCTGAGAATGCTTCAGTTTAGTTTTTCTGTGGAAATATTCCCGTTTCCAAAGAAATCTTCAAAGAGGTCCACGTATCCACTTACAGATTCTACAAAAAGACAGTTTCAAAACTGCTCAATCAAAAGGAGGGTTCAACTGTGTGACTTGAATGCAATCATCACTCAGAAGTTTCTGAGAACGCTTCTCTTTAGTTTTTACGTGAACATATACCCGTTTCGAACGAAGGCCAGCCAGTGGTCCAAATATCCACTTGCAGATTCTACAGAAAGAGTGTTTCGAACCTGAACTCTCAAAGGCAGGTTCATCTCTGCGAGTTCAATGCATTCATCATGAAGAACTTTCTCAGCGTGTTTGTGTTTAGTTATGGGAAATTATTCCCGTTTCCAACGAAATCCTCAGAGAGGTCCAAATATCCACCTGCAGATTCTACCAAAAGTGTATTAGGAAACTGCTCCATCAAAAGGCATGTTCAGCTCTGTGAGTGAAACTCCATCATCACAAAGAATATTCTGAGAATGCTTCCGTTTGCCTTTTATATGAAGTTCCTTCCTATACTACCGTAGGCCTCAAAGCAGTCCAAATCTCCATTTGCAGATTCTACAAAAAGAGTGATTCCAATCTCCTCTATCAATAGGACTGTTCAACTCCATGAGTTGAATGCCATCCTCACAAAGTCGTTTCTGAGAATGCTTCTATCTAGTTTTTATGTGAAGATATTTCCTTTTCCACCACAGGCCTCAAAGCCCTCCAAACGTCCACTTGCAGATTCTCGAAAAAGAGTGTTTCATAGCTGCTCTTTCAAAAGGAAAGTTCAACTCTGGGAGTTGAATACAAACATCACAAATTAGTTTCCGAGAATGCTTCTGTTTAGTTTTTATGTGAAGATGATCCCGTTTCCAGTGAAATCTTCAAAGAGGTCCACATATCCCCTTGCAGATTCCAAAGAAAGAGGGTTTCAAAACTGCTCCATCAGAAGGATTGTTCAACTCTGTGAGTTGAATGCAGTCATCCCAGAAAACTTTCTGAGAATGCTTCTGTCTAGGTTTGATGTGAAGATATAGACGTTTCAAACGAAGGCTACAAAGTGGTCAAAATATACACTTGCAGATTCTACTACAAGGGTGTTGCAAACCTGAACTATCAAAGGAAGGTTCAACTCTGTGAGTTGAATACAAACATCACAAAGAATGTTCTGAGTTTGCTTCCGTTCAGTTATGGGAAGTTGATCCCGTTTCCAACGAAATCCTCAGAGAGGTCCAAATATCCCCTTGCAGATTCTACAAAACGTGTGTTTGGAAACTGCTCCATCATAACGAATGTTCAGCTCCCTGAGTTAAACTCCATCGTCACAAAGAATTTTCTGAGAGTGCTACCGTCTGGTTTTTATATGAAGTTCTTTCCTTCACTACCACAGGCCTCAAAGCGGTCCAAATCTCCACTTGCAGATTCTACAAAAAGAGAGTTTGCAAACTGCTCTATCAAAAGGAACGTTCAACTCTGGGAGTTGAATGCAATCATCACAGAGCAGTTTCTGAGAATGCTTCTATGTCGTTTTTAGGAGAAGATATTTCCTTTTCCAACACAGTCCTCCAAGCCCGCTAAATAGCCACTTGCACATTGTAGAAAAAGTGTGTCAAAGCTGCGCTATCAAAGGGAAAGTTCAACTCTGTGAGGTGAATGCAAACATCCCAAAGAAGTTTCTGAGAATGCTTCCGTTTAGCTTTTAGGTGAAGATTATCCCGTTTCCAACGAAACCTTCAAAGAGGTCCAAATATCCCCTTGCGGATCCCACAGAAAGAGTGTTTCGAAACTGCTGTTTCAAAAGGAATCTTCAACTCTGTGAGTTGAATGCAATCATCACAAAGAAGTTTCTGACAATGCTTCTCTCTCGTCTTTCTGTGAAGATAAAGGAAAAGGCTTTCAGGCCTTTGCCACCACAGGCCTGAAAGCGCTCCAAATGTCCACTTGCAGATTCTGCCAAAAGAATATTTCAAAACTGCTCTATGAAAAGCAATGTTAAACTCTGCGGCTCGAACACAAACATCACAAAGCGGTTTCTGAGAATGCTTCAGTTTAGTTTTTCTGTGGAAATATTCCCGTTTCCAAAGAAATCTTCAAAGAGGTCCACGTATCCACTAACAGATTCTACAAAAAGACAGTTTCAAAACTGCTCCATCAAAAGGAGGGTTCAACTGTGTGACTTGAATGCAATCATCACTCACAAGTTTCTGAGAATGCTTCTCTTTAGTTTTTACGTGAACATATACCCGTTTCGAACGAAGGCCAGCCAGTGGTCCAAATATCCACTTGCAGATTCTACAGAAAGAGTGTTTCGAACCTGAACTCTCAAAGGCAGGTTCATCTCTGCGAGTTAAATGCATTCATCATGAAGAACTTTCTCAGAGTGTTTGTGTTTAGTTATGGGAAATTATTCCCGTTTCCAACGAAATCCTCAGAGAGCTCCAAATATCCACCTGCAGATTCTACCAAAAGTGTATTTGGAAACTGCTCCATCAAAAGGCATGTTCAGCTCTGTGAGTGAAACTCCATCATCACAAAGAATATTCTGAGAATGCTTCCGTTTGCCTTTTATATGAAGTTCCTTCCTGTACTACCGTAGGCCTCAAAGCAGTCCAAATCTCCATTTGCAGATTCTACAAAAAGAGTGATTCCAATCTGCTCTATCAATAGGATTGTTCAACTCCATGAGTTGAATGCCATCCTCACAAAGTAGTTTCTGAGAATGCTTCTATCTAGTTTTTATGTGAAGATATTTCCTTTTCCACCACAGGCCTCAAAGCCCTCCAAACGTCCACTTGCAGATTCTCGAAAAAGAGTGTTTCATAGCTGCTCTTTCAAAAGGAAAGTTCAACTCTGGCAGTTGAATACAAACATCACAAAGTAGTTTCCGAGAATGCTTCTGTTTAGTTTTTATGTGAAGATGATCCCGTTTCCAGTGAAATCTTCAAAGAGGTCCACATATCCCCTTGCAGATTCCAAAGAAAGAGGGTTTCAAAACTGCTCCATCAGAAGGATTGTTCAACTCTGTGAGTTGAATGCAGTCATCGCAGAAAACTTTCTGAGAATGCTTCTGTCTAGGTTTGATGTGAAGATATAGACGTTTCAAACGAAGGCTACAAAGTGGTCAAAATATACACTTGCAGATTCTACTACAAGGGTGTTGCAAACCTGAACTATCAAAGGAAGGTTCAACTCTGTGAGTTGAATACAAACATCACAAAGAATGTTCTGAGTTTGCTTCCGTTCAGTTATGGGAAGTTGATCCCGTTTCCAACGAAATCCTCAGAGAGGTCCAAATATCCCCTTGCAGATTCTACAAAACGTGTGTTTGGAAACTGCTCCATCATAACGAATGTTCAGCTCTCTGAGTTAAACTCCATCGTCACAAAGAATTTTCTGAGAGTGCTACCGTCTAGTTTTTATATGAAGTTGTTTCCTTTACTACCACAGGCCTCAAAGCTTTTCCAAATCTCCACTTGCAGATTCTACAAAAAGAGTGTTTGCAAACTGCTCTATCAAAAGGAATGTTCAACTCTGGGAGTTGAATGCAATCATCACAGAGCAGTTTCTGAGAATGCTTCTATGTGGTTTTTAGGAGAAGATATTTCCTTTTCCAACACAGTCCTGCAAGCCCGCTAAATATCCACTTGCACATTTTAGAAAAAGTGTGTCGAAGCTGCGCTATCAAAGGGAAAGTTCAACTCTGTGAGGTGAATGCAAACATCCCAAAGAAGTTTCTGAGAATGCTTCCGTTTAGCTTTTAGGTGAAGATTATCCCGTTTCCAACGAAATCTTCAAAGAAGTCCAAATATCCCCTTGCGGATCCCACAGAAAGAGTGTTTCGAAACTGCTGTTTCAAAAGGAATCTTCAACTCTGTGAGTTGAATGCAATCATCACAAAGAAGTTTCTGACAATGCTTCTCTCTCGTCTTTCTGTGAAGATAAAGGAAAAGGCTTTCAGGCCTTTTCCACCACAGGCCTGAAAGCGCTCCAAATGTCCACTTGCAGATTCTGCCAAAAGAATATTTCAAAACTGCTCTATGAAAAGCAATGTTAAACTCTGCGGCTCGAACACAAACATCACAAAGCAGTTTCAGAGAATGCTTCAGTTTAGTTTTTCTGTGGAAATATTCCTGTTTCCAAAGAAATCTTCAAAGAGGTCCACGCATCCACTTACAGATTCTACAAAAAGACAGTTTCAAAACTGCTCAATCAAAAGGAGGGTTCAACTGTGTGACTTGAATGCAATCATCACTCAGAAGTTTCTGAGAACGCTTCTCTTTAGTTTTTACGTGAACATATACCCGTTTCGAACGAAGGCCAGCCAGTGGTCCAAATATCCACTTGCAGATTCTACAGAAAGAGTGTTTCGAACCTGAACTCTCAAAGGCAGGTTCATCTCTGCGAGTTAAATGCATTCATCATGAAGAACTTTCTCAGCGTGTTTGTGTTTAGTTATGGGAAATTATTCCCTTTTCCAACGAAATCCTCAGAGAGCTCCAAATATCCACCTGCAGATTCTACCAAAAGTGTATTTGGAAACTGCTCCATCAAAAGGCATGTTCAGCTCTGTGAGTGAAACTCCATCATCACAAAGAATATTCTGAGAATGCTTCCGTTTGCCTTTTATATGAAGTTCCTTCCTATATTACCGTAGGCCTCAAAGCAGTCCAAATCTCCATTTGCAGATTCTACAAAAAGAGTGACTCCAATCTGCTCTATCAATAGGATTGTTCAACTCCATGAGTTGAATGCCATCCTCACAAAGTCGTTTCTGAGAATGCTTCTATCTAGTTTTTATGTGAAGATATTTCCTTTTCCACCACAGGCCTCAAAGCCCTCCAAACGTCCACTTGCAGATTCTCGAAAAAGAGGGTTTCATAGCTGCTCTTTCAAAAGGAAAGTTCAACTCTGGGAGTTGAATACAAACATCACAAAGTAGTTTCCGAGAATGCTTCTGTTTAGTTCTTATGTGAAGATGATCCCGTTTCCAGTGAAATCTTCAAAGAGGTCCACATATTCCCTTGCAGATTCCAAAGAAAGAGGGTTTCAAAACTGCTCCATCAAAAGGATTGTTCAACTCTGTGAGTTGAATGCAGTCATCGCAGAAAACTTTCTGAGAATGCTTCTGTCTAGGTTTGATGTGAAGATATAGACGTTTCAAACGAAGGCTACAAAGTGGTCAAAATATACACTTGCAGATTCTACTACAAGGGTGATGCAAACCTGAACTATCAAAGGAAGGTTCAACTCTGTGAGTTGAATACAAACATCACAAAGAATGTTCTGAGTTTGCTTCCGTTCAGTTATGGGAAGTTGATCCCGTTTCCAACGAAATCCTCAGAGAGGTCCAAATATCCCCTTGCAGATTCTACAAAACGTGTGTTTGGAAACTGCTCCATCATAACGAATGTTCAGCTCTCTGAGTTAAACTCCATCGTCACAAAGAATTTTCTGAGAGTGCTACCGTCTAGTTTTTATATGAAGTTCTTTCCTTTACTACCACAGGCCTCAAAGCGGTCCAAATCTCCACTTGCAGATTCTACAAAAAGAGTGTTTGCAAACTGCTCTATCAAAAGGAATGTTCAACTCTGGGAGTTGAATGCAATCATCACAGAGCAGTTTCTGAGAATGCTTCTATGTCGTTTTTAGGAGAAGATATTTCCTTTTCCAACACAGTGCTCCAAGCCCGCTAAATATCCACTTGCAGATTGTAGAAAAAGTGTGTCGAAGCTGCGCTATCAAAGGGAAAGTTCAACTCTGTGAGGTGAATGCAAACATCCCAAAGAAGTTTCTGTGAATGCTTCCGTTTAGCTTTTAGGTGAAGATTATCCCGTTTCCAACGAAACCTTCAAAGAGGTCCAAATATCCCCTTGCGGATCCCACAGAAAGAGTGTTTCGAAACTGCTGTTTCAAAAGGAATCTTCAACTCTGTGAGTTGAAAGCAATCATCACAAAGAAGTTTCTGACAATGCTTCTCTCTCGTCTTTCTGCGAAGATAAAGGAAAAGGCTTTCAGGCCTTTTCCACCACAGGCCTGAAAGCGCTCCAAATGTCCACTTGCAGATTCTGCCAAAAGAATATTTCAAAACTGCTCTATGAAAAGCAATGTTAAACTCTGTGGCTCGAACACAAACATCACAAAGCAGTTTCTGAGAATGCTTCAGTTTAGTTTTTCTGTGGAAATATTCCCGTTTCCAAAGAAATCTTCAAAGAGGTCCACGCATCCACTTACAGATTCTACAAAAAGACAGTTTCAAAACTGCTCAATCAAAAGGAGGGTTCAACTGTGTGACTTGAATGCAATCATCACTCAGAAGTTTCTGAGAACGCTTCTCTTTAGTTTTTACGTGAACGTATACCCGTTTCGAACGAAGGCCAGCCAGTGGTCCAAATATCCACTTACAGATTCTACAGAAAGAGTGTTTCGAACCTGAACTCTCAAAGGCAGGTTCATCTCTGCGAGTTAAATGCATTCATCATGAAGAACTTTCTCAGCGTGTTTGTGTTTAGTTATGGGAAATTATTCCCGTTTCCAACGAAATCCTCAGAGAGCTCCAAATATCCACCTGCAGATTCTACCAAAAGTGTATTTGGAAACTGCTCCATCAAAAGGCATGTTCAGCTCTGTGAGTGAAACTCCATCATCACAAAGAATATTCTGAGAATGCTTCCGTTTGCCGTTTATATGAAGTTCCTTCCTATACTACCGTAGGCCTCAAAGCAGTCCAAATCTCCATTTGCAGATTCTACAAAAAGAGTGATTCCAATCTGCTCTATCAATAGGATTGTCCAACTCCATGTGTTGAATGCCATCCTCAATGTCGTTTCTGAGAATGCTTCTATCTAGTTTTTATGTGAAGATATTTCCTTTTCCACCACAGGCCTCAAAGCCCTCCAAACGTCCACTTTCAGATTCTCGAAAAAGAGTGTTTCATAGCTGCTCTTTCAAAAGGAAAGTTCAACTCTGGGAGTTGAATACAAACATCACAAAGTAGTTTCCGAGAATGCTTCTGTTTAGTTTTTATGTGAAGATGATCCCGTTTCCAGTGAAATCTTCAAAGAGGTCCACATATCCCCTTGCAGATTCCAAAGAAAGAGGGTTTCAAAACTGCTCCATCAGAAGGATTGTTCAACTCTGTGAGTTGAATGCAGTCATCGCAGAAAACTTTCTGAGAATGCTTCTGTCTAGGTTTGATGTGAAGATATAGACGTTTCAAACGAAGGCTACAAAGTGGTCAAAATATACACTTGCAGATTCTACTACAAGGGTGTTGCAAACCTGAACTATCAAAGGAAGGTTCAACTCTGTGAATTGAATACAAACATCACAAAGAATGTTCTGAGTTTGCTTCCGTTCAGTTATGGGAAGTTGATCCCGTTTCCAACGAAATCCTCAGAGAGGTCCAAATATCCCCTCGCAGATTCTACAAAACGTGTGTTTGGAAACTGCTCCATCATAACGAATGTTCAGCTCACTGAGTTAAACTCCATCGTCACAAAGAATTTTCTGAGAGTGCTACCGTCTGGTTTTTATATGAAGCTCTTTCCTTCACTACCACAGGCCTCAAAGCGGTCCAAATCTCCACTTGCAGATTCTACAAAAAGAGTGTTTGCAAACTGCTCTATCAAAAGGAATGTTCAACTCTGGGAGTTGAATGCAATCATCACAGAGCAGTTTCTGAGAATGCTTCTATGTCGTTTTTAGGAGAAGATATTTCCTTTTCCAACACAGTCCCCCAAGCCCGCTAAATAGCCACTTGCACATTGTGGAAAAAGTGTGTCAAAGCTGCGCTATCAAAGGGAAAGTTCAACTCTGTCAGGTGAATGCAAACATCCCAAAGAAGTTTCTGAGAATGCTTCCGTTTAGCTTTTAGGTGAAGATTATCCCGTTTCCAACGAAACCTTCAAAGAGGTCCAAATATCCCCTTGCGGATCCCACAGAAAGAGTGTTTCGAAACTGCTGTTTCAAAAGGAATCTTCAACTCTGTGAGTTGAATGCAATCATCACAAAGAAGTTTCTGACAATGCTTCTCTCTCGTCTTTCTGTGAAGATAAAGGAAAAGGCTTTCAGGCCGTTTCCACCACAGGCCTGAAAGCGCTCCAAATGTCCACTTGCAGATTCTGCGAAAAGAATATTTCAAAACTGCTCTACGAAAAGCAATGTTAAACTCTGTGGCTCGAACACAAACATCACAAAGCGGTTTCTGAGAATGCTTCAGTTTAGTTTTTCTGTGGAAATATTCCCGTTTCCAAAGAAATCTTCAAAGAGGTCCACGTATCCACTTACAGATTCTACAAAAAGACAGTTTCAAAACTGCTCCATCAAAAGGAGGGTTCAACTGTGTGACTTGAATGCAATCATCACTCAGAAGTTTCTGAGAATGCTTCTCTTTAGTTTTTACGTGAACATATACCCGTTTCGAACGAAGGCCACCCAGTGGTCCAAATATCCACTTGCAGATTCTACAGAAAGAGTGTTTCGAACCTGAACTCTCAAAGGCAGGTTCATCTCTGCGAGTTAAATGCATTCATCATGAAGAACTTTCTCAGAGTGTTTGTGTTTAGTTATGGGAAATTATTCCCGTTCCCAAAGAAATCCTCAGAGAGGTCCAAATGTCCACCTGCAGATTCTACCAAAAGTGTATTGGGAAACTGCTCCATCAACAGGCATGTTCAGCTCTGTGAGTGAAACTCCATCATCACAAAGAATATTCTGAGAATGCTTCCGTTTGCCTTTTATATGAAGTTCCTTCCTATACGACCGTAGGCCTCAAAGCAGTCCAAATCTCCATTTGCAGATTCTACAAAAAGAGTGATTCCAATCTGCTCTATCAATAGGATTGTTCAACTCCATGAGTTGAATGCCATCCTCACAAAGTCGTTTCTGAGAATGCTTCTATCTAGTTTTTATGTGAAGATATTTCCTTTTCCACCACAGGCCTCAAAGCCCTCCAAACGTCCACTTGCAGATTCTCGAAAAAGAGTGTTTCATAGCTGCTCTTTCAAAAGGAAAGTTCAACTCTGGGAGTTGAATACAAACATCACAAAGTAGTTTCCGAGAATGCTTCTGTTTAGTTTTTATGTGAAGATGATCCCGTTTCCAGTGAAATCTTCAAAGAGGTCCACATATCCCCTTGCAGATTCCAAAGAAAGAGGGTTTCAAAACTGCTCCATCAGAAGGATTGTTCAACTCTGTGAGTTGAATGCAGTCATCGCAGAAAACTTTCTGAGAATGCTTCTGTCTAGGTTTGATGTGAAGATATAGACGTTTCAAACGAAGGCTACAAAGTGGTCAAAATATACACTTGCAGATTCTACTACAAGGGTGTTGCAAACCTGAACTATCAAAGGAAGGTTCAACTCTGTGAGTTGAATACAAACATCACAAAGAATGTTCTGAGTTTGCTTCCGTTCAGTTATGGGAAGTTGATCCCGTTTCCAACGAAATCCTCAGAGAGGTCCAAATATCCCCTTGCAGATTCTACAAAACGTGTGTTTGGAAACTGCTCCATCATAACGAATGTTCAGCTCCCTGAGTTAAACTCCATCGTCACAAAGAATTTTCTGAGAGTGCTACCGTCTGGTTTTTATATGAAGTTCTTTCCTTCACTACCACAGACCTCAAAGCGGTCCAAATCTCCACTTGCAGATTCTACAAAAAGAGTGTTTGCAAACTGCTCTATCAAAAGGAATGTTCAACTCTGGGAGTTGAATGCAATCATCACAGAGCAGTTTCTGAGAATGCTTCTATGTCGTTTTTAGGAGAAGATATTTCCTTTTCCAACACAGTCCTCCAAGCCCGTTAAATAGCCACTTGCACATTGTAGAAAAAGTGTGTCAAAGCTGCGCTATCAAAGGGAAAGTTCAACTCTGTGAGGTGAATGCAAACATCCCAAAGAAGTTTCTGAGAATGCTTCCGTTTAGCTTTTAGGTGAAGATTATCCCGTTTCCAACGAAACCTTCAAAGAGGTCCAAATATCCCCTTGCGGATCCCACAGAAAGAGTGTTTCGAAACTGCTGTTTCAAAAGGAATCTTCAACTCTGTGAGTTGAATGCAATCATCACAAAGAAGTTTCTGACAATGCTTCTCTCTCGTCTTTCTGTGAAGATAAAGGAAAAGGCTTTCAGGCCTTTTCCACCACAGGCCTGAAAGCGCTCCAAATGTCCACTTGCAGATTCTGCGAAAAGAATATTTCAAAACTGCTCTATGAAAAGCAATGTTAAACTCTGCGGCTCGAACACAAACATCACAAAGCGGTTTCTGAGAATGCTTCAGTTTAGTTTTTCTGTGGAAATATTCCCGTTTCCAAAGAAATCTTCAAAGAGGTCCACGCATCCACTTACAGATTCTACAAAAAGACAGTTTCAAAACTGCTCCATCAAAAGGAGGGTTCAACTGTGTGACTTGAATGCAATCATCACTCAGAAGTTTCTGAGAATGCTTCTCTTTAGTTTTTACGTGAACATATACCCGTTTCGAACGAAGGCCACCCAGTGGTCCAAATATCCACTTGCAGATTCTACAGAAAGAGTGTTTCGAACCTGAACTCTCAAAGGCAGGTTCATCTCTGCGAGTTAAATGCATTCATCATGAAGAACTTTCTCAGAGTGTTTGTGTTTAGTTATGGGAAATTATTCCCGTTTCCAACGAAATCCTCAGAGAGCTCCAAATATCCACCTGCAGATTCTACCAAAAGTGTATTTGGAAACTGCTCCATCAAAAAGCATGTTCAGCTCTGTGAGTGAAACTCCATCATCACAAAGAATATTCTGAGAATGCTTCCGTTTGCCTTTTATATGAAGTTCCTTCCTGTACTACCGTAGGCCTCAAAGCAGTCCAAATCTCCATTTGCAGATTCTATAAAAAGAGTGATTCCAATCTGCTCTATCAATAGGATTGTTCAACTCCATGAGTTGAATGCCATCCTCACAAAGTAGTTTCTGAGAATGCTTCTATCTGGTTTTTGTGTGAAGATATTTCCTTTTCCACCACAGGCCTCAAAGCCCTCCAAACGTCCACTTGCAGATTTTCGAAAAAGAGTGTTTCATAGCTGCTCTTTCAAAAGGAAAGTTCAACTCTGGGAGTTGAATACAAACATCACAAAGTAGTTTCCGAGAATGCTTCTGTTTAGTTTTTATGTGAAGATGATCCCGTTTCCAGTGAAATCTTCAAAGAGGTCCACATATCCCCTTGCAGATTCCAAAGAAAGAGGGTTTCAAAACTGCTCCATCAGAGGATTGTTCAACTCTGTGAGTTGAATGCAGTCATCGCAGAAAACTTTCTGAGAATGCTTCTGTCTAGGTTTGATGTGAAGATATAGACGTTTCAAATGAAGGCTACAAAGTGGTCAAAATATACACTTGCAGATTCTACTACAAGGGTGTTGCAAACCTGAACTATCAAAGGAAGGTTCAACTCTGTGAGTTGAATACAAACATCACAAAGAATGTTCTGAGTTTGCTTCCGTTCAGTTATGGGAAGTTGATCCCGTTTCCAACGAAATCCTCAGAGAGGTCCAAATATCCCCTTGCAGATTCTACAAAACGTGTGTTTGGAAACTGCTCCATCATAACGAATGTTCAGCTCCCTGAGTTAAACTCCATCGTCACAAAGAATTTTCTGAGAGTGCTACCGTCTGGTTTTTATATGAAGTTCTTTCCTTCACTACCACAGGCCTCAAAGCGGTCCAAATCTCCACTTGCAGATTCTACAAAAAGAGTGTTTGCAAACTGCTCTATCAAAAGGAATGTTCAACTCTGGGAGTTGAATGCAATCATCACAGAGCAGTTTCTGAGAATGCTTCTATGTCGTTTTTAGGAGAAGATATTTCCTTTTCCAACACAGTCCTCCAAGCCCGCTAAATAGCCACTTGCACATTGTAGAAAAAGTGTGTCAAAGCTGCGCTATCAAAGGGAAAGTTGAACTCTGTGAGGTGAATGCAAACATCCCAAAGAAGTTTCTGAGAATGCTTCCGTTTAGCTTTTAGGTGAAGATTATCCCGTTTCCAACGAAACCTTCAAAGAGGTCCAAATATCCCCTTGCGGATCCCACAGAAAGAGTGTTTCGAAACTGCTGTTTCAAAAGGAATCTTCAACTCTGTGAGTTGAATGCAATCATCACAAAGAAGTTTCTGACAATGCTTCTCTCTCGTCTTTCTGTGAAGATAAAGGAAAAGGCTTTCAGGCCTTTTCCACCACAGGCCTGAAAGCGCTCCAAATGTCCACTTGCAGATTCTGCCAAAAGAATATTTCAAAACTGCTCTATGAAAAGCAATGTTAAACTCTGTGGCTCGAACACAAACATCACAAAGCAGTTTCTGAGAATGCTTCAGTTTAGTTTTTCTGTGGAAATATTCCCGTTTCCAAAGAAATCTTCAAAGAGGTCCACGTATGCACTTACAGATTCTACAAAAAGACAGTTTCAAAACTGCTCCATCAAAAGGAGGGTTCAACTGTGTGACTTGAATGCAATCATCACTCAGAAGTTTCTGAGAATGCTTCTCTTTAGTTTTTACGTGAACATATACCCGTTTCGAACGAAGGCCACCCAGTGGTCCAAATATCCACTTGCAGATTCTACAGAAAGAGTGTTTCGAACCTGAACTCTCAAAGGCAGGTTCATCTCTGTTAGTTAAATGCATTCATCATGAAGAACTTTCTCAGAGTGTTTGTGTTTAGTTATGGGAAATTATTCCCGTTTCCAACGAAATCCTCAGAGAGCTCCAAATATCCACCTGCAGATTCTACCAAAAGTGTATTTGGAAACTGCTCCATCAAAAGGCATGTTCAGCTCTGTGAGTGAAACTCCATCATCACAAAGAATATTCTGAGAATGCTTCCGTTTGCCTTTTATATGAAGTTCCTTCCTATACTACCGTAGGCCTCAAAGCAGTCCAAATCTCCATTTGCAGATTCTACAAAAAGAGTGATTCCAATCTGCTCTATCAATAGGATTGTTCAACTCCATGAGTTGAATGCCATCCTCACAAAGTCGTTTCTGAGAATGCTTCTATCTAGTTTTTATGTGAAGATATTTCCTTTTCCACCACAGGCCTCAAAGCCCTCCAAACGTCCTATTGCAGATTCTTGAAAAAGAGTGTTTCATAGCTGCTCTTTCACAAGGAAAGTTCAACTCTGGGAGTTGAATACAAACTTCACAAAGTAGTTTCCGAGAATGCTTCTGTTTAGTTCTTATGTGAAGATGATCCCGTTTCCAGTGAAATCTTCAAAGAGGTCCACATATCCCCTTGCAGATTCCAAAGAAAGAGGGTTTCAAAACTGCTCCATCAAAAGGATTGTTCAACTCTGTGAGTTGAATGCAGTCATCGCAGAAAACTTTCTGAGAATGCTTCTGTCTAGGTTTGATGTGAAGATATAGACGTTTCAAACGAAGGCTACAATGTGGTCAAAATATACACTTGCAGATTCTACTACAAGGGTGTTGCAAACCTCAACTATCAAAGGAAGGTTCAACTCTGTGAGATGAATGCAAACATCACAAAGAATGTTCTGAGTTTGCTTCCGTTCAGTTATGGGAAGTTGATCCCGTTTCCAACGAAATCCTCAGAGAGGTCCAAATATCCCCTTGCAGATTCTACAAAACGTGTGTTTGGAAACTGCTCCATCATAACGAATGTTCAGCTCTCTGAGTTAAACTCCATCGTCACAAAGAATTTTCTGAGAGTGCTACCGTCTGGTTTTTATATGAAGTTCTTTCCTTTACTACCACAGGCCTCAAAGCGGTCCAAATCTCCACTTGCAGATTCTACAAAAAGAGTGTTTGCAAACTGCTCTATCAAAAGGAATGTTCAACTCTGGGAGTTGAATGCAATCATCACAGAGCAGTTTCTGAGAATGCTTCTATGTCGTTTTTAGGAGAAGATATTTCCTTTTCCAACACAGTCCTCCAAGCCCGCTAAATATCCACTTGCACATTGTAGAAAAAGTGTGTCGAAGCTGCGCTATCAAAGGGAAAGTTCAACTCTGTGAGGTGAATGCAAACATCCCAAAGAAGTTTCTGAGAATGCGTCCGTTTAGCTTTTAGGTGAAGATTATCCCGTTTCCAACGAAATCTTCAAAGAGGTCCAAATATCCCCTTGCGGATCCCACAGAAAGAGTGTTTCGAAACTGCTGTTTCAAAAGGAATCTTCAACTCTGTGGGTTGAATGCAATCATCACAAAGAAGTTTCTGACAATGCTTCTCTCTCGTCTTTCTGTGAAGATAAAGGAAAAGGCTTTCAGGCCTTTTCCACCACAGGCCTGAAAGCGCTCCAAATGTCCACTTGCAGATTCTGCCAAAAGAATATTTCAAAACTGCTCTATGAAAAGCAATGTTAAACTCTGTGGCTCGAACACAAACATCACAAAGCGGTTTCTGAGAATGCTTCAGTTTAGTTTTTCTGTGGAAATATTCCCGTTTCCAAAGAAATCTTCAAAGAGGTCCACGTATCCACTTACAGATTCTACAAAAAGACAGTTTCAAAACTGCTCCATCAAAAGGAGGGTTCAACTGTGTGACTTGAATGCAATCATCACTCACAAGTTTCTGAGAATGCTTCTCTTTAGTTTTTACGTGAACATATACCCGTTTCGAACGAAGGCCAGCCAGTGGTCCAAATATCCACTTGCAGATTCTACAGAAAGAGTGTTTCGAACCTGAACTCTCAAAGGCAGGTTCATCTCTGCGAGTTAAATGCATTCATCATGAAGAACTTTCTCAGAGTGTTTGTGTTTAGTTATGGGAAATTATTCCCGTTTCCAACGAAATCCTCAGAGAGCTCCAAATATCCACCTGCAGATTCTACCAAAAGTGTATTTGGAAACTGCTCCATCAAAAGGCATGTTCAGCTCTGTGAGTGAAACTCCATCATCACAAAGAATATTCTGAGAATGCTTCCGTTTGCCTTTTATATGAAGTTCCTTCCTATACTACCTTAGGCCTCAAAGCAGTCCAAATCTCCATTTGCAGATTCTACAAAAAGAGTGATTCCAATCTGCTCTATCAATAGGATTGTTCAACTCCATGAGTTGAATGCCATCCTCACAAAGTCGTTTCTGAGAATGCTTCTATCTAGTTTTTATGTGAAGATATTTCCTTTTCCACCACAGGCCTCAAAGCCCTCCAAACGTCCACTTGCAGATTCTCGAAAAAGAGTGTTTCATAGCTGCTCTTTCAAAAGGAAAGTTCAACTCTGGGAGTTGAATACAAACATCACAAAGTAGTTTCCGAGAATGCTTCTGTTTAGTTTTTATGTGAAGATGATCCCGTTTCCAGTGAAATCTTCAAAGAGGTCCACATATCCTCTTGCAGATTCCAAAGAAAGAGGGTTTCAAAACTGCTCCATCAGAAGGATTGTTCAACTCTGTGAGTTGAATGCAGTCATCGCAGAAAACTTTCTGAGAATGCTTCTGTCTAGGTTTGATGTGAAGATATAGACGTTTCAAACGAAGGCTACAAAGTGGTCAAAATATACACTTGCAGATTCTACTACAAGGGTGTTGCAAACCTGAACTATCAAAGGAAGGTTCAACTCTGTGAGTTGAATACAAACATCACAAAGAATGTTCTGAGTTTGCTTCCGTTCAGTTATGGGAAGTTGATCCCGTTTCCAACGAAATCCTCAGAGAGGTCCAAATATCCCCTCGCAGATTCTACAAAACGTGTGTTTGGAAACTGCTCCATCATAACGAATGTTCAGCTCCCTGAGTTAAACTCCATCGTCACAAAGAATTTTCTGAGAGTGCTACCGTCTGGTTTTTATATGAAGTTCTTTCCTTCACTACCACAGGCCTCAAAGCGGTCCAAATCTCCACTTGCAGATTCTACAAAAAGAGTGTTTGCAAACTGCTCTATCAAAAGGAATGTTCAACTCTGGGAGTTGAATGCAATCATCACAGAGCAGTTTCTGAGAATGCTTCTATGTCGTTTTTAGGAGAAGATATTTCCTTTTCCAACACAGTCCTCCAAGCCCGCTAAATAGCCTCTTGCACATTGTAGAAAAAGTGTGTCAAAGCTGCGCTATCAAAGGGAAAGTTCAACTCTGTGAGGTGAATGCAAACATCCCAAAGAAGTTTCTGAGAATGCTTCCGTTTAGCTTTTAGGTGAAGATTATCCCGTTTCCAACGAAACCTTCAAAGAGGTCCAAATATCCCCTTGCGGATCCCACAGAAAGAGTGTTTCGAAACTGCTGTTTCAAAAGGAATCTTCAACTCTGTGAGTTGAATGCAATCATCACAAAGAAGTTTCTGACAATGCTTCTCTCTCGTCTTTCTGTGAAGATAAAGGAAAAGGCTTTCAGGCCTTTTCCACCACAGGCCTGAAAGCGCTCCAAATGTCCACTTGCAGATTCTGCCAAAAGAATATTTCAAAACTGCTCTATGAAAAGCAATGTTAAACTCTGTGGCTGGAACACAAACATCACAAAGCGGTTTCTGAGAATGTTTCAGTTTAGTTTTTCTGTGGAAATATTCCCGTTTCCAAAGAAATCTTCAAAGAGGTCCACGTATCCACTTACAGATTCTACAAAAAGACAGTTTCAAAACTGCTCCATCAAAAGGAGGGTTCAACTGTGTGACTTGAATGCAATCATCACTCAGAAGTTTCTGAGAATGCTTCTCTTTAGTTTTTACGTGAACATATACCCGTTTCGAACGAAGGCCACCCAGTGGTCCAAATATCCACTTGCAGATTATACAGAAAGAGTGTTTCGAACCTGAACTCTCAAAGGCAGGTTCATCTCTGCGAGTTAAATGCATTCATCATGAAGAACTTTCTCAGAGTGTTTGTGTTTAGTTATGGGAAATTATTCCCTTTTCCAACGAAATCCTCAGAGAGCTCCAAATATCCACCTGCAGATTCTACCAAAAGTGTATTTGGAAACTGCTCCATCAAAAGGCATGTTCAGCTCTGTGAGTGAAACTCCATCATCACAAAGAATATTCTGAGAATGCTTCCGTTTGCCTTTTATATGAAGTTCCTTCCTGTACTACCGTAGGCCTCAAAGCAGTCCAAATCTCCATTTGCAGATTCTACAAAAAGAGTGATTCCAATCTGCTCTATCAATAGGATTGTTCAACTCCATGAGTTGAATGCCATCCTCACAAAGTAGTTTCTGAGAATGCTTCTATCTAGTTTTTATGTGAAGATATTTCCTTTTCCACCACAGGCCTCAAAGCCCTCCAAACGTCCACTTGCAGATTCTCGAAAAAGAGTGTTTCATAGCTGCTCTTTCAAAAGGAAAGTTCAACTCTGGGAGTTGAATACAAACATCACAAAGTAGTTTCCGAGAATGCTTCTGTTTAGTTTTTATGTGAAGATGATCCCGTTTCCAGTGAAATCTTCAAAGAGGTCCACATATCCCCTTGCAGATTCCAAAGAAAGAGGGTTTCAAAACTGCTCCATCAGAAGGATTGTTCAACTCTGTGAGTTGAATGCAGTCATCGCAGAAAACTTTCTGAGAATGCTTCTGTCTAGGTTTGATGTGAAGATATAGACGTTTCAAACGAAGGCTACAAAGTGGTCAAAATATACACTTGCAGATTCTACTACAAGGGTGTTGCAAACCTGAACTATCAAAGGAAGGTTCAACTCTGTGAGTTGAATACAAACATCACAAAGAATGTTCTGAGTTTGCTTCCGTTCAGTTATGGGAAGTTGATCCCGTTTCCAACGAAATCCTCAGAGAGGTCCAAATATCCCCTCGCAGATTCTACAAAACGTGTGTTTGGAAACTGCTCCATCATAACGAATGTTCAGCTCCCTGAGTTAAACTCCATCGTCACAAAGAATTTTCTGAGAGTGCTACCGTCTGGTTTTTATATGAAGTTCTTTCCTTCACTACCACAGGCCTCAAAGCGGTCCAAATCTCCACTTGCAGATTCTACAAAAAGAGTGTTTGCAAACTGCTCTATCAAAAGGAATGTTCAACTCTGGGAGTTGAATGCAATCATCACAGAGCAGTTTCTGAGAATGCTTCTATGTCGTTTTTAGGAGAAGATATTTCCTTTTCCAACACAGTCCTCCAAGCCCGCTAAATAGCCACTTGCACATTGTAGAAAAAGTGTGTCAAAGCTGCGCTATCAAAGGGAAAGTTCAACTCTGTGAGGTGAATGCAAACATCCCAAAGAAGTTTCTGAGAATGCTTCCGTTTAGCTTTTAGGTGAAGATTATCCCGTTTCCAACGAAACCTTCAAAGAGGTCCAAATATCCCCTTGCGGATCCCACAGAAAGAGTGTTTCGAAACTGCTGTTTCAAAAGGAATCTTCAACTCTGTGAGTTGAATGCAATCATCACAAAGAAGTTTCTGACAATGCTTCTCTCTCGTCTTTCTGTGAAGATAAAGGAAAAGGCTTTCAGGCCTTTGCCACCACAGGCCTGAAAGCGCTCCAAATGTCCACTTGCAGATTCTGCGAAAAGAATATTTCAAAACTGCTCTATGAAAAGCAATGTTAAACTCTGTGGCTGGAACACAAACATCACAAAGCGGTTTCTGAGAATGTTTCAGTTTAGTTTTTCTGTGGAAATATTCCCGTTTCCAAAGAAATCTTCAAAGAGGTCCACGTATCCACTTACAGATTCTACAAAAAGACAGTTTCAAAACTGCTCCATCAAAAGGAGGGTTCAACTGTGTGACTTGAATGCAATCATCACTCAGAAGTTTCTGAGAATGCTTCTCTTTAGTTTTTACGTGAACATATACCCGTTTCGAACGAAGGCCACCCAGTGGTCCAAATATCCACTTGCAGATTATACAGAAAGAGTGTTTCGAACCTGAACTCTCAAAGGCAGGTTCATCTCTGCGAGTTAAATGCATTCATCATGAAGAACTTTCTCAGAGTGTTTGTGTTTAGTTATGGGAAATTATTCCCGTTTCCAACGAAATCCTCAGAGAGCTCCAAATATCCACCTGCAGATTCTACCAAAAGTGTATTTGGAAACTGCTCCATCAAAAGGCATGTTCAGCTCTGTCAGTGAAACTCCATCATCACAAAGAATATTCTGAGAATGCTTCCGTTTGCCTTTTATATGAAGTTCCTTCCTGTACTACCGTAGGCCTCAAAGCAGTCCAAATCTCCATTTGCAGATTCTACAAAAAGAGTGATTCCAATCTGCTCTATCAATAGGATTGTTCAACTCCATGAGTTGAATGCCATCCTCACAAAGTCGTTTCTGAGAATGCTTCTATCTGGTTTTTGTGTGAAGATATTTCCTTTTCCACCACAGGCCTCAAAGCCCTCCAAACGTCCACTTGCAGATTCTCGAAAAAGAGTGTTTCATAGCTACTCTTTCAAAAGGAAAGTTCAACTCTGGGAGTTGAATACAAACATCACAAAATAGTTTCCGAGAATGCTTCTGTTTAGTTTTTATGTGAAGATGATCCCGTTTCCAGTGAAATCTTCAAAGAGGTCCACATATCCCCTTGCAGATTCCAAAGAAAGAGGGTTTCAAAACTGCTCCATCAGAAGGATTGTTCAACTCTGTGAGTTGAATGCAGTCATCGCAGAAAACTTTCTGAGAATGCTTCTGTCTAGGTTTGATGTGAAGATATAGACGTTTCAAATGAAGGCTACAAAGTGGTCAAAATATACACTTGCAGATTCTACTACAAGGGTGTTGCAAACCTGAACTATCAAAGGAAGGTTCAACTCTGTGAGTTGAATACAAACATCACAAAGAATGTTCTGAGTTTGCTTCCGTTCAGTTATGGGAAGTTGATCCCGTTTCCAACGAAATCCTCAGAGAGGTCCAAATATCCCCTTGCAGATTCTACAAAACGTGTGTTTGGAAACTGCTCCATCATAACGAATGTTCAGCTCCCTGAGTTAAACTCCATCGTCACAAAGAATTTTCTGAGAGTGCTACCGTATGGTTTTTATATGAAGTTCTTTCCTTCACTACCACTGGCCTCAAAGCGGTCCAAATCTCCACTTGCAGATTCTACAAAAAGAGTGTTTGCAAACTGCTCTATCAAAAGGAATGTTCAACTCTGGGAGTTGAATGCAATCATCACAGAGCAGTTTCTGAGAATGCTTCTATGTCGTTTTTAGGAGAAGATATTTCCTTTTCCAACACAGTCCTCCAAGCCCGCTAAATAGCCACTTGCACATTGTAGAAAAAGTGTGTCAAAGCTGCGCTATCAAAGGGAAAGTTCAACTCTGTGAGGTGAATGCAAACATCCTAAAGAAGTTTCTGAGAATGCTTCCGTTTAGCTTTTAGGTGAAGATTATCCCGTTTCCAACGAAACCTTCAAAGAGGTCCAAATATCCCCTTGCGGATCCCACAGAAAGAGTGTTTCGAAACTGCTGTTTCAAAAGGAATCTTCAACTCTGTGAGTTGAATGCAATCATCACAAAGAAGTTTCTGACAATGCTTCTCTCTCGTCTTTCTGTGAAGATAAAGGAAAAGGCTTTCAGGCCTTTTCCACCACAGGCCTGAAAGCGCTCCAAATGTCCACTTGCAGATTCTGCCAAAAGAATATTTCAAAACTGCTCTATGAAAAGCAATGTTAAACTCTGTGGCTGGAACACAAACATCACAAAGCGGTTTCTGAGAATGTTTCAGTTTAGTTTTTCTGTGGAAATATTCCCGTTTCCAAAGAAATCTTCAAAGAGGTCCACGTATCCACTTACAGATTCTACAAAAAGACAGTTTCAAAACTGCTCCATCAAAAGGAGGGTTCAACTGTGTGACTTGAATGCAATCATCACTCAGAAGTTTCTGAGAATGCTTCTCTTTAGTTTTTACGTGAACATATACCCGTTTCGAACGAAGGCCACCCAGTGGTCCAAATATCCGCTTGCAGATTCTACAGAAAGAGTGTTTCGAACCTGAACTCTCAAAGGAAGGTTCATCTCTGCGAGTTAAATGCATTCATCATGAAGAACTTTCTCAGAGTGTTTGTGTTTAGTTATGGGAAATTATTCCCGTTTCCAACGAAATCCTCAGAGAGCTCCAAATATCCACCTGCAGATTCTACCAAAAGTGTATTTGGAAACTGCTCCATCAAAAGGCATGTTCAGCTCTGTGAGTGAAACTCCATCATCACAAAGAATATTCTGAGAATGCTTCCGTTTGCCTTTTATATGAAGTTCCTTCCTATACGACCGTAGGCCTCAAAGCAGTCCAAATCTCCATTTGCAGATTCTACAAAAAGAGTGATTCCAATCTGCTCTATCAATAGGATTGTTCAACTCCATGAGTTGAATGCCATCCTCACAAAGTCGTTTCTGAGAATGCTTCTATCTAGTTTTTATGTGAAGATATTTCCTTTTCCACCACAGGCCTCAAAGCCCTCCAAACGTCCACTTGCAGATTCTCGAAAAGGAGTGTTTCATAGCTGCTCTTTCAAAAGGAAAGTTCAACTCTGGGAGTTGAATACAAACATCACAAAGTAGTTTCCGAGAATGCTTCTGTTTAGTTTTTATGTGAAGATGATCCCGTTTCCAGTGAAATCTTCAAAGAGGTCCACATATCCCCTTGCAGATTCCAAAGAAAGAGGGTTTCAAAACTGCTCCATCAGAAGGATTGTTCAACTCTGTGAGTTGAATGCAGTCATCGCAGAAAACTTTCTGAGAATGCTTCTGTCTAGGTTTGATGTGAAGATATAGACGTTTCAAACGAAGGCTACAAAGTGGTCAAAATATACACTTGCAGATTCTACTACAAGGGTGTTGCAAACCTGAACTATCAAAGGAAGGTTCAACTCTGTGAGTTGAATACAAACATCACAAAGAATGTTCTGAGTTTGCTTCCGTTCAGTTATGGGAAGTTGATCCCGTTTCCAACGAAATCCTCAGAGAGGTCCAAATATCCCCTTGCAGATTCTACAAAACGTGTGTTTGGAAACTGCTCCATCATAACGAATGTTCAGCTCCCTGAGTTAAACTCCATCGTCACAAAGAATTTTCTGAGAGTGCTACCGTCTGGTTTTTATATGAAGTTCTTTCCTTCACTACCACAGGCCTCAAAGCAGTCCAAATCTCCACTTGCAGATTCTACAAAAAGAGAGTTTGCAAACTGCTCTATCAAAAGGAATGTTCAACTCTGGGAGTTGAATGCAATCATCACAGAGCAGTTTCTGAGAATGCTTCTATGTCGTTTTTAGGAGAAGATATTTCCTTTTCCAACACAGTCCTCCAAGCCCGCTAAATAGCCACTTGCACATTGTAGAAAAAGTGTGTCAAAGCTGCGCTATCAAAGGGAAAGTTCAACTCTGTGAGGTGAATGCAAACATCCCAAAGAAGTTTCTGAGAATGCTTCCGTTTAGCTTTTAGGTGAAGATTATCCCGTTTCCAACGAAACCTTCAAAGAGGTCCAAATATCCCCTTGCGGATCCCACAGAAAGAGTGTTTCGAAACTGCTGTTTCAAAAGGAATCTTCAACTCTGTGAGTTGAATGCAATCATCACAAAGAAGTTTCTGACAATGCTTCTCTCTCGTCTTTCTGTGAAGATAAAGGAAAAGGCTTTCAGGCCTTTTCCACCACAGGCCTGAAAGCGCTCCAAATGTCCACTTGCAGATTCTGCGAAAAGAATATTTCAAAACTGCTCTATGAAAAGCAATGTTAAACTCTGTGGCTGGAACACAAACATCACAAAGCGGTTTCTGAGAATGTTTCAGTTTAGTTTTTCTGTGGAAATATTCCCGTTTCGAAAGAAATCTTCAAAGAGGTCCAAGCATCCACTTACAGATTCTACAAAAAGACAGTTTCAAAACTGCTCAATCAAAAGGAGGGTTCAACCGTGTGACTTGAATGCAATCATCACTCAGAAGTTTCTGAGAACGCTTCTCTTTAGTTCTTACGTGAACATATACCCGTTTCGAACGAAGGCCACCCAGTGGTCCAAATATCCACTTGCAGATTCTACAGAAAGAGTGTTTCGAACCTGAACTCTCAAAGGCAGGTTCATCTCTGCGAGTTCAATGCATTCATCATGAAGAACTTTCTCAGAGTGTTTGTGTTTAGTTATGGGAAATTATTCCCGTTTCCAACGAAATCCTCAGAGAGGTCCAAATATCCACCTGCAGATTCTACCAAAAGTGTATTTGGAAACTGCTCCATCAAAAGGCATGTTCAGCTCTGTGAGTGAAACTCCATCATCACAAAGAATATTCTGAGAATGCTTCCGTTTGCCTTTTATATGAAGTTCCTTCCTATACTACCGTAGGCCTCAAAGCAGTCCAAATCTCCATTTGCAGATTCTACAAAAAGAGTGATTCCAATCTGCTCTATCAATAGGATTGTTCAACTCCATGAGTTGAATGCCATCCTCACAAAGTAGTTTCTGAGAATGCTTCTATCTAGTTTTTATGTGAAGATATTTCCTTTTCCACCACAGGCCTCAAAGCCCTCCAAACGTCCACTTGCAGATTCTCGAAAAAGAGTGTTTCATAGCTGCTCTTTCAAAAGGAAAGTTCAACTCTGGGAGTTGAATACAAACATCACAAAGTAGTTTCCGAGAATGCTTCTGTTTAGTTGTTATGTGAAGATGATCCCGTTTCCAGTGAAATCTTCAAAGAGGTCCATATATCCCCTTGCAGATTCCAAAGAAAGAGGGTTTCAAAACTGCTCCATCAAAAGGATTGTGCAACTCTGTGAGTTGAATGCAGTCATCACAGAAAACTTTCTGAGAATGCTTCTGTCTAGGTTTGAGGTGAAGATATAGACGTTTCAAACGAAGGCTACAAAGTGGTCAAAATATACACTTGCAGATTCTACTACAAGGGTGATGCAAACCTCAACTATAAAAGGAAGGTTCAACTCTGTGAGTTGAATACAAACATCACAAAGAATGTTCTGAGTTTGCTTCCGTTCAGTTATGGGAAGTTGATCCCGTTTCCAACGAAATCCTCAGAGAGGTCCAAATATCCCCTTGCAGATTCTACAAAACGTGTGTTTGGAAACTGCTCCATCATAACGAATGTTCAGCTCTCTGAGTTAAACTCCATCGTCACAAAGAATTTTCTGAGGGTGCTACCCTCTGGTTTTTATATGAAGTTGTTTCCTTTACTACCACAGGCCTCAAAGCGGTCCAAATCTCCACTTGCAGATTCTACAAAAAGAGTGTTTGCAAACTGCTCTATCAAAAGGAATGTTCAACTCTGGGAGTTGAAAGCAATCATCACAGAGCAGTTTCTGAGAATGCTTCTATGTCGTTTTTAGGAGAAGATATTTCCTTTTCCAACACAGTCCTCCAAGCCCGCTAAATATCCACTTGCACATTGTAGAAAAAGTGTGTCGAAGCTGCGCTATCAAAGGGAAAGTTCAACTCTGTGAGGTGAATGCAAACATCCCAAAGAAGTTTCTGAGAATACTTCCGTTTAGCTTTTAGGTGAAGATTATCCCGTTTCCAACGAAATCTTCAAAGAGGTCCAAATATCCCCCTGCGGATCCCACAGAAAGAGTGTTTCGAAACTGCTGTTTCAAAAGGAATCTTCAACTCTGTGAGTTGAATGCAATCATCACAAAGAAGTTTCTGACAATGCTTCTCTCTCGTCTTTCTGTGAAGATAAAGGAAAAGGCTTTCAGGCCTTTTCCACCACAGGCCTGAAAGCGCTCCAAATGTCCACTTGCAGATTCTGCCAAAAGAATATTTCAAAACTGCTCTACGAAAAGCAATGTTAAACTCTGTGGCTCGAACACAAACATCACAAAGCCGTTTCTGAGAATGCTTCAGTTTAGTTTTTCTGTGGAAATATTCCCGTTTCCAAAGAAATCTTCAAAGAGGTCCACGCATCCACTTACAGATTCTACAAAAAGACAGTTTCAAAACTGCTCAATCAAAAGGAGGGTTCAACTGTGTGACTTGAATGCAATCATCACTCAGAAGTTTCTGAGAACGCTTCTCTTTAGTTTTTACGTGAACATATACCCGTTTCGAAAGAAGGCCAGCCAGTGGTCCAAATATCCACTTGCAGATTCTACAGAAAGAGTGTTTCGAACCTGAACTCTCAAAGGCAGGTTCATCTCTGCGAGTTCAATGCATTCATCATGAAGAACTTTCTCAGCGTGTTTGTGTTTAGTTATGGGAAATTATTCCCGTTTCCAACGAAATCCTCAGAGAGCTCCAAATATCCACCTGCAGATTCTACCAAAAGTGTATTTGGAAACTGCTCCATCAAAAGGCATGTTCAGCTCTGTGAGTGAAACTCCATCATCACAAAGAATATTCTGAGAATGCTTCCGTTTGCCTTTTATATGAACTTCCTTCCTATACTACCGTAGGCCTCAAAGCAGTCCAAATCTCCATTTGCAGATTCTACAAAAAGAGTGATTCCAATCTGCTCTATCAATAGGATTGTTCAGCTCCATGAGTTGAATGCCATCCTCACAAAGTAGTTTCTGAGAATGCTTCTATCTAGTTTTTATGTGAAGATATTTCCTTTTCCACCACAGGCCTCAAAGCCCTCCAAACGTCCACTTGCAGATTCTCGAAAAAGAGTGTTTCATAGCTGCTCTTTCAAAAGGAAAGTTCAACTCTGGGAGTTGAATACAAACATCACAAAGTAGTTTCCGAGAATGCTTCTGTCTAGGTTTGATGTGAAGATATAGACGTTTCAAACGAAGGCTACAAAGTGGTCAAAATATACACTTGCAGATTCTACTACAAGGGTGTTGCAAACCTGAACTATCAAAGGAAGGTTCAACTCTGTGAATTGAATACAAACATCACAAAGAATGTTCTGAGTTTGCTTCCGTTCAGTTATGGGAAGTTGATCCCGTTTCCAACGAAATCCTCAGAGAGGTCCAAATATCCCCTTGCAGATTCTACAAAACGTGTGTTTGGAAACTGCTCCATCATAACGAATGTTCAGCTCCCTGAGTTAAACTCCATCGTCACAAAGAATTTTCTGAGAGTGTTACCGTCTGGTTTTTATATGAAGTTCTTTCCTTCACTACCACAGGCCTCAAAGCGGTCCAAATCTCCACTTGCAGATTCTACAAAAAGAGTGTTTGCAAACTGCTCTATCAAAAGGAATGTTCAACTCTGGGAGTTGAATGCAATCATCACAGAGCAGTTTCTGAGAATGCTTCTATGTCGTTTTTAGGAGAAGATATTTCCTTTTCCAACACAGTCCTCCAAGCCCGCTAAATAGCCACTTGCACATTGTAGAAAAAGTGTGTCAAAGCTGCGCTATCAAAGGGAAAGTTCAACTCTGTGAGGTGAATGCAAACATCCCAAAGAAGTTTCTGAGAATGCTTCCGTTTAGCTTTTAGGTGAAGATTATCCCGTTTCCAACGAAACCTTCAAAGAGGTCCAAATATCCCCTTGCGGATCCCACAGAAAGAGTGTTTCGAAACTGCTGTTTCAAAAGGAATCTTCAACTCTGTGAGTTGAATGCAATCATCACAAAGAAGTTTCTGACAATGCTTCTCTCTCGTCTTTCTGTGAAGATAAAGGAAAAGGCTTTCAGGCCTTTTCCACCACAGGCCTGAAAGCGCTCCAAATGTCCACTTGCAGATTCTGCCAAAAGAATATTTCAAAACTGCTCTATGAAAAGCAATGTTAAACTCTGTGGCTCGAACACAAACATCACAAAGCAGTTTCTGAGAATGCTTCAGTTTAGTTTTTCTGTGGAAATATTCCCGTTTCGAAAGAAATCTTCAAAGAGGTCCACGTATCCACTTACAGATTCTACAAAAAGACAGTTTCAAAACTGCTCAATCAAAAGGAGTGTTCAACCGTGTGACTTGAATGCAATCATCACTCAGAAGTTTCTGAGAATGCTTCTCTTTAGTTTTTACGTGAACATATACCCGTTTCGAACGAAGGCCACCCAGTGGTCCAAATATCCACTTGCAGATTCTACAGAAAGAGTGTTTCGAACCTGAACTCTCAAAGGCATGTTCATCTCTGCGAGTTCAATGCATTCATCATGAAGAACTTTCTCAGAGTGTTTGTGTTTAGGTATGGGAAATTATTCCCGTTTCCAACGAAATCCTCAGAGAGGTCCAAATATCCACCTGCAGATTCTACCAAAAGTGTATTTGGAAACTGCTCCATCAAAAGGCATGTTCAGCTCTGTGAGTGAAACTCCATCATCACAAAGAATATTCTGAGAATGCTTCCATTTGCCTTTTATATGAAGTTCCTTCCTATACTACCGTAGGCCTCAAAGCAGTCCAAATCTCCATTTGCAGATCCTACAAAAAGAGTGATTCCAATCTGCTCTATCAATAGGATTGTTCAACTCCATGAGTTGAATGCCATCCTCACAAAGTAGTCTCTGAGAATGCTTCTATCTAGTTTTTATGTGAAGATATTTCCTTTTCCACCACAGCCTCAAAGCCCTCCAAACGTCCACTTGCAGATTCTCGAAAAAGAGTGTTTCATAGCTGCTCTTTCAAAAGGAAAGTTCAACTCTGGGAGTTGAATACAAACATCACAAAGTAGTTTCCGAGAATGCTTCTGTTTAGTTCTTATGTGAAGATGATCCCGTTTCCAGTGAAATCTTCAAAGAGGTCCACATATCCCCTTGCAGATTCCAAAGAAAGAGGGTTTCAAAACTGCTCCATCAAAAGGATTGTTCAACTCTGTGAGTTGAATGCAGTCATCGCAGAAAACTTTCTGAGAATGCTTCTTTCTAGGTTTGATGTGAAGATATAGACGTTTCAAACGAAGGCTACAAAGTGGTCAAAATATACACTTGCAGATTCTACTACAAGGGTGTTGCAAACCTGAACTATCAAAGGAAGGTTCAACTCTGTGAGTTGAATACAAACATCACAAAGAATGTTCTGAGTTTGCTTCCGTTCAGTTATGGGAAGTTGATCCCGTTTCCAACGAAATCCTCAGAGAGGTCCAAATATCCCCTTGCAGATTCTACAAAACGTGTGTTTGGAAACTGCTCCATCATAACGAATGTTCAGCTCTCTGAGTTAAACTCCATCGTCACAAAGAATTTTCTGAGAGTGCTACCGTCTGGTTTTTATATGAAGTTCTTTCCTTTACTACCACAGGCCTCAAAGCGGTCCAAATCTCCACTTGCAGATTCTACAAAAAGAGTGTTTGCAAACTGCTCTATCAAAAGGAATGTTCAACTCTGGGAGTTGAATGCAATCATCACAGAGCAGTTTCTGAGAATGCTTCTATGTCGTTTTTAGGAGAAGATATTTCCTTTTCCAACACAGTCCTCCAAGCCCGCTAAATATCCACTTGCACATTGTAGAAACAGTGTGTCGAAGCTGCGCTATCAAAGGGAAAGTTCAACTCTGTGAGGTGAATGCAAACATCCCAAAGAAGTTTCTGAGAATGCTTCCGTTTAGCTTTTAGGTGAAGATTATCCCGTTTCCAACGAAATCTTCAAAGAGGTCCAAATATCCCATTGCGGATCCCACAGAAAGAGTGTTTCGAAAATGCTGTTTCAAAAGGAATCTTCAACTCTGTGGGTTGAATGCAATCATCACAAAGAAGTTTCTGACAATGCTTCTCTCTCGTCTTTCTGTGAAGATAAAGGAAAAGGCTTTCAGGCCTTTTCCACCACAGGCCTGAAAGCGCTCCAAATGTCCACTTGCAGATTCTGCCAAAAGAATATTTCAAAACTGCTCTATGAAAAGCAATGTTAAACTCTGTGGCTCGAACACAAACATCACAAAGCAGTTTCTGAGAATGCTTCAGTTTAGTTTTTCTGTGGAAATATTCCCGTTTCCAAAGAAATCTTCAAAGAGGTCCACGTATCCACTTACAGATTCTACAAAAAGACAGTTTCAAAACTGCTCCATCAAAAGGAGGGTTCAACTGTGTGACTTGAATGCAATCATCACTCACAAGTTTCTGAGAATGCTTCTCTTTAGTTTTTACGTGAACATATACCCGTTTCGAACGAAGGCCAGCCAGTGGTCCAAATATCCACTTGCAGATTCTACAGAAAGAGTGTTTCGAACCTGAACTCTCAAAGGCAGGTTCATCTCTGCGAGTTAAATGCATTCATCATGAAGAACTTTCTCAGAGTGTTTGTGTTTAGTTATGGGAAATTATTCCCGTTTCCAACGAAATCCTCAGAGAGCTCCAAATATCCACCTGCAGATTCTACCAAAAGTGTATTTGGAAACTGCTCCATCAAAAGGCATGTTCAGCTCTGTGAGTGAAACTCCATCATCACAAAGAATATTCTGAGAATGCTTCCGTTTGCCTTTTATATGAAGTTCCTTCCTATACGACCGTAGGCCTCAAAGCAGTCCAAATCTCCATTTGCAGATTCTACAAAAAGAGTGATTCCAATCTGCTCTATCAATAGGATTGTTCAACTCCATGAGTTGAATGCCATCCTCACAAAGTCGTTTCTGAGAATGCTTCTATCTAGTTTTTATGTGAAGATATTTCCTTTTCCACCACAGGCCTCAAAGCCCTCCAAACGTCCACTTGCAGATTCTCGAAAAAGAGTGTTTCATAGCTGCTCTTTCAAAAGGAAAGTTCAACTCTGGGAGTTGAATACAAACATCACAAAGTAGTTTCCGAGAATGCTTCTGTTTAGTTTTTATGTGAAGATGATCCCGTTTCCAGTGAAATCTTCAAAGAGGTCCACATATCCCCTTGCAGATTCCAAAGAAAGAGGGTTTCAAAACTGCTCCATCAGAAGGATTGTTCAACTCTGTGAGTTGAATGCAGTCATCGCAGAAAACTTTCTGAGAATGCTTCTGTCTAGGTTTGATGTGAAGATATAGACGTTTCAAACGAAGGCTACAAAGTGGTCAAAATATACACTTGCAGATTCTACTACAAGGGTGTTGCAAACCTGAACTATGAAAGGAAGGTTCAACTCTGTGAGTTGAATACAAACATCACAAAGAATGTTCTGAGTTTGCTTCCGTTCAGTTATGGGAAGTTGATCCCGTTTCCAACGAAATCCTCAGAGAGGTCCAAATATCCCCTTGCAGATTCTACAAAACGTGTGTTTGGAAACTGCTCCATCATAACGAATGTTCAGCTCCCTGAGTTAAACTCCATCGTCACAAAGAATTTTCTGAGAGTGCTACCGTCTGGTTTTTATATGAAGTTCTTTCCTTCACTACCACAGGCCTCAAAGCGGTCCAAATCTCCACTTGCAGATTCTACAAAAAGAGTGTTTGCAAACTGCTCTATCAAAAGGAATGTTCAACTCTGGGAGTTGAATGCAATCATCACAGAGCAGTTTCTGAGAATGCTTCTATGTCGTTTTTAGGAGAAGATATTTCCTTTTCCAACACAGTCCTCCAAGCCCGCTAAATAGCCACTTGCACATTGTAGAAAAAGTGTGTCAAAGCTGCGCTATCAAAGGGAAAGTTCAACTCTGTGAGGTGAATGCAAACATCCCAAAGAAGTTTCTGAGAATGCTTCCGTTTAGCTTTTAGGTGAAGATTATCCCGTTTCCAACGAAACCTTCAAAGAGGTCCAAATATCCCCTTGCGGATCCCACAGAAAGAGTGTTTCGAAACTGCTGTTTCAAAAGGAATCTTCAACTCTGTGAGTTGAATGCAATCATCACAAAGAAGTTTCTGACAATGCTTCTCTCTCGTCTTTCTGTGAAGATAAAGGAAAAGGCTTTCAGGCCTTTTCCACCACAGGCCTGAAAGCGCTCCAAATGTCCACTTGCAGATTCTGCCAAAAGAATATTTCAAAACTGCTCTATGAAAAGCAATGTTAAACTCTGTGGCTCGAACACAAACATCACAAAGCGGTTTCTGAGAATGCTTCAGTTTAGTTTTTCTGTGGAAATATTCCCGTTTCCAAAGAAATCTTCAAAGAGGTCCACGTATCCACTTACAGATTCTACAAAAAGACAGTTTCAAAACTGCTCCATCAAAAGGAGGGTTCAACTGTGTGACTTGAATGCAATCATCACTCAGAAGTTTCTGAGAATGCTTCTCTTTAGTTTTTACGTGAACATATACCCGTTTCGAACGAAGGCCAGCCAGTGGTCCAAATATCCACTTGCAGATTCTACAGAAAGAGTGTTTCGAACCTGAACTCTCAAAGGCAGGTTCATCTCTGCGAGTTAAATGCATTCATCATGAAGAACTTTCTCAGAGTGTTTGTGTTTAGTTATGGGAAATTATTCCCGTTTCCAACGAAATCCTCAGAGAGCTCCAAATATCCACCTGCAGATTCTACCAAAAGTGTATTTGGAAACTGCTCCATCAAAAGGCATGTTCAGCTCTGTGAGTGAAACTCCATCATCACAAAGAATATTCTGAGAATGCTTCCGTTTGCCTTTTATATGAAGTTCCTTCCTATACTACCTTAGGCCTCAAAGCAGTCCAAATCTCCATTTGCAGATTCTACAAAAAGAGTGATTCCAATCTGCTCTATCAATAGGATTGTTCAACTCCATGAGTTGAATGCCATCCTCACAAAGTCGTTTCTGAGAATGCTTCTATCTAGTTTTTATGTGAAGATATTTCCTTTTCCACCACAGGCCTCAAAGCCCTCCAAACGTCCACTTGCAGATTCTCGAAAAAGAGTGTTTCATAGCTGCTCTTTCAAAAGGAAAGTTCAACTCTGGGAGTTGAATACAAACATCACAAAGTAGTTTCCGAGAATGCTTCTGTTTAGTTTTTATGTGAAGATGATCCCGTTTCCAGTGAAATCTTCAAAGAGGTCCCACATATCCCCTTGCAGATTCCAAAGAAAGAGGGTTTCAAAACTGCTCCATCAAAAGGATTGTTCAACTCTGTGAGTTGAATGCAGTCATCGCAGAAAACTTTCTGAGAATGCTTCTGTCTAGGTTTGATGTGAAGATATAGACGTTTCAAACGAAGGCTACAAAGTGGTCAAAATATACACTTGCAGATTCTACTACAAGGGTGATGCAAACCTCAACTATCAAAGGAAGGTTCAACTCTGTGAGATGAATGCAACCATCACAAAAAATGTTCTGAGTTTGCTTCCGTTTAGTTATGGGAAATTGATACCGTTTCCAACGAAATCCTCAGAGAGGTCCAAATATCCCCTTGCAGATTCTACAAAACGTGTGTTTGGAAACTGCTCCATCATAACGAATGTTCAGCTCTCTGAGTTAAACTCCATCGTCACAAAGAATTTTCTGAGAGTGCTACCGTCTACTTTTTATATGAAGTTCTTTCCTTTACTACCACAGGCCTCAAAGCGGTCCAAATCTCCACTTGCAGATTCTACAAAAAGAGTGTTTGCAAACTGCTCTATCAAAAGGAATGTTCAACTCTGGGAGTTGAATGCAATCATCACAGAGCAGTTTCTGAGAATGCTTCTATGTCGTTTTTAGGAGAAGATATTTCCTTTTCCAACACAGTCCTCCAAGCCCGCTAAATATCCACTTGCACATTGTAGAAAAAGTGTGTCGAAGCTGCGCTATCAAAGGGAAAGTTCAACTCTGTGAGGTGAATGCAAACATCCCAAAGAAGTTTTCTGAGAATGCTTCCGTTTAGCTTTCAGGTGAAGATTATCCCGTTTCCAACGAAATCTTCAAAGAGGTCCAAATATCCCCTTGCGGATCCCACAGAAAGAGTGTTTCGAAACTGCTGTTTCAAAAGGAATCTTCAACTCTGTGAGTTGAATGCAATCATCACAAAGAAGTTTCTGACAATGCTTCTCTCTCGTCTTTCTGTGAAGATAAAGGAAAAGGCTTTCAGGCCTTTTCCACCACAGGCCTGAAAGCACTCCAAATGTCCACTTGCAGATTCTGCCAAAAGAATATTTCAAAACTGCTCTATGAAAAGCAATGTTAAACTCTGTGGCTCGAACACAAACATCACAAAGCAGTTTCTGAGAATGCTTCAGTTTAGTTTTTCTGTGGAAATATTCCCGTTTCCAAAGAAATCTTCAAAGAGGTCCACGCATCCACTTACAGATTCTACAAAAAGACAGTTTCAAAACTGCTCCATCAAAAGGAGGGTTCAACTGTGTGACTTGAATGCAATCATCACTCAGAAGTTTCTGAGAACGCTTCTCTTTAGTTTTTACGTGAACATATACCCGTTTCGAACGAAGGCCAGCCAGTGGTCCAAATATCCACTTGCAGATTCTACAGAAAGAGTGTTTCGAACCTGAACTCTCAAAGGCAGGTTCATCTCTGCGAGTTAAATGCATTCATCATGAAGAACTTTCTCAGCGTGTTTGTGTTTAGTTATGGGAAATTATTCCCGTTTCCAACGAAATCCTCAGAGAGCTCCAAATATCCACCTGCAGATTCTACCAAAAGTGTATTTGGAAACTGCTCCATCAAAAGGCATGTTCAGCTCTGTGAGTGAAACTCCATCATCACAAAGAATATTCTGAGAATGCTTCCGTTTGCCTTTTATATGAAGTTCCTTCCTATACTACCGTAGGCCTCAAAGCAGTCCAAATCTCCATTTGCAGATTCTACAAAAAGAGTGATTCCAATCTGCTCTATCAATAGGATTGTTCAACTCCATGAGTTGAATGCCATCCTCACAAAGTCGTTTCTGAGAATGCTTCTATCTAGTTTTTATGTGAAGATATTTCCTTTTCCACCACAGGCCTCAAAGCCTTCCAAACGTCCACTTGCAGATTCTCGAAAAAGAGTGTTTCATAGCTGCTCTTTCAAAAGGAAAGTTCAACTCTGGGAGTTGAATACAAACATCACAAAGTAGTTTCCGAGAATGCTTCTGTTTAGTTTTTATGTGAAGATGATCCCGTTTCCAGTGAAATCTTCAAAGAGGTCCACATATCCCCTTGCAGATTCCAAAGAAAGAGGGTTTCAAAACTGCTCCATCAGAAGGATTGTTCAACTCTGTGAGTTGAATGCAGTCATCGCAGAAAACTTTCTGAGAATGCTTCTGTCTAGGTTTGATGTGAAGATATAGACGTTTCAAACGAAGGCTACAAAGTGGTCAAAATATACACTTGCAGATTCTACTACAAGGGTGTTGCCAACCTGAACTATCAAAGGAAGGTTCAACTCTGTGAGTTGAATACAAACATCACAAAGAATGTTCTGAGTTTGCTTCCGTTCAGTTATGGGAAGTTGATCCCGTTTCCAACGAAATCCTCAGAGAGGTCCAAATATCCCCTTGCAGATTCTACAAAACGTGTGTTTGGAAACTGCTCCATCATAACGAATGTTCAGCTCCCTGAGTTAAACTCCATCGTCACAAAGAATTTTCTGAGAGTGCTACCGTCTGGTTTTTATATGAAATTCTTTCCTTCACTACCACAGACCTCAAAGCGGTCCAAATCTCCACTTGCAGATTCTACAAAAAGAGTGTTTGCAAACTGCTCTATCAAAAGGAATGTTCAACTCTGGGAGTTGAATGCAATCATCACAGAGCAGTTTCTGAGAATGCTTCTATGTCGTTTTTAGGAGAAGATATTTCCTTTTCCAACACAGTCCTCCAAGCCCGCTAAATAGCCACTTGCACATTGTAGAAACAGTGTGTCAAAGCTGCGCTATCAAAGGGAAAGTTCAACTCTGTGAGGTGAATGCAAACATCCCAAAGAAGTTTCTGAGAATGCTTCCGTTTAGCTTTTAGGTGAAGATTATCCCGTTTCCAACGAAACCTTCAAAGAGGTCCAAATATCCCCTTGCGGATCCCACAGAAAGAGTGTTTCGAAACTGCTGTTTCAAAAGGAATCTTCAACTCTGTGAGTTGAATGCAATCATCACAAAGAAGTTTCTGACAATGCTTCTCTCTCGTCTTTCTGTGAAGATAAAGGAAAAGGCTTTCAGGCCTTTTCCACCACAGGCCTGAAAGCGCTCCAAATGTCCACTTGCAGATTCTGCGAAAAGAATATTTCAAAACTGCTCTATGAAAAGCAATGTTAAACTCTGTGGCTCGAACACAAACATCACAAAGCGGTTTCTGAGAATGCTTCAGTTTAGTTTTTCTGTGGAAATATTCCCGTTTCCAAAGAAATCTTCAAAGAGGTCCACTGTATCCACTTACAGATTCTACAAAAAGACAGTTTCAAAACTGCTCCATCAAAAGGAGGGTTCAACTGTGTGACTTGAATGCAATCATCACTCAGAAGTTTCTGAGAATGCTTCTCTTTAGTTTTTACGTGAACATATACCCGTTTCGAACGAAGGCCACCCAGTGGTCCAAATATCCACTTGCAGATTCTACAGAAAGAGTGTTTCGAACCTGAACTCTCAAAGGCAGGTTCATCTCTGCGAGTTAAATGCATTCATCATGAAGAACTTTCTCAGAGTGTTTGTGTTTAGTTATGGGAAATTATTCCCGTTTCCAACGAAATCCTCAGAGAGCTCCAAATATCCACCTGCAGATTCTACCAAAAGTGTATTTGGAAACTGCTCCATCAAAAGGCACGTTCAGCTCTGTGAGTGAAACTCCATCATCACAAAGAATATTCTGAGAATGCTTCCGTTTGCCTTTTATATGAAGTTCCTTCCTATACGACCGTAGGCCTCAAAGCAGTCCAAATCTCCATTTGCAGATTCTACAAAAAGAGTGATTCCAATCTGCTCTATCAATAGGATTGTTCAACTCCATGAGTTGAATGCCATCCTCACAAAGTCGTTTCTGAGAATGCTTCTATCTAGTTTTTATGTGAAGATATTTCCTTTTCCACCACAGGCCTCAAAGCCCTCCAAACGTCCACTTGCAGATTCTCGAAAAAGAGTGTTTCATAGCTGCTCTTTCAAAAGGAAAGTTCAACTCTGGGAGTTGAATACAAACATCACAAAGTAGTTTCCGAGAATGCTTCTGTTTAGTTTTTATGTGAAGATGATCCCGTTTCCAGTGAAATCTTCAAAGAGGTCCACATATCCCCTTGCAGATTCCAAAGAAAGAGGGTTTCAAAACTGCTCCATCAGAAGGATTGTTCAACTCTGTGAGTTGAATGCAGTCATCGCAGAAAACTTTCTGAGAATGCTTCTGTCTAGGTTTGATGTGAAGATATAGATGTTTCAAACGAAGGCTACAAAGTGGTCAAAATATACACTTGCAGATTCTACTACAAGGGTGTTGCAAACCTGAACTATCAAAGGAAGGTTCAACTCTGTGAGTTGAATACAAACATCACAAAGAATGTTCTGAGTTTGCTTCCGTTCAGTTATGGGAAGTTGATCCCGTTTCCAACGAAATCCTCAGAGAGGTCCAAATATCCCCTTGCAGATTCTACAAAACGTGTGTTTGGAAACTGCTCCATCATAACGAATGTTCAGCTCCCTGAGTTAAACTCCATCGTCACAAAGAATTTTCTGAGAGTGCTACCGTCTGGTTTTTATATGAAGCTCTTTCCTTCACTACCACAGGCCTCAAAGCGGTCCAAATCTCCACTTCCAGATTCTACAAAAAGAGTGTTTGCAAACTGCTCTATCAAAAGGAATGTTCAACTCTGGGAGTTGAATGCAATCATCACAGAGCAGTTTCTGAGAATGCTTCTATGTCGTTTTTAGGAGAAGATATTTCCTTTTCCAACACAGTCCTCCAAGCCCGCTAAATAGCCACTTGCACATTGTAGAAAAAGTGTGTCAAAGCTGCGCTATCAAAGGGAAAGTTCAACTCTGTGAGGTGAATGCAAACATCCCAAAGAAGTTTCTGAGAATGCTTCCGTTTAGCTTTTAGGTGAAGATTATCCCGTTTCCAACGAAACCTTCAAAGAGGTCCAAATATCCCCTTGCGGATCCCACAGAAAGAGTGTTTCGAAACTGCTGTTTCAAAAGGAATCTTCAACTCTGTGAGTTGAATGCAATCATCACAAAGAAGTTTCTGACAATGCTTCTCTCTCGTCTTTCTGTGAAGATAAAGGAAAAGGCTTTCAGGCCTTTGCCACCACAGGCCTGAAAGCGCTCCAAATGTCCACTTGCAGATTCTGCCAAAAGAATATTTCAAAACTGCTCTATGAAAAGCAATGTTAAACTCTGTGGCTCGAACACAAACATCACAAAGCGGTTTCTGAGAATGCTTCAGTTTAGTTTTTCTGTGGAAATATTCCCGTTTCCAAAGAAATCTTCAAAGAGGTCCACGTATCCACTTACAGATTCTACAAAAAGACAGTTTCAAAACTGCTCCATCAAAAGGAGGGTTCAACTGTGTGACTTGAATGCAATCATCACTCAGAAGTTTCTGAGAATGCTTCTCTTTAGTTTTTACGTGAACATATACCCGTTTCGAACGAAAGCCAGCCAGTGGTCCAAATATCCACTTGCAGATTCTACAGAAAGAGTGTTTCGAACCTGAACTCTCAAAGGCAGGTTCATCTCTGCGAGTTAAATGCATTCATCATGAAGAACTTTCTCAGCGTGTTTGTGTTTAGTTATGGGAAATTATTCCCGTTTCCAACGAAATCCTCAAAGAGCTCCAAATATCCACCTGCAGATTCTACCAAAAGTGTATTTGGAAACTGCTCCATCAAAAGGCATGTTCAGCTCTGTGAGTGAAACTCCATCATCACAAAGAATATTCTGAGAATGCTTCCGTTTGCCTTTTATCTGAAGTTCCTTCCTATACGACCGTAGGCCTCAAAGCAGTCCAAATCTCCATTTGCAGATTCTACAAAAAGAGTGATTCCAATCTGCTCTGTCAATAGGATTGTTCAACTCCATGAGTTGAATGCCATCCTCACAAAGTAGTTTCTGAGAATGCTTCTATCTAGTTTTTATGTGAAGATATTTCCTTTTCCACCACAGGCCTCAAAGCCCTCCAAACGTCCACTTGCAGATTCTCGAAAAAGAGTGTTTCATAGCTGCTCTTTCAAAAGGAAAGTTCAACTCTGGGAGTTGAATACAAACATCACAAAGTAGTTTCCGAGAATGCTTCTGTTTAGTTTTTATGTGAAGATGATCCCGTTTCCAGTGAAATCTTCAAAGAAGTCCACATATCCCCTTGCAGATTCCAAAGAAAGAGGGTTTCAAAACTGCTCCATCAGAAGGATTGTTCAACTCTGTGAGTTGAATGCAGTCATCGCAGAAAACTTTCTGAGAATGCTTCTGTCTAGGTTTGATGTGAAGATATAGACGTTTCAAACGAAGGCTACAAAGTGGTCAAAATATACACTTGCAGATTCTACTACAAGGGTGTTGCAAACCTGAACTATCAAAGGAAGGTTCAACTCTGTGAGTTGAATACAAACATCACAAAGAATGTTCTGAGTTTGCTTCCGTTCAGTTATGGGAAGTTGATCCCGTTTCCAACGAAATCCTCAGAGAGGTCCAAATATCCCCTCGCAGATTCTACAAAACGTGTGTTTGGAAACTGCTCCATCATAACGAATGTTCAGCTCCCTGAGTTAAACTCCATCGTCACAAAGAATTTTCTGAGAGTGCTACCGTCTGGTTTTTATATGAAGTTCTTTCCTTCACTACCACAGGCCTCAAAGCGGTCCAAATCTCCACTTGCAGATTCTACAAAAAGAGTGTTTGCAAACTGCTCTATCAAAAGGAATGTTCAACTCTGGGAGTTGAATGCAATCATCACAGAGCAGTTTCTGAGAATGCTTCTATGTCGTTTTTAGGAGAAGATATTTCCTTTTCCAACACAGTCCTCCAAGCCCGCTAAATAGCCACTTGCACATTGTAGAAAAAGTGTGTCAAAGCTGCGCTATCAAAGGGAAAGTTCAACTCTGTGAGGTGAATGCAAACATCCCAAAGAAGTTTCTGAGAATGCTTCCGTTTAGCTTTTAGGTGAAGATTATCCCGTTTCCAACGAAACCTTCAAAGAGGTCCAAATATCCCCTTGCGGATCCCACAGAAAGAGTGTTTCGAAACTGCTGTTTCAAAAGGAATCTTCAACTCTGTGAGTTGAATGCAATCATCACAAAGAAGTTTCTGACAATGCTTCTCTCTCGTCTTTCTGTGAAGATAAAGGAAAAGGCTTTCAGGCCTTTGCCACCACAGGCCTGAAAGCGCTCCAAATGTCCACTTGCAGATTCTGCGAAAAGAATATTTCATAACTGCTCTATGAAAAGCAATGTTAAACTCTGTGGCTCGAACACAAACATCACAAAGCAGTTTCTGAGAATGCTTCAGTTTAGTTTTTCTGTGGAAATATTCCCGTTTCCAAAGAAATCTTCAAAGAGGTCCACGCATCCACTTACAGATTCTACAAAAAGACAGTTTCAAAACTGCTCCATCAAAAGGAGGGTTCAACTGTGTGACTTGAATGCAATCATCACTCAGAAGTTTCTGAGAATGCTTCTCTTTAGTTTTTACGTGAACATATACCCGTTTCGAACGAAGGCCAGCCAGTGGTCCAAATATCCACTTGCAGATTCTACAGAAAGAGTGTTTCGAACCTGAACTCTCAAAGGCAGGTTCATCTCTGCGAGTTAAATGCATTCATCATGAAGAACTTTCTCAGAGTGTTTGTGTTTAGTTATGGGAAATTATTCCCGTTTCCAACGAAATCCTCAGAGAGCTCCAAATATCCACCTGCAGATTCTACCAAAAGTGTATTTGGAAACTGCTCCATCAAAAGGCATGTTCAGCTCTGTGAGTGAAACTCCATCATCACAAAGAATATTCTGAGAATGCTTCCGTTTGCCTTTTATATGAAGTTCCTTCCTGTACTACCGTAGGCCTCAAAGCAGTCCAAATCTCCATTTGCAGATTCTATAAAAAGAGTGATTCCAATCTGCTCTATCAATAGGATTGTTCAACTCCATGAGTTGAATGCCATCCTCACAAAGTCGTTTCTGAGAATGCTTCTATCTGGTTTTTGTGTGAAGATATTTCCTTTTCCACCACAGGCCTCAAAGCCCTCCAAACGTCCACTTGCAGATTCCCGAAAAAGAGTGTTTCATAGCTGCTCTTTCAAAAGGAAAGTTCAACTCTGGGAGTTGAATACAAACATCACAAAGTAGTTTCCGAGAATGCTTCTGTTTAGTTTTTATGTGAAGATGATCCCGTTTCCAGTGAAATCTTCAAAGAGGTCCACATATCCCCTTGCAGATTCCAAAGAAAGAGGGTTTCAAAACTGCTCCATCAGAAGGATTGTTCAACTCTGTGAGTTGAATGCAGTCATCGCAGAAAACTTTCTGAGAATGCTTCTGTCTAGTTTTGATGTGAAGATATAGACGTTTCAAACGAAGGCTACAAAGTGGTCAAAATATACACTTGCAGATTCTACTACAAGGGTGTTGCAAACCTGAACTATCAAAGGAAGGTTCAACTCTGTGAGTTGAATACAAACATCACAAAGAATGTTCTGAGTTTGCTTCCGTTCAGTTATGGGAAGTTGATCCCGTTTCCAACGAAATCCTCAGAGAGGTCCAAATATCCCCTTGCAGATTCTACAAAACGTGTGTTTGGAAACTGCTCCATCATAACGAATGTTCAGCTCCCTGAGTTAAACTCCATCGTCACAAAGAATTTTCTGAGAGTGCTACCGTCTGGTTTTTATATGAAGTTCTTTCCTTCACTACCACAGGCCTCAAAGCGGTCCAAATCTCCACTTGCAGATTCTACAAAAAGAGTGTTTGCAAACTGCTCTATCAAAAGGAATGTTCAACTCTGGGAGTTGAATGCAATCATCACAGAGCAGTTTCTGAGAATGCTTCTATGTGGTTTTTAGGAGAAGATATTTCCCTTTCCACCACAGTCCTCCAAGCCCGCTAAATATCCACTTGCACATTGTAGAAAAAGTGTGTCGAAGCTGCGCTATCAAAGGGAAAGTTCAACTCTGTGAGGTGAATGCAAACATCCCAAAGAAGTTTCTGAGAATGCTTCCGCTTAGGTTTTAGGTGAAGATTATCCCGTTTCCAACGAAATCTTCAAAGAGGTCCAAATATCCCCTTGCGGATCCCACAGAAAGAGTGTTTCGAAACTGCTGTTTCAAAAGGAATCTTCAACTCTGTGAGTTGAATGCAATCATCACAAAGAAGTTTCTGACAATGCTTCTCTCTCGTCTTTCTGTGAAGATAAAGGAAAAGGCTTTCAGGCCTTTTCCACCACAGGCCTGAAAGCGCTCCAAATGTCCACTTGCAGATTCTGCCAAAAGAATATTTCAAAACTGCTCTATGAAAAGCAATGTTAAACTCTGTCGCTCGAACACAAACATCACAAAGCAGTTTCTGAGAATGCTTCAGTTTAGTTTTTCTGTGGAAATATTCCCGTTTCCAAAGAAATCTTCAAAGAGGTCCACGTATCCACTTACAGATTCTACAAAAAGACAGTTTCAAAACTGCTCCATCAAAAGGAGGGTTCAACTGTGTGACTTGAATGCAATCATCACTCAGAAGTTTCTGAGAATGCTTCTCTTTAGTTTTTACGTGAACATATACCCGTTTCGAACGAACGCCACCCTGTGGTCCAAATATCCACTTGCAGATTCTACAGAAAGAGTGTTTCGAACCTGAACTCTCAAAGGCAGGTTCATCTCTGCGAGTTAAATGCATTCATCATCAAGAACTTTCTCAGAGTGTTTGTGTTTAGTTATGGGAAATTATTCCCGTTTCCAACGAAATCCTCAGAGAGCTCCAAATATCCACCTGCAGATTCTACCAAAAGTGTATTTGGAAACTGCTCCATCAAAAGGCATGTTCAGCTCTGTGAGTGAAACTCCATCATCACAAAGAATATTCTGAGAATGCTTCCGTTTGCCTTTTATATGAACTTCCTTCCTGTACTACCGTAGGCCTCAAAGCAGTCCAAATCTCCATTTGCAGATTCTACAAAAAGAGTGATTCCAATCTTCTCTATCAATAGGATTGTTCAACTCCATGAGTTGAATGCCATCCTCACAAAGTAGTTTCTGAGAATGCTTCTATCTGGTTTTTATGTGAAGATATTTCCTTTTCCACCACAGGCCTCAAAGCCCTCCAAACGTCCACTTGCAGATTCTCGAAAAAGAGTGTTTCATAGCTGCTCTTTCAAAAGGAAAGTTCAACTCTGGGAGTTGAATACAAACATCACAAAGTAGTTTCCGAGAATGCTTCTGTTTAGTTTTTATGTGAAGATGATCCCGTTTCCAGTGAAATCTTCAAAGAGGTCCACATATCCCCTTGCAGATTCCAAAGAAAGAGGGTTTCAAAACTGCTCCATCAAAAGGATTGTTCAACTCTGTGTGTTGAATGCAGTCATCGCAGAAAACTTTCTGAGAATGCTTCTGTCTAGGTTTGATGTGAAGATATAGACGTTTCAAACGAAGGCTACAAAGTGGTCAAAATATACACTTGCAGATTCTACTACAAGGGTGTTGCAAACCTGAACTATCAAAGGAAGGTTCAACTCTGTGAGTTGAATACAAACATCACAAAGAATGTTCTGAGTTTGCTTCCGTTCAGTTATGGGAAGTTGATCCCGTTTCCAACGAAATCCTCAGAGAGGTCCAAATATCCCCTTGCAGATTCTACAAAACGTGTGTTTGGAAACTGCTCCATCATAACGAATGTTCAGCTCCCTGAGTTAAACTCCATCGTCACAAAGAATTTTCTGAGAGTGCTACCGTCTGGTTTTTATATGAAGTTCTTTCCTTCACTACCACAGGCCTCAAAGCGGTCCAAATCTCCACTTGCAGATTCTACAAAAAGAGAGTTTGCAAACTGCTCTATCAAAAGGAACGTTCAACTCTGGGAGTTGAATGCAATCATCACAGAGCAGTTTCTGAGAATGCTTCTATGTCGTTTTTAGGAGAAGATATTTCCTTTTCCAACACAGTCCTCCAAGCCCGCTAAATAGCCACTTGCACATTGTAGAAAAAGTGTGTCAAAGCTGCGCTATCAAAGGGAAAGTTCAACTCTGTGAGGTGAATGCAAACATCCCAAAGAAGTTTCTGAGAATGCTTCCGTTTAGCTTTTAGGTGAAGATTATCCCGTTTCCAACGAAACCTTCAAAGAGGTCCAAATATCCCCTTGCGGATCCCACAGAAAGAGTGTTTCGAAACTGCTGTTTCAAAAGGAATCTTCAACTCTGTGAGTTGAATGCAATCATCAAAAAGAAGTTTCTGACAATGCTTCTCTCTCGTCTTCCTGTGAAGATAAAGGAAAAGGCTTTCAGGCCTTTTCCACCACAGGCCTGAAAGCGCTCCAAATGTCCACTTGCAGATTCTGCCAAAAGAATATTTCAAAACTGCTCTATGAAAAGCAATGTTAAACTCTGTGGCTCGAACACAAACATCACAAAGCAGTTTCTGAGAATGCTTCAGTTTAGTTTTTCTGTGGAAATATTCCCGTTTCCAAAGAAATATTCAAAGAGGTCCACGTATCCACTTACAGATTTTACAAAAAGACAGTTTCAAAACTGCTCAATCAAAAGGAGGGTTCAACTGTGTGACTTGAATGTAATCATCACTCAGAAGTTTCTGAGAATGCTTCTGTTTAGTTTTTACGTGAACATATAGCCGTTTCGAACGAAGGCCACCCAGTGGTCCAAATATCCACTTGCAGATTCTACAGAAAGAGTGTTTCGAACCTGAACTCTCAAAGGCAGGTTCATCTCTGCGAGTTCAATGCATTCATCATGAAGAACTTTCTCAGCGTGTTTGTGTTTAGTTATGGGAAATTATTCCCGTTTCCAACGAAATCCTCAGAGAGCTCCAAATATCCACCTGCAGATTCTACCAAAAGTGTATTTGGAAACTGCTCCATCAAAAGGCATGTTCAGCTCTGTGAGTGAAACTCCATCATCACAAAGAATATTCTGAGAATGCTTCCGTTTGCCTTTTATATGAAGTTCCTTCCTATACGACCGTAGGCCTCAAAGCAGTCCAAATCTCCATTTGCAGATTCTACAAAAAGAGTGATTCCAATCTGCTCTATCAATAGGACTGTTCAACTCCATGAGTTGAATGCCATCCTCACAAAGTCGTTTCTGAGAATGCTCCTATGTAGTTTTTATGTGAAGATATTTCCTTTTCCACCACAGGCCTCAAAGCCCTCCAAACGTCCACTTGCAGATTCTCGAAAAAGAGTGTTTCATAGCTGCTCTTTCAAAAGGAAAGTTCAACTCTGGGAGTTGAATACAAACATCACAAAGTAGTTTCCGAGAATGCTTCTGTTTAGTTCTTATGTGAAGATGATCCCGTTTCCAGTGAAATCTTCAAAGAGGTCCACATATCCCCTTGCAGATTCCAAAAAAAGAGGGTTTCAAAACTGCTCCATCAAAAGGATTGTTCAACTCTGTGAGTTGAATGCAGTCATCGCAGAAAACTTTCTGAGAATGCTTCTGTCTAGGTTTGATGTGAAGATATAGACGTTTCAAACGAAGGCTACAAAGTGGTCAAAATATACACTTGCAGATTCTACTACAAGGGTGTTGCAAACCTCAACTATCAAAGGAAGGTTCAACTCTGTGAGTTGAATACAAACATCACAAAGAATGTTCTGAGTTTGCTTCCGTTCAGTTATGGGAAGTTGATCACGTTTCCAACGAAATCCTCAGAGAGGTCCAAATATCCCCTTGCAGATTCTACAAAACGTGTGTTTGGAAACTGCTCCATCATAACGAATGTTCAGCTCTCTGAGTTAAACTCCATCGTCACAAAGAATTTTCTGAGAGTGCTACCATCTAGTTTTTATATGAAGTTCTTTCCTTTACTACCACAGGCCTCAAAGCGGTCCAAATCTCCACTTGCAGATTCTACAAAAAGAGTATTTGCAAACTGCTCTATCAAAAGGAATGTTCAACTCTGGGAGTTGAATGCAATCATCACAGAGCAGTTTCTGAGAATGCTTCTATGTGGTTTTTAGGAGAAGATATTTCCTTTTCCAACACAGTCCTGCAAGCCCGCTAAATATCCACTTGCACATTTTAGAAAAAGTGTGTCGAAGCTGCGCTATCAAAGGGAAAGTTCAACTCTGTGAGGTGAATGCAAACATCCCAAAGAAGTTTCTGAGAATGCTTCCGTTTAGCTTTTAGGTGAAGATTATCCCGTTTGCAACGAAATCTTCAAAGAGGTCCAAATATCCCCTTGCGGATCCCACAGAAAGAGTGTTTCGAAACTGCTGTTTCAAAAGGAATCTTCAACTCTGTGAGTTGAATGCAATCATCACAAAGAAGTTTCTGACAATGCTTCTCTCTCGTCTTTCTGTGAAGATAAAGGAAAAGGCTTTCAGGCCTTTTCCACCACAGGCCTGAAAGCGCTCCAAATGTCCACTTGCAGATTCTGCCAAAAGAATATTTCAAAACTGCTCTATGAAAAGCAATGTTAAACTCTGTGGCTCGAACACAAACATCACAAAGCGGTTTCTGAGAATGCTTCAGTTTAGTTTTTCTGTGGAAATATTCCCGTTTCCAAAGAAATCTTCAAAGAGGTCCACGTATCCACTTACAGATTCTACAAAAAGACAGTTTCAAAACTGCTCCATCAAAAGGAGGGTTCAACTGTGTGACTTGAATGCAATCATCACTCAGAAGTTTCTGAGAATGCTTCTCTTTAGTTTTTACGTGAACATATACCCGTTCCGAACGAAGGCCAGCCAGTGGTCCAAATATCCACTTGCAGATTCTACAGAAAGAGTGTTTCGAACCTGAACTCTCAAAGGCAGGTTCATCTCTGCGAGTTAAATGCATTCATCATGAAGAACTTTCTCAGAGTGTTTGTGTTTAGTTATGGGAAATTATTCCCGTTTCCAACGAAATCCTCAGAGAGCTCCAAATATCCACCTGCAGATTCTACCAAAAGTGTATTTGGAAACTGCTCCATCAAAAGGCACGTTCAGCTCTGTGAGTGAAACTCCATCATCACACAAAATATTCTGAGAATGCTTCCGTTTGCCTTTTATATGAAGTTCCTTCCTATACTACCGTAGGCCTCAAAGCAGTCCAAATCTCCATTTGCAGATTCTACAAAAAGAGTGATTCCAATCTCCTCTATCAATAGGACTGTTCAACTCCATGAGTTGAATGCCATCCTCACAAAGTCGTTTCTGAGAATGCTTCTATCTAGTTTTTATGTGAAGATATTTCCTTTTCCACCACAGGCCTCAAAGCCCTCCAAACGTCCACTTGCAGATTCTCGAAAAAGAGTGTTTCATAGCTGCTCTTTCAAAAGGAAAGTTCAACTCTGGGAGTTGAATACAAACATCACAAATTAGTTTCCGAGAATGCTTCTGTTTAGTTCTTATGTGAAGATGATCCCGTTTCCAGTGAAATCTTCAAAGAGGTCCACATATCCCCTTGCAGATTCCAAAGAAAGAGGGTTTCAAAACTGCTCCATCAAAAGGATTGTTCAACTCTGTGAGTTGAATGCAGTCATCGCAGAAAACTTTCTGAGAATGCTTCTGTCTAGGTTTGATGTGAAGATATAGACGTTTCAAACGAAGGCTACATAGTGGTCAACATATACACTTGCAGATTCTACTACAAGGGTGATGCAAACCTGAACTATCAAAGGAAGGTTCAACTCTGTGAGTTGAATACAAACATCACAAAGAATGTTCTGAGTTTGCTTCCGTTCAGTTATGGGAAGTTGATCCCGTTTCCAACGAAATCCTCAGAGAGGTCCAAATATCCCCTTGCAGATTCTACAAAACGTGTGTTTGGAAACTGCTCCATCATAACGAATGTTCAGCTCTCTGAGTTAAACTCCATCGTCACAAAGAATTTTCTGAGAGTGCTACCGTCTAGTTTTTATAGGAAGTTCTTTCCTTTACTACCACAGGCCTCAAAGCGGTCCAAATCTCCACTTGCAGATTCTACAAAAAGAGTGTTTGCAAACTGCTCTATCAAAAGGAATGTTCAACTCTGGGAGTTGAATGCAATCATCACAGAGCAGTTTCTGAGAATGCTTCTATGTCGTTTTTAGGAGAAGATATTTCCTTTTCCAACACAGTCCTCCAAGCCCGCTAAATATCCACTTGCACATTGTAGAAAAAGTGTGTCGAAGCTGCGCTATCAAAGGGAAATTTCAACTCTGTGAGGTGAATGCAAACATCCCAAAGAAGTTTCTGAGAATGCTTTCGTTTAGCTTTTAGGTGAAGATTATCCCGTTTGCAACGAAATCTTCAAAGAGGTCTAAATATCCCCTTGCGGATCCCACAGAAAGAGTGTTTCGAAACTGCTGTTTCAAAAGGAATCTTCAACTCTGTGAGTTGAATGCAATCATCACAAAGAAGTTTCTGACAATGCTTCTCTCTCGTCTTTCTGTGAAGATAAAGGAAAAGGCTTTCAGGCCTTTTCCACCACAGGCCTGAAAGCGCTCCAAATGTCCACTTGCAGATTCTGCCAAAAGAATATTTCAAAACTGCTCTATGAAAAGCAATGTTAAACTCTGTGGCTGGAACACAAACATCACAAAGCGGTTTCTGAGAATGTTTCAGTTTAGTTTTTCTGTGGAAATATTCCCGTTTCCAAAGAAATCTTCAAAGAGGTCCACGTATCCACTTACAGATTCTATAAAAAGACAGTTTCAAAACTGCTCCATCAAAAGGAGGGTTCAACTGTGTGACTTGAATGCAATCATCACTCAGAAGTTTCTGAGAATGCTTCTCTTTAGTTTTTACGTGAACATATACCCGTTTCGAACGAAGGCCACCCAGTGGTCCAAATATCCACTTGCAGATTCTACAGAAAGAGTGTTTCGAACCTGAACTCTCAAAGGCAGGTTCATCTCTGCGAGTTAAATGCATTCATCATGAAGAACTTTCTCAGAGTGTTTGTGTTTAGTTATGGGAAATTATTCCCGTTTCCAACGAAATCCTCAGAGAGCTCCAAATATCCACCTGCAGATTCTACCAAAAGTGTATTTGGAAACTGCTCCATCAAAAGGCATGTTCAGCTCTGTGAGTGAAACTCCATCATCACAAAGAATATTCTGAGAATGCTTCCGTTTGCCTTTTATATGAAGTTCCTTCCTATACTACCGTAGGCCTCAAAGCAGTCCAAATCTCCATTTGCAGATTTTACAAAAAGAGTGATTCCAATCTGCTCTATCAATAGGATTGTTCAACTCCATGAGTTGAATGCCATCCTCACAAACTCGTTTCTGAGAATGCTTCTATCTAGTTTTTATGTGAAGATATTTCCTTTTCCACCACAGGCCTCAAAGCCCTCCAAACGTCCACTTGCAGATTCTCGAAAAAGAGTGTTTCATAGCTGCTCTTTCAAAAGGAAAGTTCAACTCTGGGAGTTGAATACAAACATCACAAAGTAGTTTCCGAGAATGCTTCTGTTTAGTTTTTATGTGAAGATGATCCCGTTTCCAGTGAAATCTTCAAAGAGGTCCACATATCCCCTTGCAGATTCCAAAGAAAGAGGGTTTCAAAACTGCTCCATCAAAAGGATTGTTCAACTCTGTGAGTTGAATGCAGTCATCGCAGAAAACTTTCTGAGAATGCTTCTGTCTAGGTTTGATGTGAAGATATAGACGTTTCAAACGAAGGCTACAAAGTGGTCAAAATATACACTTGCAGATTCTACTACAAGGGTGTTGCAAACCTGAACTATCAAAGGAAGGTTCAACTCTGTGAGTTGAATACAAACATCACAAAGAATGTTCTGAGTTTGCTTCCGTTCAGTTATGGGAAGTTGATCCCGTTTCCAACGAAATCCTCAGAGAGGTCCAAATATCCCCTCGCAGATTCTACAAAACGTGTGTTTGGAAACTGCTCCATCATAACGAATGTTCAGCTCCCTGAGTTAAACTCCATCGTCACAAAGAATTTTGTGAGAGTGCTACCGTCTGGTTTTTATATGAAGTTCTTTCCTTCACTACCACAGGCCTCAAAGCGGTCCAAATCTCCACTTGCAGATTCTACAAAAAGAGTGTTTGCAAACTGCTCTATCAAAAGGAATGTTCAACTCTGGGAGTTGAATGCAATCATTACAGAGCAGTTTCTGAGAATGCTTCTATGTCGTTTTTAGGAGAAGATATTTCCTTTTCCAACACAGTCCTCCTAGCCCGCTAAATAGCCACTTGCACATTGTAGAAAAAGTGTGTCAAAGCTGCGCTATCAAAGGGAAAGTTCAACTCTGTGAGGTGAATGCAAACATCCCAAAGAAGTTTCTGAGAATGCTTCCGTTTAGCTTTTAGGTGAAGATTATCCCGTTTCCAACGAAACCTTCAAAGAGGTCCAAATATCCCCTTGCGGATCCCACAGAAAGAGTGTTTCGAAACTGCTGTTTCAAAAGGAATCTTCAACTCTGTGAGTTGAATGCAATCATCACAAAGAAGTTTCTGACAATGCTTCTCTCTCGTCTTTCTGTGAAGATAAAGGAAAAGGTTTTCAGGCCTTTTCCACCACAGGCCTGAAAGCGCTCCAAATGTCCACTTGCAGATTCTGCGAAAAGAATATTTCAAAACTGCTCTATGAAAAGCAATGTTAAACTCTGTGGCTCGAACACAAACATCACAAAGCAGTTTCTGAAAATGCTTCAGTTTAGTTTTTCTGTGGAAATATTCCCGTTTCCAAAGAAATCTTCAAAGAGGTCCACGTATCCACTTACAGATTCTACAAAAAGACAGTTTCAAAACTGCTCCATCAAAAGGAGGGTTCAACTGTGTGACTTGAATGCAATCATCACTCAGAAGTTTCTGAGAATGCTTCTCTTTAGTTTTTACGTGAACATATACCCGTTTCGAACGAAGGCCACCCAGTGGTCCAAATATCCACTTGCAGATTATACAGAAAGAGTGTTTCGAACCTGAACTCTCAAAGGCAGGTTCATCTCTGCGAGTTAAATGCATTCATCATGAAGAACTTTCTCAGAGTGTTTGCGTTTAGTTATGGGAAATTATTCCCGTTTCCAACGAAATCCTCAGAGAGCTCCAAATATCCACCTGCAGATTCTACCAAAAGTGTATTTGGAAACTGCTCCATCAAAAGGCATGTTCAGCTCTGTCAGTGAAACTCCATCATCACAAAGAATATTCTGAGAATGCTTCCGTTTGCCTTTTATATGAAGTTCCTTCCTGTACTACCGTAGGCCTCAAAGCAGTCCAAATCTCCATTTGCAGATTCTACAAAAAGAGTGATTCCAATCTGCTCTATCAATAGGATTGTTCAACTCCATGAGTTGAATGCCATCCTCACAAAGTAGTTTCTGAGAATGCTTCTATCTAGTTTTTATGTGAAGATATTTCCTTTTCCACCACAGGCCTCAAAGCCCTCCAAACGTCCACTTGCAGATCCTCGAAAAAGAGTGTTTCATAGCTGCTCTTTCAAAAGGAAAGTTCAACTCTGGGAGTTGAATACAAACATCACAAAGTAGTTTCCGAGAATGCTTCTGTTTAGTTTTTATGTGAAGATGATCCCGTTTCCAGTGAAATCTTCAAAGAGGTCCACATATCCCCTTGCAGATTCCAAAGAAAGAGGGTTTCAAAACTGCTCCATCAGAAGGATTGTTCAACTCTGTGAGTTGAATGCAGTCATCGCAGAAAACTTTCTGAGAATGCTTCTTTCTAGGTTTGATGTGAAGATATAGACGTTTCAAACGAAGGCTACAAAGTGGTCAAAATATACACTTGCAGATTCTACTACAAGGGTGTTGCAAACCTGAACTATCAAAGGAAGGTTCAACTCTGTGAGTTGAATACAAACATCACAAAGAATGTTCTGAGTTTGCTTCCGTTCAGTTATGGGAAGTTGATCCCGTTTCCAACGAAATCCTCAGAGAGGTCGAAATATCCCCTTGCAGATTCTACAAAACGTGTGTTTGGAAACTGCTCCATCATAACGAATGTTCAGCTCTCTGAGTTAAACTCCATCGTCACAAAGAATTTTCTGAGAGTGCTACCGTCTGGTTTTTATATGAAGTTCTTTCCTTTACTACCACAGGCCTCAAAGCGGTCCAAATCTCCACTTGCAGATTCTACAAAAAGAGTGTTTGCAAACTGCTCTATCAAAAGGAATGTTCAACTCTGGGAGTTGAATGCAATCATCACAGAGCAGTTTCTGAGAATGCTTCTATGTCGTTTTTAGGAGAAGATATTTCCTTTTCCAACACAGTCCTCCAAGCCCGCTAAATAGCCACTTGCACATTGTAGAAAAAGTGTGTCAAAGCTGCGCTATCAAAGGGAAAGTTCAACTCTGTGAGGTGAATGCAAACATCCCAAAGAAGTTTCTGAGAATGCTTCCGTTTAGCTTTTAGGTGAAGATTATCCCGTTTCCAACGAAACCTTCAAAGAGGTCCAAATATCCCCTTGCGGATCCCACAGAAAGAGTGTTTCGAAACTGCTGTTTCAAAAGGAATCTTCAACTCTGTGAGTTGAATGCAATCATCACAAAGAAGTTTCTGACAATGCTTCTCTCTCGTCTTTCTGTGAAGATAAAGGAAAAGGCTTTCAGGCCTTTTCCACCACAGGCCTGAAAGCGCTCCAAATGTCCACTTGCAGATTCTGTGAAAAGAATATTGCAAAACTGCTCTATGAAAAGCAATGTTAAACTCTGTGGCTCGAACACAAACATCACAAAGCAGTTTCTGAGAATGCTTCAGTTTAGTTTTTCTGTGGAAATATTCCCGTTTCCAAAGAAATCTTCAAAGAGGTCCACGTATCCACTTACAGATTCTACAAAAAGACAGTTTCAAAACTGCTCCATCAAAAGGAGGGTTCAACTGTGTGACTTGAATGCAATCATCACTCAGAAGTTTCTGAGAATGCTTCTCTTTAGTTTTTACGTGAACATATACCCGTTTCGAACGAAGGCCACCCAGTGGTCCAAATATCCACTTGCAGATTCTACAGAAAGAGTGTTTCGAACCTGAACTCTCAAAGGCAGGTTCATCTCTGCGAGTTAAATGCATTCATCATGAAGAACTTTCTCAGAGTGTTTGTGTTTAGTTATGGGAAATTATTCCCGTTTCCAACGAAATCCTCAGAGAGCTCCAAATATCCACCTGCAGATTCTACCAAAAGTGTATTTGGAAACTGCTCCATCAAAAGGCATGTTCAGCTCTGTGAGTGAAACTCCATCATCACAACGAATATTCTGAGAATGCTTCCGTTTACCTTTTATATGAAGTTCCTTCCTATACGACCGTAGGCCTCAAAGGAGTCCAAATCTCCATTTGCAGATTCTACAAAAAGAGTGATTCCAATCTGCTCTATCAATAGGATTGTTCAACTCCATGAGTTGAATGCCATCCTCACAAAGTAGTTTCTGAGAATGCTTCTATCTAGTTTTTATGTGAAGATATTTCCTTTTCCACCACAGGCCTCAAAGCCCTCCAAACGTCCACTTGCAGATTCTCGAAAAAGAGTGTTTCATAGCTGCTCTTTCAAAAGGAAAGTTCAACTCTGGGAGTTGAATACAAACATCACAAAGTAGTTTCCGAGAATGCTTCTGTTTAGTTTTTATGTGAAGATGATCCCGTTTCCAGTGAAATCTTCAAAGAGGTCCACATATCCCCTTGCAGATTCCAAAGAAAGAGGGTTTCAAAACTGCTCCATCAGAAGGATTTTTCAACTCTGTGAGTTGAATGCAGTCATCGCAGAAAACTTTCTGAGAATGCTTCTGTCTAGGTTTGATGTGAAGATATAGACGTTTCAAACGAAGGCTACAAAGTGGTCAAAATATACACTTGCAGATTCTACTACAAGGGTGTTGCAAACCTGAACTATCAAAGGAAGGTTCAACTCTGTGAGTTGAATACAAACATCACAAAGAATGTTCTGAGTTTGCTTCCGTTCAGTTATGGGAAGTTGATCCCGTTTCCAATGAAATCCTCAGAGAGGTCAAAATATCCCCTCGCAGATTCTACAAAACGTGTGTTTGGAAACTGCTCCATCATAACGAATGTTCAGCTCCCTGAGTTAAACTCCATCGTCACAAAGAATTTTCTGAGAGTGCTACCGTCTGGTTTTTATATGAAGTTCTTTCCTTCACTACCACAGGCCTCAAAGCGGTCCAAATCTCCACTTGCAGATTCTACAAAAAGAGTGTTTGCAAACTGCTCTATCAAAAGGAATGTTCAACTCTGGGAGTTGAATGCAATCATCACAGAGCAGTTTCTGAGAATGCTTCTATGTCGTTTTTAGGAGAAGATATTTCCTTTTCCAACACAGTCCTCCAAGCCCGCTAAATATCCACTTGCACATTGTAGAAAAAGTGTGTCGAAGCTGCGCTATCAAAGGGAAAGTTCAACTCTGTGAGGTGAATGCAAACATCCCAAAGAAGTTTCTGAGAATGCTTCCGTTTTGCTTTTAAGTGAAGATTATCCCGTTTGGCAACGAAATCTTCAAAGAGGTCCAAATATCCCCTTGCGGATCCCACAGAAAGAGTGTTTCGAAACTGCTGTTTCAAAAGGAATCTTCAACTCTGTGAGTTGAATGCAATCATCACAAAGAAGTTTCTGACAATGCTTCTCTCTCGTCTTTCTGTGAAGATAAAGGAAAAGGCTTTCAGGCCTTTTCCACCACAGGCCTGAATGCGCTCCAAATGTCCACTTGCAGATTCTGCCAAAAGAATATTTCAAAACTGCTCTGTGAAAAGCAATGTTAAACTCTGTGACTCGAACACAAACATCACAAAGCAGTTTCTGAGAATGCTTCAGTTTAGTTTTTCTGTGGAAATATTCCCGTTTCCAAAGAAATCTTCAAAGAGGTCCACGCATCCACTTACAGATTCTACAAAAAGACAGTTTCAAAACTGCTCAATCAAAAGGAGGGTTCAACTGTGTGACTTGAATGCAATCATCACTCAGAAGTTTCTGAGAACGCTTCTCTTTAGTTTTTACGTGAACATATACCCGTTTGGAATGAAGGCCAGCCAGTGGTCCAAATATCCACTTGCAGATTCCACAGAAAGAGTGTTTCGAACCTGAACTCTCAAAGGCAGGTTCATCTCTGCGAGTTAAATGCATTCATCATGAAGAACTTTCTCAGCGTGTTTGTGTTTAGTTATGGGAAATTATTCCCGTTTCCAACGAAATCCTCAGAGAGCTCCAAATATCCACCTGCAGATTCTACCAAAAGTGTATTTGGAAACTGCTCCATCAAAAGGCATGTTCAGCTCTGTGAGTGAAACTCCATCATCACAAAGAATATTCTGAGAATGCTTCCGTTTGCCTTTTATATGAAGTTCCTTCCTATACTACCGTAGGCCTCAAAGCAGTCCAAATCTCCATTTGCAGATTCTACAAAAAGAGTGATTCCAATCTGCTCTATCAATAGGACTGTTCAACTCCATGAGTTGAATGCCATCCTCACAAAGTAGTTTCTGAGAATGCTTCTATGTAGTTTTTATGTGAAGATATTTCCTTTTCCACCACAGGCCTCAAAGCCCTCCAAACGTCCACTTGCAGATTCTCGAAAAAGAGTGTTTCATAGCTGCTCTTTCAAAAGGAAAGTTCAACTCTGGGAGTTGAATACAAACATCACAAAGTAGTTTCCGAGAATGCT